>NC_000002.12:151429011-151732042 GCF_000001405.40 Homo sapiens | reverse complement strand
TATATTTAGATGAAGAAAATTTTATTTATTCTACAAATAAAATAGCTTTTATTACTGAAGGATATGAGGGAAAAAATAGAATGAATCTCGTACAATGTAACACTCAGCCTCTCTGGCTTAAATGCTGATACCACATCTTTCATGCTGATATTATCACTAGTGTGCATTTTACTTATGTACCTAAGGGTCAGAAATATCACTGTCAAACACTAATACAATTATAAATTAAATTGTCTTCCCTATGATAATAATGCCAGTAACAGTTTTTACTCTCCAACTTAAATATCCCTTGTCTTTCTTAAAATAATTGTGTACCTTTGCCACTGGAAATTGTCCTTAGTGCTAGACTTGATTGATTCAACTAGATGTCATAAAAAAGGAGGTGGCTATTTTTAGACATCCCATCCCTACCATTTTGTTCCCATTACAGCATCTGTGTCTGACCAGCAGGTGATAAACGAATAGACTGCCTGCCAGAAAGTATTGAACTGAGATCTCTTTGACCTCAAAAAAGATCATGAGCATAAGAGGGTGGTGCATTCGAAAAAATGGCCAGGGAAGATTTTAGAAAACAGAGAGGAACTAGCTTTAAAAATATGCAGAAAACAGAGAAGAACTGGCTTTAAAAATATATCTCCTTGGGATCTTGGACATCTGAAATAAAGTTTTACTGTTCTCTCTACTCTAACTTAAACTTGAAAAGAAAGAGAGAGAAGCAAGGATGCACTATCTAATTAGTGGCACAGCTCTAAAAAAAGAGTGAGATTTGGCATACAAGTTAATGCCAACCATTTAAATAATGTTGCCTCTTTTATAAGCGTATTTCTAAGATGGATTTACCAATGGTGAGAGCCCAGCAAAGGTAAAATTGAATGGTTTCCAAGGAGCTGCTTTTAAACTTGGATGCTGAGAAAATCCAAAATAGTTGTGAATCTTCCATTTTATTTTAATATTTCTTCTGAAGCCACTGATGTTTTGTGTGACTGGAGGAATGACTCTATGTGGCGTCAGCATCAAACAATATTTTCTAGTGTCCAAATGATATTTCTCATGTGCTGAAAAGTCACAACTGTAAAAAAGCAAATCTCTGTCCTGTCAGTGCTTGTGATTTTTGTTGCTATGTGTAACGACATACAGGCAGAATTAGATTTTAAATTAAAACAATAGCTCAAGAGTAAAGAAAGCACAAGAATGAGGAACATTAGGCAAGTTCTAGACGATTGTTAACGCAGGTGAAATAGCACAGGCGGCCTACTGACAATGGTTAAGTAATTTGATGACACTTCACTGAAAAGAATGCAGGCCATTGAGGGAAATTTTGCATCTTAATGTTTTCCCTTCCCTTGAGTGCTGTATGTTTTGGTGTTAAAGATAAGAAAAAGGAAGCATAAAGTGTTTTACATCCTTTTTTTTTTTTTTTTTTTTTCACTAAGAAATGAGCCAAGTGTTTCATCTTTATCCCTTTCCTCATGTGCTTGGCCTAAACGAGCCTCTCCTTCTGTTCACCCTACAGAGCAGGGTGAGGCTAAGGACAGGATTCCTCTCTCCTTACACATCTGAAACCAAGTGTCAACCAGTTCCTTTCTGCATCTATTTATTGCTGGTGATGTCAGAAGTAGAACAAAAGTAGACTTGGTTTCAGATCCAGGCTGCAGATCCATCATGCAGGCCATGATGACCTCAGAGCCACTATGGCAAATTGCAGCCTACCTTTCCCACACTTTGTGATGAAGAATCTTCTCATTTTCCCCTTCATTACTTGGCATTTACCAGTTTTCATATTAGCACCACTCTGTTTAGGACAATCACACTATTGAAAGGGACTCACCCATCACTCCAGAAGAAACTTATTACTTACTAATCAGGAGGGTATAGGAATAATTGAGATGTGGATATACCTTGGGATCTTATTATTTCCATGATGCAATCCATTTAAAAATGTATTCACACTCGAGTTTCTGTTTTAGTTTATTGTTAGTTTGCAAACAGTGAGTTTTATCACAGTTCCTCTCTGCCCAACCCACACACTCAGGATCTTCTTATTGTATTCTCTTCTCAGCAAATTCTATCTTGGGGACCATAAGAAAAAAATTTCCATGTCCCAGTAAAGTAAAATAGCTTCTCTTGATTAAAAAACAGCCTCATACA
Source organism: Homo sapiens (assembly GCF_000001405.40). Lineage (NCBI taxonomy): Eukaryota > Metazoa > Chordata > Mammalia > Primates > Hominidae > Homo > Homo sapiens. The sequence continues at coordinate 151,729,894 of NC_000002.12, read as the reverse complement.
TTTTTCTCAGCCCTCTGCATCTCTTTGTCCATTTGGATGGCATTCACTTTAGCTTTCCTGAAGTATTACAAAGTGAAGATGGGTTCCAAAATATGAACAGGCTCCCTCACCTACCCCTTTCCCACAGACATTCCAAATCAACCGAGCTAGTGCAGTCACCTAAGTGGTTCAGCTGAGGCAGAGGAGAGGTGGTTTCTGCTTTGGTTCTCTTGCCAATGCCTTTGTGCTCTATTTACAGTACTACACAGAAGAAGTGGTTTACGAAGAGGTGCCGGGAGAGGTAAGGCCCAGCCCACAGCTGCATAAACTGCATTCTCATTAAAGCAGGAAGAGCTTTCTCCTTTCTTAGACTCCCAGGGCCACAAAGATGGCAAAAGGGATTATCTGACAGAGGATCACTCACCTACCTGTGCCCAGAAGCTGGTGTGAAAGCACAAACATTACCTGTTTGATGGATTATTTCACCTTTTTTTCCTATTCAAAAAACGCAAGATGGCAGGGGGTGGTTCCCCCTATTTCTTCTGTGTGATATTTTTGTGTAGATGAAGCTAATTAGAATAATGTCAGTGGCTATCACCATTCTCCAACAGCAGCAGGAGGGATGGTGACAACAAGCCAAGGAGCCTTGGCTTTGTGATTGGCATAGGGACAAGCAGTTTTACTGTGTGGAGTTATAACTTGTAGGACACCATCTCTGCCACCAGGGATGGTGTCTCCAGGGCTTCGTCCCTGATGATGCATTGAAATGCTACTCAGATTTTAGCACATTAGCAATTCTAAATAACCTATTACCATAAATATTCCACGTTCAAGCTCTTTTTTTTTTCAAGGTGAAATACCTCTCTCATGCTTTATTTTCTGCATGCAGCTGTTTCTCTTTGAGCATGACAAACAGTGATATGGATGGTTAATCCTGAAGCTTGTTCAGAGAGCCTGTGACTGCATAAAAACTAGTATCTGTAGATGCTGTAATTTGGTTAGTCTCTCACAGTCAACCATGCCTAGGTAATCATGGGCAGAAAACAACCTATTAGCAATGATGTGACAACACTAGAGGGGGTTTTTGTAAATGTACAATTTCCTTACTAGGTTCTCTTTTCATAATTGATGCTAGAATTCTTTGGTACAGATGATATTAGCTGTGAAGGGAAGGATACTGTGAAATGGATTGAAGAGTTGGCTGCTTATCTTTTTTTCTTACATGCATTATTTTTAACCTTGGATTAGACCCAAACTTTGGGTCTTAGTGTCTTCCACTACAGCCTGCTGTAAGAAATAGTAATTTCTCACCTACTACGTAGATAGGACTGTTGTGAGGATAATTACCCCATTATGTTGTCATCATTATTCTTGTCCACCTAAGCATTTATTAGTGTAAATGGCACTCCGGTTCACATTAATTAACTGACTAAGCCAAGGGAATGAAAATCTCTTATAATATTGATGCGATTCATTTTTTTAAAGTTCATTATTCTTTGTCTCCTACTACAGTGGAGAATGCCTAAATCCCTGCAGAACAAACGACCAATTTTCCCTTAGTCATTTACAAGTTAATATTAAAGTCAAGAATTTGAGCTTTGTTTGATTATCTTAACCTTTTGTTCCCCGAACTCAAGTTTGCTTTTACTTTACCCAGGCAACTTAAGATTTTCAACTGTTTTAAAAAAATAGTTTATTGCCAATTTCCCCCCCACTACTTTGAAGTGTTCGAGTGTCTTTCTGCAAATGCAAACTTAAGGCAATGTTGCAAAGTAATAAGGAGTAAACTTTTTATTCCACGCAATCCCAACAATCAGCATTCAGATTTGTGTACATAATGTGCCTTCATACGGCTACAGTGTGCCATTTCCTGCTTTGGCTTACTTTAGATATGGAGAAGTAACACCAGGAATGTATATCTGACTTGAAGTTAGACTAATATATACTAAGATCACAGTAGCACAGTTTTTACTTTCACAACAATGTTGAACTGCATATCAAATTTTCAGACAATAACAAAAATTTATGAGACTACGACAACAAGGACATCTGACTATGAGCAATCAGAAACTTCCAAACCAGCTCTGGCACAGCCAGCACTGGCACAGCCAGCATCAGCAAAGCCGGTGGAGAGGAGGAAGGTCATCCGGAAGAAAGTGGATCCTTCAAAGTTCATGACCCCCTACATTGCACACAGTCAGAAAATGCAGGATCTTTTTAGCCCAGTAAGTTTCAAACAACTTCTGCTAACCTGGCTTGATTATTAAGAAATTACTTATCTCAACTCACTCTGTTTTGGATGCTGGCTGGATTTGTTTCTCAAACCTGTATGAAACAAAAACTTATTTTGCAAATTATAGGCTCTTGTGACTGTTGAATTTTCCTTTTATGTAATTCATTTATACCATTGCAGCATAAGAAAGCATTCTTATTGAAATCATTCCTGCAAAATAAGCATAAGGCCAATCATAAAGCATTTATTGGTATTTAATCACTATTAGCCAATCTAGAATAATGAAATCATAAATACAGATTTAATTTAGGCCAGTTCACAGAAGCTACTTAACATATTTAAACAATGTCAGCAGAATAGCTTCTTAGTAGACTAGCTAACAGCATATAAAAAGGTATGTAAAGAGGTGTATAGTGAAGAAGAACATTTATTTTAAAAATCCAAGATCAGACTAAGAACTCATTTGAAATTGAGGATCTGAATGTTTGGCTATACCTTAAAACAGTGGTTATTAACCATGGCTGCACACTGGAACCCCCTGGGAATTTTAAAACTAATGATGCTCAGGCCATTCTAGTTTAATTTGTTCAGAGTTGGGACTGTGCAGAAAGGTTTTTTTTTTTTTTTTTAAGAAACAGAATCTTTCTCTGTAGCCCAGGCTGGATCAAGCAATAGCTTGATCACAGCTCACTTCAGCCCCAGACCCCTGGGCTGAAGCAATCCTCCTACCTCAGTCTCCCTAGTAGCTAGGACTACAGGAGCATGCCACCATGACTGGCTAATTAAAAAAAAAATTGTAGGATCTCCTAATTATTTTTTCATAGAGGTAGGGTCTTGCTATGTTGCCCAGGATGGTCGTAAACTCCTGGCCACAGGTGATCCTCCCACCTTGGCCCCACAAAACATTAGAATTATAGGCATAAGCCACCATGCCCAGCCCTGTACAAAAGGATTTTAAAAAGCTGCCCAGATGATTCTAATGTGTACCCAGGTTGAGAATCACTGCTCTCAATGGTCCCTGGTCCTTAGATTCCCATGCACAGTTCTGTAAGTTACACTGACTGATTCAGACAGATTCAGACACATTTCAATGGGTCTAATTTGTTTATTGTCCATGGTGGGCTGAGGTCTCACTGGGTGGCTTGATTGCATGTCCTCTGGAGGCTTAAAAAAATGAAATGTAGCTTAAGAGAACATTGGATTATATAAGACTAAAGTTTATGTCAAAAGCATCCTATTGAGGTTGAGCAATACATACTCACTTTTCATTAAATGATAGCAGCTCACTGTTTGGTAAAATTCTAGTTCAGAGCCTTAAATAATCTAAGACAGGTTTCTAGAAACAAGATTTTCTTAACTTCTTTAGTGCTGCAGTATTCAGCAAGGATAGAATTTTTTGTCAATATATTGCCATACATTCTTATTAATTCAGATCCCATGAACCTAGAATTTCTGATGTTCTGAACAGAATGCCAGCAAAGGTCTGTAATAGTTTTTAAGTGGTTAGTAACCAAATCAATAGTATAATTTAGATTGTTCACTACTCCACTTAAGAGTACTCCCAAAACATTTATAATGATAAATTATGCACATTATCATTAAAGCAAGAATTCATTGTGTATTCAGCAGAAATAATAAAATCACATTCCTAAATTTACAGAATATAATTCAGATCTGCCATTAATTCAGCTGGTGTCTCAGCTATCTGAACTACTGAAGTTTAGCTGCAACTTCTGAATTGAATATTTTTGCATTGTATTAGCACTCAAATCTTTTCAGAATTAACTCAATTTCTATATTTATTTTCTAAAATAATTGAGATTTAGGCTTTTTATGTATGCATTCAGACAAAAAAAAAGATTGAAAGAATCATTTTAGGGTATTTCCAAGACAATAGTCTATAATAAATTTGCATTGTCTCCAAGATCCAACCATGTTTAGGAGAAGCAATTATCAAATCTATTTTAGTTTTTGCTGAGAGTTGGGGTAGGGGACAAAAAGAAAGCTATTATAATTGATAATTGCTATAACTTGAAGGATTTTTTTTTATCAAATGGGGTGAGTATGTTGCCTGAAATTTTCACTGCTGTCTTGTTAGGCTAATATCTGATATTCTTTTCAGAATAAATACAAGGAGAAGTTTGAGAAAACAAAAGGACAGCCATACGCCAGCACAACAGATACTCCAGAACTTCGCAGAATCAAAAAAGTACAAGATCAACTCAGTGAGGTGGGCTGCATTGCTGAAATAAAGGAGAGGGACATTTCAAAATACACCTACTGCTGGGAATTGTGGGCTCTAAATATGTGCTGTGAGAATGAGCAGTTGAATTACTATGAGCTAGTTCACAAATCTAGAAAAGCATGAACCATAGATCATGTTGCTGTAAATGTGAACCCAAAGAAACTTCTAAAAGCTTGGCTTAGCAACTTAGCTTAAGAGGAGACTATGAGATGGAAGCTCCAACTCACTGTGGTTCTCCACACTGTAGCACAGTAAGGCCAAGAAGCAGCAGGCTGGAGATCCAGCCAGGAAAGCAGACAAGCAGTAAATGCAGGTGCTTCTTTGAAGATCACATTTTTCCAGCTAAAATGCAGAAACTATGCTTTGTGATGCAGACCTAGAGTCATTGGGGTAATGCTCTGTGGTTATAAGAAATTCCTTAATATACTCACATGTACATGCCTGTCATGAACTCTAACTGTGCATTATTTGGGCAGGTTAAGTATCGAATGGATGGTGATGTTGCTAAGACTATATGTCACGTAGATGAAAAAGCAAAGGATATTGAACATGCAAAGAAAGTGTCGCAGCAAGTCAGTAAGGTAAGGCAATGATATGGATGGCTGGGGTACTCAGTAGCATGTGCATCACCTCTGCATTGTCTTATAGGAGAAAATTGGACAGGCCTGATCCTGCCCACCAGCCTCATGGGCAGTGTGAGTTCAATACCTGTATTCATCAAGGAGGCTGCACAGATGACTGAGTGGCCTGTAGAACCTATGGGTGGATGGAAGAGTCCATGCCCTGCCCAAAGAGGCAGCTGTGACTCGGCTCCAGGCTGTTGCTGCATGAAGTCCCAGTGTCACCAAAGAAGCTGAGGAGCTAAATTTTTAATTGAAAGGAATTAGAATTTTCAATCAAAAGCTGACTATTGTAGGAAAAGTATTATAGGATGTTGGCATGGTCAATGTTTTCCTAGTAACCCATTGGCAACCTCTGAGCAAGCATGCCTTCATGAGTCTCCCTTTGTTGTTTAAATCCTCATGCCTTTGGGTGAGACCTCAAGCCACAGATCCTCTGCTCCTTCTGTCTAGGTTTTATACAAGCAGAACTGGGAAGACACCAAGGATAAGTACCTGCTTCCTCCTGATGCCCCTGAACTTGTCCAGGCCGTTAAGAACACCGCCATGTTCAGCAAGGTAAGGGTCTGCTCCATTGCCACTTCTGTCTTCCTATGTCATCCCATCATATATTTCATGTAATACTTGGTGAACTCTTGATCATCTGGAATACAATTCCCCAATCTTTTTATGAGTAGCCTTGAGACATGTGAGACTGCAGGGATAGGGCTTGGCAAAAAGGAACTGAGAGGAAAGCTCCTAGGCAGAGTGGGGAGAGGGTCCTTTGGGAACCTGAGCAACCTGGGGGCAGAGGGGAGTGTCTGTGGAGAATAAAGGTGCTCTGGAGAACCAGCTGAGAGAGCCACAAAGTAATATCTCAAAATTGTCTGTAGACCCTTTGGTATACTTTGGATGTCCCTGGCTATTACTCTAATTAGAGGTTTATTTTGTGCCCCTTCTTGCAAGTGTCCTATATTGCCCTGAACTATGTGAAGTGCTTCCTGGCTCCTTACATTGTGTTAGCACTTGTAAGTGCTATTAATAAACAATGACAAATAATGACCAAAAAAAAAAAAAAAAAAAAAAAACAAAGAAGGCAGGTAGAGTCACAGAGAAAAGTTGAAACAAAATCAGACACATCTGCCCCTCTGAAAATAAGAAAAAGCAGGGCATGCTATCAGTAAAAATGACTTGGGTTGGATGGAAAGTGGGAAGTTATCTGTGAATTTCATTTACCTTTGCTCTCACCTGGCCCTTGGTTCTTTAGGTTATTAATGGATGAATTCAAAACTATGTATTTTGTGTAAACGTGACCCTACTTCCTCCTAACTTTTCACTCTTTTTTGATTTAGAAACTGTACACTGAAGACTGGGAAGCAGACAAAAGTTTGTTTTACCCCTATAATGATAGCCCGGAACTGAGGAGAGTTGCCCAGGCCCAGAAAGCTCTCAGTGATGTAAGTGAAATGCAAGTGGCACCACTTAGGTGTGCAGAGTCAGGGGAACTTGAATTACATATTCTGGCCAGATGGTCACTGCAACTCTTCTGTATAAGAGACTAAATGTTGTATTTCAGAGGAGTATGTCTAGAATTGTTATAATTTATGATGTCTCATTTAAATTAGATATAATTTACACTTTATATTAAATATAATCTTGTCCAGTTCCCTCTTCTTATAGGTGGCAAACCTGAATCTGGGGTCACATTAGTTAGTGGCAGAGCCCAGGCTTGTGAGCCCAAGACTAGTATTCTTCCCATTAGAGCATGAGTCCTTCTTTCCCCTTGGCTCTGGTTGAAGTTGTTCTGTGACAACAGAATGACAATTTTTAAAAACCTATTGTAATCATAGCCACCTTCCCAAATCTATTAAGTAAACAATGTTATGGAAGGGTTGTGCCTTACTATTCTAATCATCAAGTCCAAATTGTGGTGTGTCTCCCTTTTTCTGTGTGTGGGACCTGACTAGTGTACTTGTTAAAACATATTTGTGGCTGGATGTGGTGACTCACCCCTGTAATCCCAGCAGTTTGGGAGGCCAAGAGGGGAGGATTGCTTGAAGCCAGGAGTCTGAGATCAGCCTGGGCAGTAAAGCAAGACCTCATCTCTACAAAATATATTTTTAAAAAATTAGCCAAGTGTGGGGGTGCATGCCTGTAGTCTCAGCTACTCAGGAGGCTGAGGTAGGAGGATCACTTGAACCCAGGAGGTCGAGGCTGCAGTGAGCTATGATCAAGCCACTGCACTCCAGCCTGGGCAACAGCGAGACCTCCATCTTAAAAACAAACAAACAAACAATGACCACACCAACAACAACTAAACAAACCAAAAACACATTTGTATAGTTATCCCACAAAGAGCTCTTGCTATCAGAAGATACTTCAGTTAGTGAAAAATCAGTGATCCCACTTGCCGGAATTTTGGTATCCTAGACCTTGAAAACTGTATGTTAGAGGAACTTAAAAGGCTTAACAGAGTCCTTAGGCTTGAAACCAGCAGCAACAGCAGCAGAGAGACCCACTTGGGCCTAACACTCTCCCTTATTTTGAGGTACTTTCTTACATGACCATTGGATTTGCGGGAGGCCATATTGAAAATCCAGACTGCTACTCCAGTCTTCAGCAGAGCACTGTATTATAAAGCGACAAGTTATTTGACATTCAATTGTCAGTTAGATCCCTGGAACCTCTTATACTCAATTTGGACTTAGTAAGCCAGTTCAGACTGATTGGGATTTACTTCTAATGGAATCTATGGTCTGATCTTGCCATGAACCAAAATTATACACACCAATTTGATGGTGTCTCCAACTTTTGAGGTCTAATTTTTAACGCCACCCTCTTCATATCACCTGCAAGTTTAGTGGACATCTTTTTCTATTTCACTTTCTATGTAATTGGTTAAAATATAACACAGATACAGTCGTATCCTTCCACAGGTAAGTTAGGAAATAGAGAAGGTGTAACAAAATTTTGAAGTCATCTAGCACATGATACCAATTTTATTGTGTGAGTACTTCTTGCTTCTCTTTCAAGATTAGCTTTTTGATTCTGTATCTCACAGATTCACAATATTGTTACATGGCTGTTACCAAGTGATCAATAGTTATTTATTGGAAGTCTATTATGCATGCACACCTGGCAGGATAGAAAAGTACTACAAGCAGTTTTCATCCTTTCCTCTTAGAATTTATAATCAGGCTGATAAAATAAAAGTATGATATAGCAAACAACAAGAAAAAAGTTAAAAATGAAACAAAACCCAACAGTCTAATACTTGCTACAAGACAGACAGAACACGTGTGAGTAATCAGAGAAGGCCATGTGGAGGTGGTGGTCCCAAGGGCATGGGTGGTGATGAAGAAAGGCATTTTGAGTAGAGGGAGCACTTGAACAAGGGGACACAGGTAAAATGAGGTCTGAGTTTTGAGGGACAAGGAAAATGAATGATGGGAGTGCCTCATTTGGAGGGCACTTGTGAGAATGCCGGCAGCAGGACCTTGAAAGGCAGACAAAATTGCTTCGACATGGAACGGTAATAAATAAGAGGCATCATAAGATTTTGGAGCGGAAAACAGCATGATAAAAATAGAATCTGGAGTAATTTTGATGAGCAATATGATAGATTGAGATTAGGAAATACAGGAAAAACTGGGTAATTTGGAGAAATCTATTTTAGTAATAATTAGGGCAAAGGAGAGGAAGAAAGGAATCTGAGGGTAATAAGTATTAATAGGCATGAATGGCATTGGATATTGGAGCCAAAGGAGAGAAAGAAGCCCTAGAGGAGCTTCTGACTGTAGACTGGTGGTCTGGGTGAGTAGGGGCACAGCTGGTAAAGGTGCGTTAATGGAAAGAGAAATGGAGTTGAGATGATTGAAGGAAACTTCAGATCAAGGCATCCTATGGATAAATTAGAAAGTTCCATTGCTCAGGTATGAGAACAGGGCAAGAAATTAATATTTGAGAGTCATCAGAACAAAGTGATAGCCAAAGACATGAACATCTATGAGGGAAGCAGAAGAGTGCATGGCCAAGGGCAGAGTTTTGGAGGACACCCACACTTAGGACTGAACAGGAGCCAGCAAAAGGATGAGGGAACAAACAGCGAAGTTGAAAAGGAACCAGGAAATGCCATGTCATGTAAGCCTGGGAGAGGTTTCCAAGAAGACAGTTAATCTCCTATCTCCCTTCATCTATCAAATGGAGAGATGAAGGATTACCTTCATACCATTCTAATGCTATGGACTTTGAACAATGAAAGTTGGCCACATGTTTTGAGCAATTACAGTAGAAGATGTAATGAAAGAGAACATACAATAATGAAGTAAAGTCTTCCCTGCTATTCCTCAAAAAGATGTGACAGTTAAGGCATAGCTTTTATTTTAATTGCAGACCAAGTGTGCACTCAGTATCAGATTATTGACATGCCTATTAATACTGTTGTCAGTACTATGAACTTCTACAATTATTGGGCACAGAGCCCTAAGCAAGCTGTTGTTTGCAGAATGCACCATGTGTAGGCACATAGATTTCTGGCTAAGGGCTTGGGCTTAGATGCTGTTGCTATCTCTCCTGTACTATCTTCCTGTGTCCTTCTTAATCTACTTATCATGTTTTCCTTATTAACTAAGTAGAGACAAACTACTTTGCACACACTAAGAGTCTTTAAGCTGATGCAGAATACTGAACTTTTTTTTTTTACTTTTTTAAAAATCAGATTATTCTCCATAACAACAGAATTCTAACTAAACAGAATTCTGAAGAAGGTTCCTGAGAAATTAGGACTTCTAGATCTGATTTGTCTGAAACTTCTTGGCAGGATGTCATACTTAATAAACATTTATCCTATTCAAATGTTGCTTTTACCCTAAGGACTTAACCAGCCATGAAAAATCCTGTTGTCCTATGCCTAAAATGAAGTCTTCAGTTTGTATTTTTTTTTTTTTTTTTTTGAGACAGGGTCTCACTCTCTCACCCAGGCTGGAGTGCAGTGATACAATCTTGGCTTATTGGCTTATTGCAACCTCCACCTCCCAGGCTCAAGTGATCCTCTCACTTCAGCCTCCCAAGTAGCTGGGACTACAGGTGCACACCACCACACCCGGCTAATTTTTGTATTTTTGGTAGAGACAGGGTTTCACCGTATTGCCCTGGCTGGTCTTGAACCTTTGAGCAATTCATCCGCCTTTGCCTCCCAAAGTGCTGGGATTACAGGCGTGAGTCACTGTGCCTTGCTTAACTTATTTAAAAGAAATTAAGCCAGGCTTGTTTGTGGAATTTGTGTAAATACATTTCAAAATCTGTCTTTTGTATCCCAATTGATTTGATGTCCATGAAAGCTTTTGTTATAGGCACTAGGTAGATATTATTGGGATAAGATACAGTTAGACTTGGTTAAAGTATAAAGATGATTGGGACCTTGGGATTATTCAACTGCTTTACTTGATAAATAAGAACACTGCCATGAGGAAGGGAAAATAATCGTAGAAACTTCACAGTTGTGTCACGGAAGATTAGAAAGATAATTCTCCTCTTGAGACATTCCCCCATGGCCTCAGTGTGTAAGACACACATTGAGATGTCAGTCATTGACTCTTGCTCTAGCTAGGTACTATGCAGGCCACAAGGGTTCCCAAGGATAGGACATCTTCTTTGCCATCCCAGAGCTCACAGTCAAGAGGAAAGAGACATGTAGACAAAAAATTACAGTGTCATCTGACAACCCCTCTAAAGGAGGTAATGGCCAAGTTGAGTGAGATCCCAGGAGAAGGTCATCACGTCTGGCTCAGGAGTCAGGGAAGGCTTGAGAGGGGAGTCATGGTGTCCTGAGCCATGGAGAGGAAACAGCGGTTTGCAGACAGATGGGGAGAGGGAACAGCATGTACGAGGCCGTGAAGCATCTGAGGGCTTCATGTATCTGGGGATCTATGAATAGTTCTGCATTGTTGGAAACAGGGGCCAAGTCTGGTGGAACAAAAGAACCAGAGGAATCAGAAATGAAGAGAGAAAGGAGGGCAAGAGAGAAGGATATGCATTATTTGTGGGCACCATACTTATTTTAAGGTGATAGAAGTCTTTTATAGGCTGAAGGGAAGGAGCTAATGAAGAAGGAGAGTTTGGGGTTGTGAGAAAGAGGAGGGATGACTGAGAGAGCTGGGTGCAAAAGGATATGCTGGAAAGGGCAGCACCCTGGGTGCAGGAGTCATTCCCTCTGAAGGATGTTTCTCCTCTGAGCCAGGGAAGGGGTGGGAGACGCAGGGATGAATATGGAGAAGATAAGTGTGTAGCGTTTCTTCACTCTATGAAAGAGGAAGCTGAGAGTAAGGTGGGGTTGATTGTGGGCTTAAGGACAGTGTTGGGGTTTTAGACTGGCCCCTGAGAGTAGGGACTAACCAGAGACTCATAATGGGCTGTGAAAGTTTCCTTGAAGACAAAATGGCATTAGTATACCATAGGGTCATAGAGTATTGGGCACAGAGCCCCAAGCAAGCTGTTGTTCACAGAACATACCACTGGGCAGGCATGTAGATTTCAAGCTAAGTGCTGGGGTTCAGAGTCTCCCTGCCCTGTACCTTCTTCCTGTGTCCTTCTTAACCCTACTCATCATGTTAGCATTGCCTAATCCATGGAGTTGCAGGTTTTCTTCTGTGGCATTCAGCATCCTAGGCATAAGAACAGAGGAAGTTGGCCAGGCGCGGTGGCTCACGCCTGTAATCCCAGCACTTTGGGAGGCCAAGGCAGGCAGACCATGAGGTCAGGAGATCAAGCCCAGCCTGGCTAGCATGGTGAAACCCCGTCTCTACTAAAAATACAACAAATTAGCCGGGCACGGTGGCGGGTGCCTGTAGTCCCAGCTGCTCGGGAGGCTGAGGCAGGAGAATGGCCTGAACCCAGGAGGCGGAGCTTGCAGTGAGCCGAGATCGCGCTACTGCATTCCAGCCTGGGCAACATAGTGAGACTCCGTCTCAAAAAAAAAAAAAAAAGAACAAAGGAGGTATATGGTCAAGTCGATCCAAGGCTGGGGGTTTATTGAATGTGATAAAAAGACAAGGGGTTGGGAGTTGAAGACGCTGGTTAAGAGAATAATTGCAGTTGCAAACCATGGCATGGAAATGAATGGAAGAAAGCAGATCTAGGGCCATGAGTCTTGAGGAGGAGGGAAGAAAATTCAGCAAAATAGAAATCACTAGCAGTACTGAGAGCAATGGTATGTAACATCTAGGACAAATTATAACATGTTACACTAAAATTTAAGACTTCAAATAAAGATGAAAGCATAATCGTTTTTAAAATACATCCCTGTCTTTTATTTCATCAGGTTGCCTACAAAAAAGGTCTCGCTGAACAGCAAGCTCAATTCACGCCTCTGGCTGATCCTCCAGATATAGAATTTGCCAAGAAAGTAACCAATCAAGTGAGCAAGGTAAGTAAATAGAGCTGGGACATTGCCTCCCTTGAAGACTCTGCTTAATAATTTCAACCATCAGAGAGGGTTACTAAAGGTGAGACTGAAGATAAAACACAAACACTAGGAGTATTTTTACATATGATCCCCAAAGACTCTACAGCAAAAGCAATACATCCATAAACGTCAAGAACTGTGTTAATAAATGTTTAGCCAGCTTGATGACTCAGTAATTGATAAATGTGAAAATCACCTTTTGAAAACAGAAGCCATGTTCTAATGTCACTTGACATTTTTACTTATGACAGTAATACTACAGAGTCACCAAATAACCACACACTTCCGTGAAGAGCTGGTTTAAATTCACTGTGAAGACCTTGGATAGTTCTATCTTATCCGTCACACTTGGAAAAATAAGAATGTGTCTCAGACATAGCTTAGTTAACAGCAGTGGGCAGTGGACCTCATAACTTTTAAGGCCCTAACAAACAGCTTAGTCTACCTATATTTAGGCAGTAAACTAGCTCTGAGGAATGTGGCTCTGATGAGGAATGCAGAGAGACAGATGCTTAGCTGATGAATAGGCCCATGCTAAATTCCTATTTTAAATTGGTCCAAATCAGACCACTTTCTCCTGGGATACTGCTGCTTTTAAATACTTTATCTTGCCCTCTGTGGAGATGAGTGTCAGTTTGTTCTGCTTGAATTTTGATGAAACCTCAAGATTTTTATCTTAAGCATTTTCTGGGTAAAGTATCTAGTAGAGAAGAATGATGAAATGATATGGATAATGATGTCTATTCAGTGATGTTTATTAGTGTTTTATATTGTAGATTACCTAACTGTGTAACTATGAGCTGTTTGGATAAAGGATCTAGTAAGTATAGTAAAATTTCACCAATAGGAATACTATCAATCTGAAATTTTGCCCAAGGCTAAGCAGAAATTAACTTTAGAACTGTACATAAATACATGATCCATTGAAAGTTTTGATATTGGCCAGGCGCGGTGGCTCACACCTGTAATCCCAGCACTTTGGGAGGCCAAGGTGGGTTGATCACCTGTCAGGAATTCGAGACCAGCCTGGCCAACATGGTGAAACCCCATCTCTACTAACAATACAAAAAATTAGCCAGGCGTGGTGGCGGGCGCCTGTAATCTCAGCTACTTGGGAGGCTGAGGCAGGAGAATCACTTGATCCCGGGAAGCGGAGGTTGCAGTGAGCCAAGATTGTGCCATTACACTCCAGTCTGGGCAACAAGTGTGAAACTGTCTCAAAAAGAGAAAAAAAGAAAAAAAAAAAGAAAGAAAGTGTTGATATTGTAAATAAGACGGGAGAAGGACAATTTATCTTTTTGGAAGAAAAATAAAAAGGTGTTTTCAAGTGGTCATTTAGAAAGAAAAAGGAATCTATTTTTAAATGTTTATTTAAAGTCTATTTTAAAAGATACTTTACTAAGGAAACATTCTTTTGCCTTATTTAAATATGCAGTGGGGATTCTTAAAAGTGATTTTTGAAAATCACTTTCAAACTCGTCTATAATCATTCTCTCCACCAATTTAGACTTGCCAGTTGGTTTAGTGCTACACTCTCCAGTACAGTAGACACTAGCCAAATGTGACTAGGAAGCACCTGAATTTGATCAGTATAAACTGAGTATATAAGTCAGCTTGGGCTTCTACAACAAAATACCATACATTGGGTGGCTTAAACAATAGACGTTTATTTTCTCACAGTTCTGGAGGCTGGGAGTCTAAGATCACGGATTCAGTTCCTGGTGAGAGACCCCTTCCTGGCTTGTAGATAGCTGCCTTCTCATTGTGTTCTCACACATTGGAGACAGAGAGCCAGCTCTGATCTCTTCCTCTTCTTCCTCTTCTTATAAGGATGATAATCTCATTATGGGGTTCCCACCCTCATGACCTCACCTAAACTTAATTGCTTCCCAAATCCCCTTACCTTCAAGTACCATCACATGCTTGTGAGTTAGGTCTTCAACATATGAATTTGGGGGGTGGGGATATAGACATTCATCCCATAACACTTAGTGTCCAATATGTGAGAAATAGACACTGGATCTGAATATTTAATTATGAAGAAAAGAATGTTTCAAATTAATATTTTTATGTTGATTACATGTTGGAATGTTAATTTTCAGATCTACTGGGTTCAGTAAACTGTATTATTAAAGTTATTTCCCACATGTTTCCTTCTACATTTAAAAATGTGGCTACAAGAATGACTTGCATTATATATGCATTGGATGGCACCACTCTAGGTGGGCAAGGTGACAGTGTTGGGTACTTTGAAAGCATTGCCAGAACTGGCTTTGCCCTGTGGAGTAATAATATGAGCTAAGGGGAGGTGGCTGTGGAAAAAGGTCACTGGATTTGGCCATGGTGACATTATTTATTCCCAGTCTTAACCCAGATTTCTGAGTTCTTAATGACTATTGTGCATCCAAAATAATAGTTGTATTAGGGAGAAATGCTTGTGATTGGTAGAAGTCCACCCAACAACAAACCATCCAACAAGGGAGGCACAGGGCTGCCAAGAGTGACTTACCTTTGGTACTATCTTCCCTCCTCACTCTCAAGATGCATTGGCCCATGTTGCAGCAGGATCATATCTTCTTTCTCCCTAAAATAGGATAAAAATCTCCTTTATCTACCCTAGAACTTAAAGTATAAAAAAATAAATTTTTTAAAAAACCTCCTTTATCTAGTCACTCACATGCATTTAAACTCAATATCCCCTTGTTGAATCATGTCTCCCAGATCCATCTGTTGGGGCCAAGGGGTCCTCCTTGGCCCACTGAAGGTTGGCTGAAAAATCAGCTTGCAAAAGGCAGATTAATTGGAGAAAAGGCATACAAATTTATTTAACATGCACACACGGGAGCCTTCAGAATGAAGCTCCAGCTCCCCAGGGGGTGCAGAAGCTTATATACCATCTTGAGGTTACAGAAAGACTATGAACTTGGATCCTGGCAAAACAGGTTATGGGGAGTGGGGAGAAGAGGAATTCTGTTGAGGAGCAAGAAATGATTACTAGGGAGAATTCAATGGGTTTGAAGAACATACAATAGTCTGGGGTGAAGTCTGTTGGGCCCACAAAGCGAACAATGGTTTATGACAGTAGTCTGTCCAGGTTTCTGACAGACTTTAGTCTTCCCTCCTGCAATATAGGTTCAGTTGAAAACTCAGGGAAGGGGTCAGAGGGAATTGTTTTCTTCTTTGGTAGGTCCGGACCTTAGACAGATAAGGAAACTTGAGCCTGTGCTTTGGGAGAGTTGGAGGATTGAGAGACAGGATGGGGGTGGGAGGTTAGCGGGGAAACAATTTTTCTTCTTAGTGGGTCTGTCTGGTCTTTATGTAGAAAGAAGTCTCTTTTAGCTTCCATTAATCTCTAAGGGCCTTTAATTCAAAATACTCATTATACTAGGGAGCCATATTTTGGGGTGGAGTTCTCTGTTCATCCTCACACCCTTTTCTTACAGCTCCCAGTTCAGATGGTAATGATTGCATATCTGCAGTGATTACACTAATGTTACCTTCCGTTTGCCAGCCTTCCTTACTACACCTGTCAGAATCAATTCTCTCACCTTTGTCTTTGGCCAAAGCCATTAGCTACATACTTCCTTCTGTCTCAGCTGTATTTTGTAGCTCTAACATAGATGAACAGTCAGAGTTGTTCATAGAAACAGGCCTTCCAGGTGGGGAAGCTATGCACACCATGACCAGCTGAAAGTGGGGCCCTGAATGCGACACTGGAAAGTCCCTTTAGTTTCTCTGTACCTGCCTCTCTGCTCCCTTCCAGATCCACAAAAGAAAAAATATGAGATTTCAGGTTGGAATTTCCCACTGATACCAACTGGAGCCTAAATTTTTTTTAAAAAACTAATCTTTCAGTGACATATTGTTACACAGCATGAGGATACCAGGCCCAGGCCCTCTAAAACCATGGAAATTCTTCCATCACATAGAATTGGAAAGATTTCCATTGATTTCACCAGAAGAGATTTGATTGAGTCAAGCAGGCAGTGTTAGGCCCACTGTGGACAATAAAAATACCAGCTGGGTTCTTTATACCTTTTCTGCAGGGATAACTTTTCTATGAATGGAACCATCAGGAGTCCCAGTGCTTAGCCCCTCACAGAAAAAGAGAAGGGTAATTAACTGGCTTTGTATTCCTTTCCATTTGGTAACCACATAAAAATTACAGATTCAGATGTTGAAAGTAGATAATGAAGCTATATGTTTAAGCAAGACAAAGGGTACCCAGTTTGTGGCCCCATGGAAGTCCCCTCAGCTGACCTCTGAGGAGGAGGGAAACAATCTTACTGTATCTATGGACACATGGTCACCCTCTTACCCAGAGAAGGTGTCCCAGAGCTTGGAATTGGCCTGACATACATTCCTCTGTTAAACAAACCAAAAAAATTCTAGAGAAGTGAAACTGACTCTTTCTTCCAAGTTTCCATCGTTCAACTGCAAGTACAACAGAGTTTGGAGAGAAAGGT
The DNA here is from genome assembly GCF_000001405.40 of Homo sapiens. Taxonomy (NCBI): domain Eukaryota; kingdom Metazoa; phylum Chordata; class Mammalia; order Primates; family Hominidae; genus Homo; species Homo sapiens. Next base: position 151,712,910 of record NC_000002.12, on the reverse strand, counting down.
TTCCCCCTAACCTTTCTCTCCAACTCTGTTGTGTTTGGATGTTGGGAAGGTTGAATGTTGGACCCTGACGTGAGTAACCCGTCTCCATGTATTGTACAAAAGCTCTGGCCTCACTCTCAGACTTGCAGAGTGGGACCCCTTCGCTGGTAGAGAGGGTCCCACATGGACACATACCTCTCTCTTCCTCTCACTCCTTCACCTATGGACCCTTGTCCTTTCAAATTCTCTCCTACTCACAAATGAGACAGAAGGCCATAACTTCCTCAGTAGCCAGCAAGCTCCAGCCTCCTCCTGTGTCATGAAAATCTTCCCAGACTTGGCAGTGCTCGGGAGTGGATTGTGAGAGCTCGATCTCCACCCTGACCCATTTCAGCTGCTGGATAGGAGGAAATAACATGTCGTGGTCTGTGAAGATTAAGAAGGAAGGAAGGACTTTGGATGAGGGGGTTGAGTGATCTTACACTCTTGTTTTGCATCTTGTTTTAATATCTTCTTGAAAACCAGACATCTATCTCTCACTGTGAGAATTAATCTCCTGCTCAATTATCCTTAACAAATCTACATATGCAATGCCTATTTCTTGATAAATGCCCAACATTTAGACCTCATTAAGAATATCTGCTACCTTCTCAACTTTAAATTATATTTCAAAGTTCTCTGGATCTCAGTTTTGGGGATCAGGCCCAATTGCCCCTTCCCAATCCTAAGGTTTTTCTCCTTTGACAACAAGCAAGAGGTAGGGCCATGTCTCTCCAAAAAATGATGCATTAGGAGATCCTAACCTGAGGTATGTGTACATCAAGAACCTCTGAAGTTATAACTGTTTGTGAGCATTTTATAGCTTTCTCAGTTTCTTGAAGAGGTCTGTCTCCAAAAAAAAGATGAGAAACATTTCTATAAGTAGTCTTAGCAAATCCAGAAATCAATTTTATTGACTTCTGTTCTTTAAATCTTCAAAACAGAGTGCAGGTAAATCAATCAGCAGTATAGCACAAATCTTATCTCAGCAAAGATTTCCATTGAAGAGTTGTTCCCTCCCCGCACATACAATTTTCTTTCTTACAGAGTTTCTTTCTGTTATGATGATGACAATAGTAATAACTATTATTATTATTACAATTTTTATACCCTATATTTGCTTAGCACTGTGGGGTTTACAAAGCACTCTTTAGCGAATGATCTTATTAAACTTCCTAGCAGCCTTCTCTGTAAATATTATTGCCAGCACTTGTGGCTGAGAAAACAATCATATTTGGTCAAGACAAAGTCAAGTCTTGGTCCCAGAGTTTGAACCCAGGCCCAGGACTCTAAAATTTATAGCTACGAAAACCAGTTGGCTATTTATTTACATATTAACCTTTTGAGAAGAAAGGAAATTAGGCATTTGAGTGAGGGCTAAGTTTCCTCTAACCCAAGCTCGTTGACTCTGCACATCACTCACCTTCTCTTAAAGGTATACCAGAAAGACATTTTCTTTTTCCTTAAAGGGTATTGTGGGGATGTAGGCATATGCCAGTGCCTTGAGACCCATTAGTTATGTCTGTTAACACATTTTTATGAGCCATGGAGGGAGAATTGCTCTAACTCAGCTTGGGCTCTAGCTCATGGACCCAGGTTTGGGGTTGGCTTGGTTAATTCTGCTCCAAGAACACTTCAGCCAAGGTATTTCAAAACCGCATATCATGGTCTCAGTTTAGTGTAGTTGAACAAACATTTATGATGTAACTTCTGTGTGCTGCATTTTGTGTTGGGTTCTGAGGCTATGAAAGTGAAGAAGACATACCACTTCTCTCTTCCAGGAGCCTTACAGCCTGGGATTCAGATGGAGTGGGATTTGGGAGTCAGATGGGGCAATAATTCAATTTTTGAATTACTTTCCAGTTCCTATTAAATTTAACTCTAAAGGCGAAGATCTATTCGTTAGCCTGCAAGTTGAATTTTATTGTGGTTGTTTCTTTCTGGAAAACTAGGAGTGTTTGTAAAGCTTAGAAATTAACGGCTAAGTTCATTTGGCATAGAAATCTCAGGTTGATAGGTTGTATTGTAACTGAAATATAAATAGAGGATGACTTCTGACTCTATTTCTTTAAACATCAGGGGACATCTGCAACTTCCGAATGAATGAAGTCCCCAAACTCAGCAAGGGGAGGGGGCGTTAGTACCCTCTTTCTCCATTCTCTATCCCTATCGCCCAACTTTCTGGTTGGGTAAATTGACAGTACATTGGAAGATTTTTTTTAAAGGCATTTATTAAGGACCTAAGAATGGCTTGCTGAAGATATTTTTAAAAGTTAATCATTATTTCTTAATTTGCTGTCTTATTTGTCAATTCATGAGTTATGCTTGTCTTATTTTCTTTTTCTTTTTTCTAGCAAAAATACAAAGAAGACTATGAAAATAAAATCAAAGGCAAATGGAGTGAGACACCTTGCTTTGAAGTTGCAAATGCCAGAATGAATGCTGATAACATTAGCACAGTTAAGTGGGAAGGGATGGCTGGTTGGTCATCCTGGGAGGGAGACCCCTTTCCTTAGTGACTTCTAGCTACTTGCTCTACCTGAATGGGTGCCAGAACACTTGAGGCCCCTCTTCTTGGGGCAAGACCTGGTGCAGAGTTCCTTTTAAGAAAGAAATTTCCCAAACTCTCTTTCCTTTTGAGAAATATTATTTTGGCCACATGCCATTATTTCTACCTCAATTTTTACAACACATTATGGTAAGACCCTCTTACTGACTGCAAAGTGAGATTAGTACAAGTTAAAGGGACTCTTTTTAATTATTCTTTGCCTGAGGAGCCAAATTGTACAGTTATGAAATTGATTAATTTAGCATCTCCTCACTGGAAAACATAAGTCTATTGTTTTTCTTTTCTCTTAAGTTCCCTGCTCCTGGCCCTTAAGAGATCTTTCTTGGTAGCCAAGAAAAGCCTTTCTAATTCTGTTTTTAGCCTATTTTAATTGTTCTAAATCTCTGTTAAGTTGCTAATCATTTTTGTAATGGTACCACATTCTCTAATTGTAATCTGACCAGCCTAAACCAAGGACAGGGTGGCATTGTGTAACTTTTCCAAATCCCTGTGTCTTCTCATGGAAATTCTTGCATAGTTCATTTCCACAGCAGTTCTTCAGCTTGTCTGATGTCTTACAGAGGAAATACCAGGAAGATTTTGAAAACATGAAAGACCAGATCTACTTCATGCAGACCGAAACACCAGAGTATAAAATGAATAAAAAAGCTGGTGTGGCAGCTAGCAAGGTATGAGGAAATCATCCCATTTATCTTGATGGTTTGAGTGTGGGTAAATTTCTTATAACTTTGGCTCTTGTATATAATTAGTAAAAAAGGGGAGGAGTGGTTCTTGGGGGAACTACCAGGGCTGAGACCAGTGGATGTGAGGCATTTGAAAAAGAGTAGAATTGAAACAACAAGAACAACAACAAAAGTACTTTGGAATTATAATGGGGCTACTAAAAATGTTTTGCCATGTATGAGCATTAATAACATCTAATTACCATCTTCAATATTTCCTAATTTATTATTTGCCTGAGGAACCAAACTGTACATTTATCAATTTGATTTAGTGTCTTCTCACTGGAAGGGCCTTTTGCTGTTTAGAAGGAGAAAGATTGTAATCTTAGACAGCAGGACTTCTCCCCCCAGGAAGAGGCAATTGGTGGCCTTATATGAAGATAGGCAATCATACATGCAACACTATCATTATTTTTCTTATTTTCCCACTGACTATGAAAAAACCTGGTCGCAGGTTCATAAATCCATGGATATTTCCATATGTTTGATTGAGTGACTTTGGTGAATGGCCTGAGTCCTTAGCATTCTAAAGCACGATGGTCACTAAAGAGAGCATAAACTTCGAAGCCAAACACACTTGGTTCTAACCCTGGCCTTGGCTATGCTGGAGAAAGCAGGATTACATCACTTAGAAGGCTATTACAGCATCCACGTGTAAGACGGTGTTTTGGACCAGGAGGGTAGCAGGGCAGGTGATAAGAAGTCTTTTGAAAGCACAGCTGACTTGATTTGCTGATGGATTGGATGACACGGGTTTTGGTCTAAGCAGTTAGATGAATGGGGTTTCCCTTTATTGAGACAGGGAAGACTATGGAAGAAGTTGGTAATTTTTTTGGAGGACAGACAAGAGCTCATCTTCAGATATGGTAGATTTGAGATGCCTTTTAGACATCCACATGGAAGTGTCAGAGGTCAGTCGACTACATGAGCCTGAAGTTTCAGGGGAGATATATGGAAAGTTGTATAAACTGGGGTGTCATCAACATACAGAGAGTGTTTCATGCCATGAGTCTGGAGAGCATCAAGGGAGTGAGTGTAAACAGAAAACTTTAGGGGCTGAGCTCTGGGGTCCTTCCATGGGAACATATATGTAAGATGAGGGAGAAGCAAAATCAGGAGAGGGCAATGCGTTGGGAAGCAAGTGAAGGGGGAAGGGAGTCATCAACTGTGTCAAATGTCTCTGAAATGGATTTACCAATGTCTGGTCTCTGGTGACCTGAACAAGAGCAATTTGGTGGAGTCTGCTTAGAGAGGATTCACAAGTGAATGAAAAGAGGGAAATTGAAGATATAAGTATATTCAACTCTTTCTAAGTATTTTCCTGGTAAGAAAAGAAGAAAATGGGCAAGTAGCTAATGAAAAACTGGGTAAAGAGGGACTTTTTAAGATACGAAACAAAAGCATCATGTTGATGGAAAGAATCCAGTAGAAAGGGAAGATTTGGTGATGTTGGAATGGGGAAGAATGTCTGGAGTGATATCCTAGAGCAGGTGGAAGGGGAAGAGATTTGGTGCTTAAGAGGAGGGGATGGCTTTGCCACAAGCCCTGACAGTTCATCTGCATAACAGGGGAGAAGGCTGTGTATCCCAGATGCGGGTAGGGGGAGAGTAAAGTTTGTGAATCTGCTTTCTGGTCGTTTCCATTTTTCAAGGAAACAGTTAATTCTCTAAGGTGGAAAAGTGATCTGAGTCTCCCATTACTGTAGCATACTGTCGTGATGCTCTGTGGAGGCTGAGGGGTTGATGCCTCTGTGCTTCCCTTGTGTATCTCTTGCCTTTGGATACCAAGCTGATTGCCTTGTTTTCTGAGTTCATAAGTGGTAGATTTATCTAGGATTCCTTGAACTTCTGTGCTTATATTGCCTGAATAAAGGGCTTACACTGGGGATCATGGTGGGAACCAGGATCAGTTTCTTGTTCTAATCCCTGTGGACAGGCTCCTGATGGGGGCTTGTGAACCCTGCCTTCCCTATTCTCCCCCAACACCCCTCAACTTGCTGCTTCTGCCATAGCTGGAATTAAAAGTGCAAATAGGAACAGCAGAAGGAAAAGCAAGGCTCCTTCTCCCTGCTCCATCCTCCTCCTCCTACTTGTAAATTGAATACATGTGTGCTCCATGCACAGTTGCAGGTGAGGCATAAAAGCGTGGATTAGTGGTACTTCCAGCTTCCTTTCTTTAGGAGCGTGTTGGCAGGTAGGTAGCTGGGGGTTGAGAGCTGAGTGAAGGTTCTATAGCAGCAGGTATCTGGGACATTATGCATGATCACTATTTGGATTTCTTTCTCCCTCCTATTATTTCTGTATCTCTCTCTTTGAGGGCAAGGACCATGTGTTCTTTCTTATATCTGTCCCCAAGCCAGAAACAGAATTGACACCCTATGGATAATTTTGAATGAATAAATGAATGGGAAGAAAAAGCATCCTGGAAATTTATGCAGTTTCTCTGCTGCTTTTAAGAGTTACTATGAGTATTTTGTTTATAAAATGTCAAGCTGCCATTTTTCTAAAGAGAAAATTGATTTGTGGAAGTATGTCATATTCATAATAGAGACGGGGGCAAAAATAACCCATAGAGTTACTTTATCATTTTATTTCACTCCTACAGGTAAAATACAAAGAAGACTATGAAAAGAATAAAGGAAAAGCAGATTATAATGTGCTTCCTGCTTCAGAGAACCCACAGCTTAGGCAGCTGAAGGCAGCAGGAGATGCCCTAAGTGACGTAAGTATATTTTTGTCAAAGTGTTTTTAAACCTTAGCTGCAAAAGAGATGAAAATTTTCTCCTTTAATGACTAAATGAATATATAACTTTGCAAATACATTAAGGTTATGGAGTGGTAGGTTCATTGGAACTATGTAACCACAGAAAGGCATGAGTCCCTCTGAGTACAATGTGCCTTACTGTTTGTGGTTCTGTGGGGTTAATTCAATGGGCAGGGAAATTCTCACTTGCTTAGGAGCTCTGGGCACCTGGGCCTCCATATGGATGTGTTGCTTATGAGCTCCGGGCACCTGGGTCTCCACATTGCAGACGTGTTGTGATTTTGACAGAAGCAGAAGGAGACTTTCAAAGATAGATCTTGGCCCCAGAAACCATCATTTGCCAACAACAGAACTTAAAAGATGGGCCCCTAAGTCTTCACAGGACTTTCTAATTGTGTAATTATTAAGAGCCCGACTAAGCCGTTCAATTTAAAGCATATTAGGCAAACGAGACTGGGCTTGGGATTAAAGGACTAACAGCCTGAGAGAGAGAGAGAGAGATTGAATATGTGATGATTTGAGTTTATCTCTTACGGTTAGGTTTGCATTAAGCTTTCCTAGCATTTGTGGATTTTATGTAGCTGTCTGTGTGGGTTAGTTATCTTTTCTTTGTCCCTTGAACTAAGTCAGCAGCATAGGAAATATGTGTGTGTGGTTGGGGAGCAGGTGTGGGAAAGTGGCAAGTGAGAGGGTATAAATGGATCTGCCCAAATAGCTCTGCTGGGAAATCACTGTAAAGCACGTTTGCTTTCTTTTAAAAAACATTTTATTTCAGTCATTGTTGGGGTACAGGTGGTTTTTGGTTACATGGAAAAGTTCTTTAGTGTTGATTGCTGAGATTTTGGTGCACCCATCACCTACAGTGTACACTATGATCAATATGTAGTCTTTACTCCCTCACTCCCACCCCAACATTCCACTCAAGTCCCCAAAGTCCATTATATCATTCTTCTGCCTTTGTGTCCTCATAGCTTAGCTTCCACTTATAAGTGAGAGCATATGATATTTGGTTTTTCATTCCTGAGTTACTTCATTTAGAATAATGGCCTCCAGCTCCATTCAAGTTGCTTTGAAAGACATTATTTCATTCATTTTCATGGCTGAGTAGCATTCCATGCTGTATATATACCACATTTTCTTTATCCTCTCGTTGGTTGATGGGCCCTCAGGTTGGTTCCACATCTTTGCAATTGTGAATTGTGCTGCTATGAACATGCTTATGCATGTGTCTTTTTCATATTATTTCTTTTCCTTTGGGTAGATACTCAGTGATGGGATTGCTGGATTGAATGGTAGTTCTATTTTCAGTTCTTTAAGGAATCTCCATACTGTTTTCCATGGTGGCTGTGCTAATTTATATTCCCACCCATAGTGTAAAAGCAGTTTGAAGCAGTTTTACTCTCTAAGTGAAAAACATCCTTATTAAACATCTAAAAGCCCAAGTTCAAATCTCCTTTGTTGATAAAGACAGGAATATAAAAATATTAAACATGAATAGCATCATTTACATTTTGAAAACCCAGAATGAAAAAAGTGACAATAATCTGCTTTATCAGCTGCATATTTAAAACTAATCATTGCTTCTTCTTGTTCAAGCTAAAGGTAAATCCTGGCAGAGAAGAAGAGTTAGTAGTAACTCTTAGTACCAGTTCATATATATATATATAATTTTGAAGGCTAATTGTTTGTATAATAAGAGATTTCTTATAGGTATAGGAGGGAGGGAGATTGCGTATTTCTCACCTTATATAACTTTTTCATGAAGGTTTGTTTAAAAAAATTAAACAACTTGCAATTGCTTAAAACCTGTGTTTGCTGTGGTGCTATCAGTGAGGAAAGAGTATGTGAGCTAAGAGACAGAGAGGGCAGCAATTTACAAATACACAAGAATCTCTGCTACTAAGGACGTGGTCAGAGGTGGCATATTGGTTTCTTAATTTTTTGAGTTTGGGGAGGAGCCAAGATGGCCGAATAGGAACAGCTCCGGTCTACAGCTCCCAGCGTGAGCGAGCGACGCAGAAGACGGGTGATTTCTGCATTTCCATCTGAGGTACCGGGTTCATCTCACTAGGCAGTGCCAGACAGTGGGCGCAGGTCAGTGAGTGCTCGCACTGTGCGTGAGCCGAAGCAGGGCGAGGCATTGCCTCACTTGGGAAGCGCAAGGGGTCAGAGAGTTACCTTTCCGACTCAAAGAAAGGGGTGACGGACGCACCTGGAAAATCGGGTCACTCCCTCCCGAATATTGCGCTTTTCTGACCGGCTTAAAAAACGGCGCACCACGAGATTATATCCTGCACCTGGCTCGGAGGGTCCTACGCCCACGGAGTCTCGCTGATTGCTAGCACAGCAGTCTGAGATCAAACTGCAAGGCGGCAGCGAGGCTGGGGGAGGGGCGCCCGCCATTGCCCAGGCTTGATTAGGTAAACAAAGCAGCCGGGAAGCTCGAACTGGGTGGAGCCCACCACAGCTCAAGGAGGCCTGCCTGCCTCTGTAGGCTCCACCTCTGGGGGCAGGGCACAGACAAACAAAAAGACAGCAGTAACCTCTGCAGACTTAAATGTCCCTGTCTGACAGCTTTGAAGAGAGCAGTGGTTCTCCCAGCACGCAGCTGGAGATCTGAGAACGGGCAGACTGCCTCCTCAAGTGGGTCCCTGACCCCTGACCCCCGAGCAGCCTAACTGGGAGGCACCCCCCAGCAGGGGCACACTGACACCTCACACGGCAGGGTATTCCAACAGACCTGCAGCTGAGGGTCCTGTCTGTTAGAAGGAAAACTAACAAACAGAAAGGACATCCACACCAAAAACCCATCTGTACATCACCATCATCAAAGACCAAGAGTAGATAAAACCACAAAGATGGGGAAAAAACAGAACAGAAAAACTGGAAACTCTAAAACGCAGAGCGCCTCTCCTCCTCCAAAGGAACGCAGTTCCTCACCAGCAACGGAATAAAGCTGGATGGAGAATGACTTTGACGAGCTGAGAGAAGAAGGCTTCAGACGATCAAATTACTCTGAGCTACGGGAGGACATTCAAACCAAAGGCAAAGAAGTTGAAAACTTTGAAAAAAATTTAGAAGAATGTATAACTAGAATAACCAATACAGAGAAGTGCTTAAAGGAGCTGATGGAGCTGAAAACCAAGGCTCGAGAACTACGTGAAGAATGCAGAAGCCTCAGGAGCCGATGCGATCAACTGGAAGAAAGGGTATCAGCAATGGAAGATGAAATGAATGAAATGAAGCAAGAAGGGAAGTTTAGAGAAAAAAGAATAAAAAGAAATGAGCAAAGCCTCCAAGAAGTATGGGACTATGTGAAAAGACCAAATCTACGTCTGATTGGTGTACCTGAAAGTGATGGGGAGAATGGAACCAAGTTGGAAAACACTCTGCAGGATATTATCCAGGAGAACTTCCCCAATCTAGCAAGGCAGGCCAACGTTCAGATTCAGGAAATACAGAGAACGCCACAAAGATACTCCTTGAGAAGAGCAACTCCAAGACACATAATTGTCAGATTCACCAAAGTTGAAATGAAGGAAAAAATGTTAAGGGCAGCCAGAGAGAAAGGTCGGGTTACCCTCAAAGGGAAGCCCATCAGACTAACAGCAGATCTCTCAGCAGAAACCCTACAAGCCAGAAGACAGTGGGGGCCAATATTCAACATTCTTAAAGAAAAGAATTTTCAACCCAGAATTTCATATCCAGCCAAACTAAGCTTCATAAGTGAAGGAGAAATAAAATACTTTACAGACAAGCAAATGCTGAGAGATTTTGTCACCACCAGGCCTGCCCTAAAAGAGCTTCTGAAGGAAGCGCTAAACATGGAAAGCAACAACCGGTACCAGCCACTGCAAAATCATGCCCAAATGTAAAGACCATCGAGACTAGGAAGAAACTGCATCAACTAACGAGCAAGCTAACATCATAATGACAGGATCAAATTCACACATAACAATATTAACTTTAAATGTAAATGGACTTAATGCTCCAATTAAAAGGCACAGACTGGCAAATTGGATAAAGAGTCAAGACCCATCAGTGTGCTGTATTCAGGAAACCCAACTCACGTGCAGAGACACACATAGGCTCAAAATAAAAGGATGGTGGAAGATCTACCAAGCAAATGGAAAACAAAAAAAAGGCAGGGGTTGCAATCCTAGTCTCTGATAAAACAGACTTTAAACCAACAAAGATCAAAAGAGACAAAGAAGGCCATTACATAATGGTAAAGGGATCAATTCCACAAGAAGAGCTAACTATCCTAAATATATATGCACCCAATACAGGAACACCCAGATTCATAAAGCAAGTCCTGAGTGACCTACAAAGAGACTTAGACTCCCACACATTAATAATGGGAGACTTTAACACCCCACTGTCAACATTAGACAGATCAACGAGACAGAAAGTCAACAGGGATATCAAGGAATTGAACTCAGCTCTGCACCAAGCGGACCTAATTGACATCTACAGAGCTCTCCACCCCAAACCAACAGAATATACATTTTTTTCAGCACCACACCACACCTATTCCAAAATTGACCACATACTTGGAAGTAAAGCTCTCCTCAGCAAATGTAAAAGAACAGACATTATAACAAACTATCTTTCAGACCACAGTGCAATCAAACTAGAACTCAGGATTAAGAATCTCACTCAAAACCGCTCAACTACATGGAAACTGAACAACCTGCTCCTGAATGACTACTGGGTACATAACGAAATGAAGGCAGAAATAAAGATGTTCTTTGAAACCAACGAGAACAAAGACACAACATACCAGAATCTCTGGGACGCATTCAAAGCAGTGTGTAGAGGGGAATTTATAGCACTAAATGCCCACAAGAGAAAGCAGGAAAGATCCAAAATTGACACCCTAACATCACAATTAAAAGAACTAGAAAAGCAAGAGCAAACACATTCAAAAGCTAGCAGAAGGCAAGAAATAACTAAAATCAGAGCAGAACTGAAGGAAATAGAGACACAAAAAACCCTTCAAAAAATTAATGAATCCAGGAGCTGGTTTTTTGAAAGGATCAACAAAATAGATAGACTGCTAGCAAGACTAATAAAGAAAAAAAGAGAGAAGAATCAAATAGACACAATAAAAAATGATAAAGGGGATATCACCACCGATCCCACAGAAATACAAACTACCATCAAAGAATACTACAAACACCTCTACGCAAATAAACTAGAAAATCTAGAAGAAATGGATAAATTCCTCGACACATACAATCTCCCAAGACTAAACCAGGAAGAAGTTGAATCTCTGAATAGACCAATAACAGGAGCTGAAATTGTGGCGATAATCAATAGTTTACCAACCAAAAAGAGTCCAGGACCAGATGGATTCACAGCCGAATTCTATCAGAGGTACAAGGAGGAACTGGTACCATTCCTTCTGAAACTATTCCAATCAATAGAAAAAGAGGGAATCCTCCCTAACTCATTTTATGAGGCCAGCATCATTCTGATACCAAAGCCAGGGAGAGACACAACCAAAAAAGAGAATTTTAGACCAATATCCTTGATGAATATTGATGCAAAAATCCTCAATAAACTACTGGCAAAACGAATCCAGCAGCACATCAAAAAGCTTATCCACCATGATCAAGTGGGCTTCATCCCTGGGATGCAAGGCTGGTTCAATATACACAAATCAATAAATGTAATCCAGCATATAAACAGAGCCAAAGACAAAAACCACATGATTATCTCAATAGATGCAGAAAAAGCCTTTGACAAAATTCAACAACCCTTCATGCTAAAAACTCTCAATAAATTAGGTATTGATGGGACGTATTTCAAAATAATAAGAGCTATCTATGACAAACCCACAGCCAATATCATACTGAATGGGCAAAAACTGGAAGCATTCCCTTTGAAAACTGGCACAAGACAGGGATGCTCTCTCTCACCACTCCTATTCAACATAGTGTTGGAAGTTCTGGCCAGGGCAATTAGGCAGGAGAAGGAAATAAAGGGTATTCAAGTAGGAAAAGAGGAAGTCAAATTGTCCCTGTTTGCAGACGACATGATTGTATATCTAGAAAACCCCAGTGTCTCAGCCCAAAATCTCCTTAAGCTGATAAGCAACTTCAGCAAAGTCTCAGGATACAAAATCAATGTACAAAAATCACAAGCATTCTTATACACCAATAACAGACAAACAGAGAGCCAAATCATGAGTGAACTCCCATTCACAATTGCTTCAAAGAGAATAAAATACCTAGGAATCCAACTTACAAGGGATGTGAAGGACCTCTTCAAGGAGAACTACAAACCACTGCTCAAGGAAATAAAAGAGGATACAAACAAATGGAAGAACATTCCATGCTCATGGGTAGGAAGAATCAATATCGTGAAAATGGCCATACTGCCCAAGGTAATTTACAGATTCAATGCCATCCCCATCAAGCTACCAATGACTTTCTTCACAGAATTGGAAAAAACTACTTTAAAGTTCATATGGAACCAAAAAAGAGCCCGCATCGCCAAGTCAGTCCTAAGCCAAAAGAACAAAGCTGGAGGCATCACACTACCTGACTTCAAACTATACTACAAGGCTACAGTAACCAAAACAGCATGGTACTGGTACCAAAACAGAGATATAGATCAATGGAACAGAACAGAGCCCTCAGAAATAACGCCGCATATCTACAACTATCTGATCTTTGACAAACCTGAGAAAAACAAGCAATGGGGAAAGGATTCCCTATTTAATAAATGGTGCTGGGAAAACTGGCTAGCCATATGTAGAAAGCTGAAACTGGATCCCTTCCTTACACCTTATACAAAAATCAATTCAAGATGGATTAAAGACTTAAACGTTAGACCTAAAACCATAAAAACCCTAGAAGAAAACCTAGGCATTACCATTCAGGACATAGGCATGGGCAAGGACTTCCTGTCTAAAACACCAAAAGCAATGGCAACAAAAGCCAAAATTGACAAATCGGATCTAATTAAACTAAAGAGCTTCTGCACAGCAAGAGAAACTACCATCAGAGTGAACAGGCAACCTACAAAATGGGAGAAAATTTTCGCAACCTACTCATCTGACAAAGGGCTAATATCCAGAATCTACAATGAACTCAAACAAATTTACAAGAAAAAAACAAACAACCCCATCAAAAAGTGGGCGAAGGACATGAACAGACACTTCTCAAAAGAAGACATTTATGCAGCCAAAAAACACATGAAAAAATGCTCATCATCACTGGCCATCAGAGAAATGCAAATCAAAACCACAATGAGATACCATCTCACACCAGTTAGAATGGCAATCATTAAAAAGTCAGGAAACAACAGGTGCTGGAGAGGATGTGGAGAAATAGGAACACTTTTACACTGTTGGTGGGACTGTAAACTAGTTCAACCATTGTGGAAGTCAGTGTGGCGATTCCTCAGGGATCTAGAAGTAGAAATACCATTTGACCCAGCCATCCCATTACTGGGTATATACCCAAAGGACTATAAATCATGCTGCTATAAAGACACATGCACACGTATGTTTATTGCGGCATTATTCACAATAGCAAAGACTTGGAACCAACCCAAATGTCCAACAATGATAGACTGGATTAAGAAAATGTGGCACATATACACCATGGAATACTATGCAGCCATAAAAAATGATGAGTTCATGTCCTTTGTAGGGACATGGATGAAACTGGAAATCATCATTCTCAGTAAACTATCGCAAGAACAAAAAACCAAACACCGCATATTCTCACTCATAGGTGGGAACTGAACAATGAGATCACATGGACACAGGAAGGGGAATATCACACTCTGGGGACTGTGGTGGGGAGGGGGGAGGGATAGCATTGGGAGATATACCTAATGCTAGATGACGAGTTAGTGGGTGCAGCGCACCAGCATGGCACATGTATACATATGTAACTAACCTGCACAATGTGCACATGTACCCTAAAACTTAAAGTATAATTAAAAAAAAAAAAAAAGAGATGGAGACCATCCTGGCTAACACAGTGAAACCCTGTCTCTACTAAAAATACAAAAAAATTAGCCGGGCATGGTGGCAGGCACCTGTAGTCCCAGCTACTCGGGAGGCTGAGGCAGGAGAATGGCATGAACCCAGGAGGCAGAGCTTGCAGTGAGCCGAGTTTGTGCCACTGCACTCCAGCCTGGGCAACAGAGGGAGACTCCATCTCAAAAAAAAAAAAAAAAAAAATTAATGAAGTACTGATACAGGGTACAACAAGGATGAAGCTTGAAAACATGCTAAGAGAGAAATCAGAAAGAAAAGATCACATTTCATGATTCAGTTTAACCATTTCAAAGTGTATAATTCAGTGGCATTAATTACATTTACAATGTTGCACAAATAATACCATCTCATTCCAGAATTTTTTTTAATCCCCCCAACCATAAACCTCATACCTATTCTCCCTTCTTTCCAGGCCTTGGCAACTACAGAGTTTTTGGTGTGTTTTTGTTTTGCTTTTTTGAGATGATGAAATGTTTTAAAATTGATTGTGGTGACAGTTGCACAACTCTGTAAACATACTAAAATCCATTGAATTGTATACTTTAAATTGGTGAATTGTGTGGTATATGCATTAAATCTCAATAAAGCTGTTACAAAAAAAAGAAAGAAAAAAAATTTTTTTGAGTTTGGAATGTATGAAACTTAGGCCTTATAATAATTGCTAACAGAACAGTCTTATAATTCATGACATTCCGTGTTCGATTGTCAGGTTTTTTTCTTTTTGTTTTGTTTTGTTTTGTTTTGTTTTGTTTTGAGACGGAGTCTCGCATTGTCGCCCGGGCTGGAGTGCAATGGCGCCATCTCGGCTCACTGCAACCTCCGCCTCCCGGGTTCAAGCAATTCTCCTGCCTCAGCCTCCCAAGTAGCTGGGATTACAGGCACCCGCCACCATGCCCAGGTAACTTTTTGTATTTTTAGTAGAGAGAGGGTTTCACTTTGTTGGCTAGGCTTGTCTCAAACTCCTGACCTCGTGATCCGCCCGCCTCGGCCTCCTAAAGTGCTGGGATTACAGGCGTGAGCCGCCGCACCTGGCCTCAATTGTCAGTTTTTAAGACAGTTGACAGGCGATATCTTTTCTTCATCTTTTGTTTAGTGTTAGAAAATGTAAGTGTTATAATCAGCGTGGGAGTGACAGGAATCTACTTTAACTGAATTTTTTTTCTTTGACAGAAACTATACAAGGAAAACTATGAAAAGACAAAAGCAAAGAGCATAAATTACTGCGAGACCCCCAAATTCAAGCTCGATACTGTTCTGCAGAACTTCAGTAGTGATGTAAGCAATCCTACTGTCACTCTTTCTGTTAAAAAAAGAACCCATTATTTCACCAATTAATAAATGAAGTATGTTTTGTCTTGCAGAAAAAATATAAAGATTCCTACTTAAAAGATATTTTGGGACATTATGTAGGCAGCTTCGAGGATCCATACCATTCACACTGCATGAAAGTCACAGCTCAAAACAGTGATGTAAGTTCTAAGACAATTGTTTGACTTTCCAAATAACATTTTTCTCAGGGCATGAATACAATGGCTGCATCTTATGCCTAATTTCTTCTCCTCATAGAAAAACTACAAAGCAGAATACGAAGAAGACAGAGGCAAAGGCTTCTTCCCTCAGACCATAACTCAAGAATATGAAGCAATTAAGAAACTAGATCAGTGTAAAGACGTAAGTCTGTAGTCTGAACTTTGAATGTGACTGCCTTCCATAGCATCTAGTGGTCAGGATATGTTTAAAATGTTGCCACTTTTACAAATAAATGTAAGCCAGGCAATCGCAAGAAATGAAGTCTATTTTGTAGTAAACATCCTATTTTCCCTTGTTGACATCCCTACATTTTAAGAGGTAATTCTAGCTCATTTTCCCAAAGAAGAGTTATTGGAAACCCGAAGATATAGGAAAGTTTCTCATACAGATATAAGAGCACCTCTCAAACTACAGTCTAGTTAGAAAAAAATATATTTTATTAACTACAAGTTTCATTGCTTTGTGGGGCATGAGGTTCTATTTGCTTGGCCTGTGGGCCACCTTGGATCTGACAGGTGATACTACTAAACCAAATGCCTTTGCTTCCCCACAGCACACCTACAAAGTCCATCCAGATAAGACAAAATTCACCCAAGTTACAGACTCTCCTGTTCTGCTACAAGCCCAAGTCAATTCCAAACAACTGAGTGACGTAAGTTCCTCTAACTACTCAGGACACCCAATTATGAGGGATAACATTTCATAACTCTATACATAAAATCCAATGACTTATCAAGTTTATTCAAAAGGCTAAGTAAGTATTAGCAAGTTTAAACAGTATACATTTGTATAAAAATATATTTCTGCATTTTCTTGGGTGGATAAAATTTACAGTGAAACAATTCTGTGAAGGAAACAAATGTAGCTTAAAGCAATGGAAAGAACATGAGTTCTAGAGTCAAACAAAACCGCATTCAAATGTTAGCTCTGTCATTGATGTCTGGGTGGCCAAAGATTTAACCCCCCTCTGCCTGATATTTCCATTTTATAATTTGTGGCTGTTTTGAAGAGTAAGTGAAGGAAGAAATATGCACTGCACATACCCTGGCCAACAGCAGGTATTCAGTACATGAATTTCTCTCTCCCTAGTAAGTTTCTGGAAATTGGAATCTCTGAGACAAATTTTATTATATGAGCTTTAAGTGTGGATTTCCAAAGCTGTGTTGAACTAAAAAAATAAAAGTGACCTCAATAGATGAATGGCCAGAAATGAAGGCTCCAATTAGAGCATCAAAAGCCCTGATGTCTGTGAGAGGACTCTTAATCAGATGAAAGGAAAGTGGCTCTGGTACGTGAGCACTGACAGTGACAAGAGAGACAGGGCGGGGCCCCTCTCAGAACCTGCAGGGACAATTGTGCTACGCAGGGAGGGGAACATGTTTGACAGAGCCACCTCATTCCCTTAGGGTCCTACCATGGTGACAGATGTGATAATAGCTGCCAAGTGTCCTGCACACAGGATCAGTAATGCAGATGGCCTACCCAAGCTCTAGATGTCTCTTCTGATCTCAATAATGCTGTCACTAACTTTACAAAATGTACCACACAAGAATTTTTGTATTCTGGAACAATTCTTCTGAACTAATTGGTTCTCTCTCTGTCATAGTTAAATTACAAAGCAAAACATGAAAGTGAAAAGTTCAAGTGCCATATCCCCCCTGATACTCCTGCTTTTATCCAGCACAAAGTCAATGCCTATAACTTGAGTGATGTAAGTTCCTTATGCCCTGTACCATGTGATGTACTGACAACCTGTGCTTTTATGTTTGAACTGCTTTGTTGCAATTCAATGAATAGATTAATGTTAAAAATGAGAAGAACTGTTAACATTTGTATCATGTTGCTATGCCTCTGCCAGTATAACTGAATTCACCTTACAAAATATGTGTAGCAATCTTATAAGTAATTTCATACAATTAGATAATCGTAATATATAGTATTGTAACCAGCCCTCAGAATGCTACGTCTCATGTATGCTTAATTGCAAATTTTAATGGTAGATCTTTTAGCCATATATTCATTTAAATTATATATAATTCATTTATTCCCTGGGCCTATAATGTCCCTTATTTCACACAAATGATACTTATTTCTACATATATGAGAACTTGCATGAATAAAGATATAGGGGATTGAAAGGGCAGAAGTCCAGATACCCATTTCTATCCTTCATTTTTCAAACTTAATTTTATAGAAAAGTTAAATTATCCTTGGGGTTCTCAATTTCTTCAATAATTCTATAAATGAGTACTAAGATTATCTGGCATCACTGAGTATTGTAATGATTTATGAAATAACCTTTGCAGAGAACTTAAAGGTCAAATGAAAGTGATGCCTTTATATCATAAAAAAGTAAGTTAACTGTAGAATATATGTGCTACTCTATAAAACATTCAGTGTTAGGAATCAAATATGAGTATAATAGCTAGAATTAAATTAATTTGATAAAAAATTCTCATGGGGAGTAGAGAAGCCCAATCTTGGAGAATTAATAGCTCCAGCTTGAGAAGAAATATTTAAAATATGCATGATTTCCTAGACAATAAAAAGGGCCCATTTATTTTATATTAAGATAAGGTATTTAGTTACCCACTAGTCTTTAAAGGTCGTGACATGCATATCACTTTTGCCAATTCCTTTGCTGAATTTTTTTGTCCAGAATCTTTATAAGCAAGACTGGGAGAAGAGCAAAGCCAAAAAGTTTGACATTAAAGTGGATGCCATTCCCCTGCTGGCAGCCAAAGCCAACACCAAGAACACCAGCGATGTGAGTGTGGCCTGGGGACCTGGACAGGCTGGCTTCGGGGACATTTCCTCTTGAGTGGAATCTGGCATGTGTGATGTCTTTGCAGGTGATGTACAAGAAAGACTATGAAAAAAACAAAGGGAAAATGATTGGAGTCCTCAGCATTAATGACGATCCCAAGATGCTGCACTCCTTGAAGGTGGCCAAAAACCAGAGTGATGTGAGTTTCTTTGTAATTCACCCCTATTTTCAGACGTGGCCACAAAGTTGCTGTTTAATATAACCTTGGATGGACGTTAGCCTAACTGAAATCTTGGATTCAAGATGACAAATCACACATGAAAGCTTCACCCAGGTGCTAAAGGAAGATGAACTTCCTTATTCTTGTTGATGCCTTTGATGCCAGTGAATACTGCAAATTTTCCTTAATCTCCTTAATGCCCTCTGTTTTATTAGGAGGAAAAATATTCTGCCAATATCATTGTTTTTATTATTTTTCCTAGAAACGAGCTTAATATACATAAGTATAGGTACATGTGCATGTATATATTCACCCAATGCCCTGAACTGATTAAGGTAGTTTGCAAAAATATATATATAGGAAAATGAAAAGAAGTAAAGAAATTAATGTAAGGGCAAAGTAAGAAAAACTACATAAGGCATAAACTCAAAAGCAAAGCATTTTATTTTAAGAAATTTATAGAATATTGATCTTATTTTAAAGACTTTAACATACTTATTAAAAATAAAATATGACCCAGCAATCCCATTACTGGGCATATACCCAAAGGAATATAAATCATTCTATTATAAATATATATGAACACATATATTCATTGCAGCACTATTCACAATAGCAAAGACAAGGAATCAACAACGATAGATTGTATAAAGAAAATGTGGTACAGATAGACCATGGAATACTGTGCAGCCATAAAATGGAATCAGATCATGTCCTTTGCAGGGACATGGATGGAGCTGGAAGCCATTATCCTCAGCAAACTAACGCAGGAACAGAAAATCAAATACCTCATGTTCTTACTTACAAGTGGGAGTTGAATGTTGAGAACACATGGATACATGGGGGGTGCAACACACACTGTTGGAGGCTGGGGGTGGGGGAGGCGGGAGAACATCAGGAAGAATAGCTAATGGATACTGGGCTTAATTCCTAGGTGACAGGATGATCTGTGCAGCAAACCACCATGGCACACGCTTCCCTATGTAACAAACCCACAATCCTGCACATGTACACCTGAACTTAAAATAAAAGTTGGAAATCAAACAAAAAAATAAAAAATAAGATAAAACTCTTCACAGAAATTGCTTTCCTAATTCCTAGCAGAAAAGAAACACAGACAAGTAATATTTTCATTTATTATTGCTCTAAAGAAAACTGTTAGGTCTTAATGTTAATAGCCAGCTTCCGGAGGTGTTACAAAATGCGTTTTCACCAAGTGCTCAACAGAATACTCTTCCAGGACTGTGCTTAATTATCTAAGGTTCACCTTATACCCTTTACCTCATTTTGCATCAATTCTTAAACTCATTTTTCTTTCCTTCTTTGTTTTTTGAGACAGGCTCTCGCTCTGTCATCCAGGCTGGGGTGCAGTGTCACGATCTCGGCTCACTGTAATCTCTGCCTCCCAGGTTCAAGCAATTCTCCTGCCTCAGCCTCCCAAGTAGCTGGGATTACAGACATGTGCCATCACGCCCGGCTAATTTTTGTATTTTTAGTAGAGACGGGGTTTTACCACATTGGCCAGGCTGGTGTTGAACTCCTGGCCTTGAGTGATCTGCCCACCTTGGCTTCCCAAAGTGCTGTGATGACAGGTGTGAGCCCCTGCACCTAGCGAAACTCATTTTTCTTTAAACATATTCAAATGAATTACTTTAAGACAAAAAATTATTTAAAAAAAGACAGCATTGGTGTGCGTTTTTCAGTCTGAAAAAATATTAGGAAAAGTAACATAAACATCTTCATGATTATTAGCAGATGAGATTATATAAGGCATGAGCCTCTACCACATCTATTCTGCTTTTCTGCTTTGTGGAAAATTGATGGTGAGAAAACATAAATTTTGCCCCTTCAGTTAAAGTGCAGCAAAGACATGAATGACTTTTACTTTATGAGATATATATTTCTTTCTTTTTGGTTTAATTTATTTTTCCTTTAACAGAGATTATACAAGGAAAACTATGAGAAGACAAAGGCAAAGAGTATGAATTACTGTGAGACCCCAAAATATCAACTTGATACTCAGCTGAAGAACTTCAGTGAGGTTCGAAAAGCCACGGTTACCTTTCGGGTAGGAGGGCTTTCCTACTGTTTGACAAATGATTGTTAACTTGAATTACATTTGTTTTATTTTTCAGGCTAGATATAAAGACTTATATGTAAAGGATGTTTTGGGACATTATGTAGGCAGCATGGAGGACCCATATCACACACACTGCATGAAAGTTGCAGCTCAAAACAGTGATGTAAGTTTGAAGACAATGGTTCATGCCTCACAGTGACATTGTTTGAGAGCCATAACAATCATGATCTATTTTTGGTTTTTCTCATTATAGAAAAGTTACAAAGCAGAATATGAAGAAGATAAAGGAAAATGCTATTTCCCTCAGACAATAACACAAGAATATGAAGCAATCAAGAAGCTGGACCAGTGTAAAGATGTAAGTTAGCTGCCCTGAATTATTGAAATTGAGCTTGGGATTCCTGTGACATCTAGTGGTAAATTTAGCAGGAGTTTACATGCTAATATCTAGTGATTAGAAGGAGATAATTACATTTTACATTTTGGTTTTGGGGTGGAACCGGGGAACACAACAATTATGTTGAGGAAGGCCATTTGCTACAAAATTTCAGATTTTTATAAATCTTAATTTTCATTAGTTTATATCTACACGAATTTGGGGCAAAAGAAGGACATGCAGATTTAAGATAAGTGTTCATTATTTAACAAATTCTATGTGAGAAGCCATGCTGGGCCAGGCACTTTCCTTGGTGCTGAGAAAGACAGAGAAAAAGCCAGCCACCTCTTGAGCTCCCACTGGAGTGGAGGAGACAAGTAATAAACAAAGGAAGGAGCACAGAAATAAGAAAGATATCAAGCAATAATAAGGAAACTAATACAGGATGATGATACAGAATTAAAATAGGACAATGTGTGAGACAGTGACTGGATGGGCGTCTTAGGTTGGGTGGTCAAGGAAGGTCTAAAACAGGCATGACCAGTCAGGCCAAGGTCAGGGGAACAGCAGCAGGGAAGAACGGCCTAAGGAGAGAACAAGCTCAGCATTTAAGGAATTGAAAGGATGGGGTGGCTGAAATTTACTGGGGAGGAAGACAGTAGTAAGAGGTGAAATGGTTGGAGATGAAGGAGGGGATGGATTCTGTAGGGATCATAAGCCAACGTGCAGTTGAAGCTGAGTACCAAGTTGACTAAAGAGTCACTGTGTAAGGCTTCAGCAGGGTAAGGTTAATCTGGTTGCTGAGTTGCTGTAGGCAGACCAGAGGCAACTTGGGAAGTGGGGATTAAAGGAAAAAGAGAGAGAGAGAGAGAGACAGACAGAGAAGTGAGAATATAAACGCATCAACTAAGTTTTCAGGAACAAAATAAACTCTGTTTTGACCTGGAACCATTTTTTATGTTAGCGCATGTATAACCAAGAATATACTGATATTTCATTAAAGAACATCTTCTTTTCTAGCATACCTACAAAGTTCATCCAGATAAGACCAAATTCACGGCAGTCACTGATTCTCCTGTACTGTTGCAAGCCCAGCTCAACACGAAACAGCTTAGTGATGTAAGTGCTTTGATTTATGCAAGCGTGGGTGACCCAGAGTGCTTTGCTCATTTAAAATGTAAGCATTTACATGCTTAATCTTCATGGGCTCATCTACCATCCCAATATTATTATTTTTCAAGATTTGTTTAATAAAACACAAATGAGGCTGCTAGATTGAATTGCAGCCTGAGGAAAGTTGTGTTAGACAATAATAAAAATAAATATTTTTTAATAACTCACTGATTTTTAGTAGGACTATCTTACTTATTCATTAGGATCTGTCACATGCACACTAAAACTTCATGCCAACTTAAATAAACAGTGACAACAAAAGCATCTATTTGTGTAGGACAAGGCAAATATTTCCGATTCTTGAATTTGCTAACAAAGATTTTGCAAAAAGAAAGGGCACAGTAACAAGACAGACATCAAACAGTGATAAGAAAACTAATATAGAATGGTGCTACAGAATTAAAGTGGGATGACATCAAGAACTGGATGGGCACTTTAGATTGAGTGGTCAAAGAAAGTCTAAGACAGGCGTGGTCCAGTCATGCCAAGATCGGGGGAAAACAGCAGTGCTTCTCAGACCTCCACATTCATGCAATCGCCTGCTGACCCTGTTGAAGTGCAGATTCTAATTCAGTAGATCTAGGGGACTCCATATTCTGACTTTCTAATAAGCTCCTAGGTGATGCTGATGCTGTGATTGGTAGGCTACTCTTTGAACAGCAAGGTGCTAACATAGCTAAGTCCTAGAGAGTAGTACATCCTTCTCAAGATAGGTAAGTGAAAGATACAGTTTGTCCTACTATAAAATATATTTTAATGACACAAATTAGCTCATACCCAATTAGTAAAGAGGAGAATGGCATCAGTATAACTCAGAAGTCATTTCAGCTCGTGTGCCACTTTTCTGAGCATCTTAATATTTTGTGTCCCAATAAAGAACAGCTAAACACTAACATCACTGATCTAGCTGAACTCAGCAAGCTGCAGAGAAATACAGTGCTGTATGTGGTCACAGTCACTATCAATCACTCTTCTTATTGGCTTAGGTAGGCAATGGACTCTGCCTTGGAATTACTTCTTGCATAGTTCTCAATCTTGTGCATTTTTGCCTTTGGCTCCAAAATTAAACAGCCTCATCCGTTCTTTACACTCCCTTCCTTACACCTAACGTCACCTTTTAAAAAATTTAAATAAAGTTCTGTGTTTAATAATTTAAATAAGAATTCACAGGCAGGTGCAGTGGCTCATGCCTGTGATCCCAGCACTTTGGGAGGCTGAGGCAGGCAGATCAGTTGAGCCTAGGAGTTTGAAACTAGCCTGGGCAACATGGTAAACCCCATCTCTACAAAAAAATAAAAAAATTAGCTGGGTATGGTGGCACATGCCTGTAGTCTCAGCTACTGAGGAGGCTGAGGTGGGAGGATCACTTGAGCCTGGGAGGCGGAGGTTGCAGTGAGCCGAGATTGTGTCACTGTACTCCAGCCTGGGTGATGGAGCCAGACACGGTCTCAAAAAAAAAAAAAAAAAAAAAAAAAGAGTATATATCTTTTTAACTGTGCTAGTATTTTATTTAGAATTATTGTTGTTTTTGTTAGTGCTTTAATTACAGAAGTTCGTGTTCTCCAGACACAACCTAGCAGTATAGACTGGAAATGTGTTCCTGTGTATATAACAGAATCTATGCAATGGCAGCTGGCAGCCCAAAGTATGGTTACACAGCAATCCCCCTTATCCACGGTTTTGCTTTCCATAATTTCAGTTACCTGCAGTCAACCATGGCCTGAAAATATGAAGTGGAAGATTCCAGAAACAAACAATTCATAAGTCTTAAATTGCATGTTGTTCTGAGTAGCATGATGAAATCTCACACCATCCCCCTTTGTCCCTTCTTTATCAAGATGAAGGGTGAAAACATACAGTAAGATATTTTGAGAGACAGAAACCACATCCACATAACTTTTATTACAGTTTTGTTATAATTTTTCTATTTATTAGTTATTGTTGTTAATCTCTTACTGTGCCTAATATATAAATTAAACTTTATCACAGGTATATATGTATAGGAAAGAACATGGTATGTATAGGGTTCAGTGCCATCTATGATTTCAGGCAGCTACTGGGGGTCTTGAAAAGTATCCCCCAAGGACAAAGGAGGACTGTGCCACAGTCCCTGAAATAGGGGATGAAAGTTTGAATCCTGTGCGAGACTTTGACTGAATTGAGTATCTCTTTGAGGCATTTTTCTAAAAACAGCACTAATGCCTTAGCTATATATGCTGCCCTAAATAAATTCAAAGAAGTTCCCCTGAACCGTTCAAATATCCTTTGTTTTTCAGCTGAATTACAAAGCAAAACATGAAGGTGAGAAGTTCAAGTGCCATATACCAGCAGATGCTCCACAGTTTATCCAACACAGAGTCAATGCCTATAATCTGAGTGATGTAAGTACCAAAGCCACAGAAGCCTATGTTTGGTGTACATGAAAAGAGAAAATGTTTTAAATTTTAAAAGACAAGACAAGGAATTGTGCAAATAAACAACTTTAAGATGGTTACTTTGTAAGTGGAGCTTTTAAGGCCAAAATGCTCTTAAGACTCCTACTTATCTATCAGATTTCATTTTCTGTGGTCTCTGTTACTATCAGAAGATCTCCAATTACCCGTCTACTATTCCCTGGAGTTTTACAACATCTTTCCCATGTAAATTTCACATTTCACCTTCTCCAAGTGAGTGTCACTTTATAGCATCCTTATGTAAATCAGGACAGCAGAGTGCTTAGAAAGTTTACAGAACATTAAAAAGAGTAGTTGATACTTATTTAGTGGTAGGGAGAAAGAAACTGGATGATAGATAAATCAATACTTATACTACAATTTGATAAATATAGTTTTTATAGGAGAAATAAGTCTATACATACACAAATTTTCAATATGTTTTTATTTTTTTACTGGATTACACTGTTGTTCTTATCATTCCTTTGCTGAATTTTTCTTGTCCAGAATGTTTATAAGCAAGACTGGGAGAAGAGCAAAGCCAAGAAGTTTGACATTAAAGTGGACGCCATTCCCCTGTTGGCAGCCAAAGCCAACACCAAGAACACCAGCGATGTGAGTGTGGCCTGGGGACCTGGGGACCTGGACAGGGTGGCCTTGGGGACATTTCCTGGTGAGTGGGATCTGGCATGTGTGATGTCTTTGCAGGTGATGTACAAGAAAGACTATGAAAAGAGCAAAGGGAAAATGATTGGAGCCCTCAGCATTAATGACGATCCAAAGATGCTGCACTCCTTGAAGACAGCCAAAAACCAGAGTGATGTGAGTGTCTTTGTGAATCTGTCTTGTTTTCAAGATGGACTCCCTGTTACGATGCCCAAGGGTAGTAGTGTGGAAAAGAATTTCATGAGCATGGGCTCTTTCACATCACATTCACAAAAGTACTGCTGTAGAGAACTTCAGAATGATGCCCTGGATTATTGTGCCTCCCACATTTGAGGGGAGAAATTACTGATTTGTACTTGATGTCCATTTCACTTTGAAAAATGTATGCATTAATATTTAATAGAATATTGATTGTATTCTTAAAACCTTTTGGAAAACATCACTAGATATTTTCATATTTTCTTCTAATTGAAAAACAATTTTTAAAATGATAATTTTCAAACTGTCTTTACTTTGGAAGACATTTATGAGTCACAAAAATCTTAATAGAGTATCGTTCTTCATTGACTTTAGTAATGAGTTTGGTCTAGATCCAAGAAAAAGACTCCATTGATTATAAACCCCCCTGAGACTCTGATAAAAGATTTGAATCATCTATCTAGAAAATGAACATTTCTTTTCATGCCTTTTGCCTGAATTTTGGTGAACTCATGGGTTGCTTAAGGCTCATCTATGGGCCATGTAACATTTTGCAGTTAAAATTCTTACTACAGAGAGACAAACATCTACTACTGCAAATTATAGTATATATTGTGTATAAAATGTTTAGAGAATCCCTTAAGAGTACTGAGAATGTTCAGTGTAGCTTGCAGATACTAGTTTTTTTAATGATGAAAGAGAAGGGTATTTGTATCATTTAGATTTAACCATGCTTTTATATAATGATCTATACATACCTCTTTAATTCATTTTGCATCTATTCTGTCATTACATAGCACTTTAAAACTTCTAATTCTGTAATTTTCTCTAGTAACTTCACAGTGAATTATGTCAGTATATAGTGCTCACTTATATTACTATCTTGTTCACTAGTTGAGTCTTTTCAACTCAAGAAGGATATAACTCCCCATTGATAGCATGTGTATTTTTATCTTTTGTTTTTATTCCTATCACAGAACCCAGCAGTAGGCACATAATAAATGCCTAATAAATATTTGTTAATTGATTGATGTAGATGACCAAAACACATAGCAAATGAGTCATTCTCACATAATATCCAGGCAAAATGCTAAGCTGCAGACACAGAATATGAATGGCTTTTTAAAAAGAATCTTTTAAAGCCATTTGGATCTTTGACAACATTTTATATGTACTGGTATGTGTCAGCTGGTGTGAACATGAACAAAACAGTAACAACAATTTCTTCAAAAATACTTCCACACACCTATTGCTGTTGCAATATTGCTTTATCAGTTTATTTCTAACGAAGACAAACTGTTGTTTTCAATGTTGTTGCAAACTATCACAAAGTTTGCATACTTTATTTTTATAAACCAGGGTCTCAATTTTATAGTTAAATAATAAATGTATTCAGTGAAAATGATCACCCACAAAATATGAGAAGGAAGATCAAGTTCCCTTAGAAAGCCAAAAGATCAGATCATTTGCAAAAGGAATTGTTACAGAAGATTTGTAGTGCACATCTGTACTTGCCAGCTTGGGTCACCGTCTCTAACACATATGTGACCATGGGAAACTAGGATGAGTTTAGAGTTTTCTGAAAGGCAGTGGGTCAACATTTTTCTGTCAAAGTAATTGGTGAGTGGATACAATGAAGCTGGGAATTTGACCCAACTAGCACCTTGTCTAACCATTCCAGAAAACCAGACAATGAAGGGAGTCCTTGAGGCCCAGCCAGGACATTTGGTTTATAATGCTGTACGGAAGGGCCAACGTTATTTTAATGGCTCAGTTTCTCAAACTTTTCTCCTGTGAAGTCTTTTAACTGCTGCAATCTGAAGCTTCTTTTAAATTGTTGCCCCAATTGAACTTGATATGAAAACAACCTTTGAGATTCTCAGTGGGGTTATCTCCTGTCAATAACAGGTTAAAAAACCAGTTGACTATCCATTCAAAAATGACTCTATACAGCCAATAAACTAAGTCTACAGCCCTGTGTATGAAGTAGTCATTTTATTAAAATCCAATTGTCATATGGTTTTCATTACAATTAAAAAATGCTTCTTTACTGAAAACTCTTCATAGGTTAAATTACATGAATAATAGTAACACTTGTTAGTGGTCCTTGAGAAACCCTGGTTTAGAATAAAATCATTCCTGTTCCTGACTGAAGCAGAAGCTGTGGCCCGCTGTCTGCTGTGACCCAGACAGTTTCTCATTGATTTGAGAAGGTCTGCCCATGCGTGCTTTTTGGGGGAATTTCAATGGTATGTAACATATGAACACATTTTTGGGCAAAATAACTACTCAGATGTTTGACTCTTTCTCTAACTTGTATTTATTGTTTATGAAAGATCTCTGTCTTTTCTGGAAATCCATCGAGGATTTGTGATAATAAATGATAATTTCCTATTCACAGCGCGAATATCGAAAAGATTATGAAAAGTCAAAAACTATCTACACGGCACCTCTTGATATGCTCCAAGTCACTCAAGCTAAGAAATCTCAGGCAATTGCCAGCGACGTTGATTATAAGCACATCTTACACAGTTACAGCTACCCCCCTGATAGCATCAATGTGGACCTTGCCAAGAAGGCATATGCGCTGCAGAGCGATGTGAGTAACCAGGGTTTCTGTAGCCCCTCTTTTAAAAAGATGGAAACTGAAATGGACTTTGAAGTTGAGTGAGGTTTTTGCACTTCTTAGAGGTATCTGCATTGTCCTATGTATGTAAGCAAACGACCCTTGTGGTTCTATAAGAGCATGCCCTTCAAGGTTAGGAAGAACTGATCTGGCTTGCACCCTATCACTGTTTCCCTCTGGGAAATATGTCAACCTTGCTAAGTTTAGAGTCCTCCTCTGTAAAATGGAAATAAATCAAAAACATTGTTTGGAGGATGTAAATGCATGCAAAATACTTAGCATGGTGCCAGGCCCTGGTGAGTTCTCAATAAACATTCAGTATTTATCATCGCTATTATCATAATCATCACATTCATCATTATCAATGATTTTTACATAGATTACTATCTGAAAAGAAAATATATGATTTAACATAAATATTTATAACGGTTTTTTCTGCAGATCAGAACTTCTTTAAGCAAATTCATTTGTCCAAACCACACAACTGAATACTTCATCCTAACAATTCTATTTTTTAAAATGTGACAAAATACATATAACATAAATTTACCACCTTTGCAATTTTCAAGTGTACAGTTCAGTGGTGTTAAGTATATTAACATTGTTGTACAACCAATCTGCAGAGCCTTTTCATCTTCCCAGACTGAAATTCTGTATTCATTAAACAGCAACTCCCATTTTCCTTCTTCCCCTAGCTTGTGGCAACCACCAATCTACGCTTTGTTTCTAAGTTTGACTAACCCTAGATACCTCATATATGTAAAGTCATACAGTATTTGTCTCTTTGTGATTGGCTTATTTCACTTAGCAAAATGTCCTCAAGGTCCACCCATGTTGTAGCATGTATCAGAATTTCCTTCATTTTTAAGGGTGAATAATATTCTATTGTATCGATATGCCATATTTTATTCACCCATTCATCTGTTGGTAGACATTTGGGTTGCTTCCACCTTTAAGCTATTTTGAATAATGCTGCTATGAATATGGGCATGTGAATATCTCTTTGAGATCCTGCTTTCGATTCTTTTGGGTATAAACCCGAAGTTGAATAGTTGGATCACATGGTAGCTCTATTTTTTATTTGTAGAGGAACCACCATACTGTTTTCTGCAGCAGCTGCAAAATTTTACATTCCTACCACTAACAATTCTATATTATACATTGTTATTCTACTTGTTATTAGTTTGATTTTGTTATGTTTTTTCATCTCAAATAGATCATAAGCCTCTGACAGGCAGGAACTAAATGCTTTCTTGATTTTCCATTCTACTTAAAATGCCCAGAGTAAAAAACAACAGTTTGAATTTTGTATCTAAAACGTAAATTTTTGGTACCACCTATGGTCAGACAACAAGAGTAGCATTTTAATAGCGTCAAGTAACTGTGCCTCAACTAGGACCAATTCCAAATAATAACCGCCCTCTTATGCAAATTAACGAGTGCAACTGTTTTAAAGTGTTTTGTTAGCCAATGTAGAAACACTCCAAAGTTGACCAGTACACATGAAGGGCCATGTGTGCAAATACTTAGTACGAATAGTTCTATTAAGTCTTATACAATTAGGAAATTAGAAAATGAGCAAATAACCCACCTTCAATGTGGCCTTCTATTTTAATTTGATAGAAACATAATACTTAAAGTTCCAGGGAACAAACGTCTCACATTTGGTTAACTGACAATTTCACTTACTCTTTGAAGTGCAGCTTTGACTCGAACATTTTCCAGGTTGGAATTAGAGTACCACAGACTTCCATTAAGTTGGAAATAAGGATGAAATGGAACATAACGCCAGTTAGAAGGAAAGCAAAAATCGAAGAGCTGTTACTATATCTCACCAAAGAAATATATAAAATAACCTTAATGTCTGGAGTAAGGAAGCTGGTCAGAAATCTCAAAAACATTGTTTTGGGTAAAACTTTGATGATTTTACATAATGAGGATGACACAGCAAAGAAATGTAACCTTTCTCTTGGTGTTTTAGGTTGAATACAAAGCTGACTACAATAGCTGGATGAAAGGTTGTGGCTGGGTGCCTTTTGGGTCCTTAGAAATGGAAAAGGCAAAGCGAGCTTCAGACATCCTCAATGAGGTAAAGCCACTGGGTGTGTCAGAGGGAGAGTGGTGACTGTGTTGTGTTAAAGCTCTCAAAAGCATGGGCAGTGCTCCTTCATTGCTTCATTCTCAGTCACTGTTGCTGAGGAAAAGAGCTTACCACGTGCACAAATTACCCAGGGAGACCAGCACAAACCTTTATATTACCAAAATCATTTATGTTAACCATTCCTTACAGAAATATTTTTAACAATTTTATTAAGGTATAACTTGTTAACCATTTACGTTAACCATTCATTTATGTTAGCCATTCATTATAGAAATATTTTTAACAATTTTATTAAGGTATAACTTGCATACAATAAAAGTAACTCACATTAAGTGTACACTTTGACAAGTTTTAATAAATTCATATAATTGTGCAGTCATCACTGCAATTGAATTTTAAAATGCTGCAATACCCCAAAAAGTTTCCCCCCAAAATTTCAGCTCTCATCTTCAGCCCCAGGCAACCACTGATTTGCATTCTGTCTCTAAAGTTTTATCTTTTCTAGAAATTTATTTTGTATCTGGCTTCTTTCACTTCATGTAATGTTTCTGCTTGTAATTTGGTTTTTAAAAATTATTAAGTAAATCTTTTGTATGGATTTATTAGGTTGGTACAAAAGTAATTGCAGTTTTGACATTAAAAGTAATGGCAAGAACCACAGTTACTTTTGCCCCAGCATAATACACACCACATTGTTATTATTGCTTCACCGGTTGGGGGATATGTGGATGGTTTCTATTTTTTTGTGATTATGAATAATGCAGTTATTATAGAAATCGTCTTTGAAGAATTATTCCATATGTCATATTCTGGTTGGCTTTGAAGTAATGTATAAATTATAATTCAGTGTAAGAAAAAATAGTGATGATCTTGAGGCTCATAAGGCAGCAAGATTATCTGTCCCTCCCCTGTGACAGTTGAAGAGTCTCACTGCTGTCAGGTGAGTACATCCTCAAGGAGGGCAGACTACACAAAGGACAGAGGTGTGGTATGAGGGTTGTCTTCCACGCTCAAGTTTTACTTCTTGTTCGGTGTTTTGTTTTCGATGAAAACCATTTTGTCTGCTCAAAGATCTTCCAGAAGAAAGTTCTGGGTTAGTGGTTTTTAGAAGTCTGAAGCCGAAAGAGTGATGATGCTAACTGGGATGTACAACATGCACAAAGGAAGAGGACTGGGAAAATAAATAGAGACGCGTACAGGAATAAGGTAGCTAGAAGTTGCCAGCTCCTAGTGGGCACACCTACCCAGGGTCTCCTCTGCAGTGCCCCTTCAGCGTTTTGGTGATAACTTACGTACTAACCACATTAAGACTTGCAGAGCAAAAGTCCTGTCTCTCTTAATAATTCCTAGCTGTTGGCCTAGTTCCTCAATTCCTCCTTCCTCAACCGGACAGCTTCTTGATGCCATTTGCTGATGGAGTAACAGGGAAAAAGAGAACTTGTTTGTGCCATGCAAAGGCACTCCAATCTCCTTGCTTGCTTTTCTGTTAAACCTTTAGAAAACTCTGTGATGTTTCCAGATTCTGCTTAGCTGAGGGTGTCTTGTTTCATGTCATAGGCAAGAAATTAAGAAAGGAGTCTGTCTGGTTCCTGAGAGCAGTATATGTGTCTGTGCTGTCCCAAACTATCCACAATTAAATGGATTTTTAAAGATATTGACTTTTGTATTGCATTCATCAAGCCAATCAAGAATCTAGTGTTTTTGCATTTTAAAATCATGAAAAACTCTTCCTTTTCGCTTCAAAATAAATTTCAAGGATTTTGACGTATTAATCTTCAGTGGAAAACAAGATTGTTTTTCTCTTTTTGATTTGCCAAACAGAAAAAATATCGCCAACATCCAGACACCCTCAAGTTTACCTCGATTGAAGATGCTCCAATTACAGTACAGTCTAAAATTAACCAGGCCCAGAGGAGTGATGTAAGTGTTAATGCTATCTATATGTTAATAGATGTTAACTAATACAAATACATTTGTATTTCAAATGTACTGATCACCTCTAGTTATTATACAATATGAAGAGACCCAATTACACAAGCATCTGTAGAATTCCCCAGCTGTTCATTAATAAAGCATGCCTAATTCATATATTTACAGTAATGTATATTGTGCTGACTGTCCTTTTAGCCATTTGACATTTCTTTCTAAGGAAAAGGTAAGAGGGACTTCTCTTAATGACAACAAAAACTACAAGCCTTTTTCTAGGAAAGACCAGAAAGAATGAGTATATCAAATGGGGAGCAGTTATATTTTAAGTCAGTGCAAAAAAAAAAAAAATCATATATAATCAAAACCATCCCTAAGTCCTTTTAATTGCCCACAAAATATAATATAGGTGGTTGGTGTATTCCACCCTATTACACTTTCCTGAGCTAGGCCCAGAGGTTCCTACTGCAAGTTCCAAGGGATCTTTGCAAAACTGAATAAGCACTGAGACAGTATCCTAAGCAACTGCATGTGTGACCTTGAATGCCTACAGATATTTGCACATGAATATGCAAATGCACAAAGAGTGTCCTTCCTAAAACCACCTCTGTGAAATATGATCCATTAGGAAATTATTTTCTGGTGCCATTAAATTTTCTTTCTACTTTATTTGTTTGTTTATGCATTTTTTTCTCTTTCAGATCGCTTACAAAGCCAAAGGAGAGGAAATTATTCACAAATACAACCTGCCACCAGACCTGCCCCAGTTCATCCAGGCTAAAGTTAATGCCTACAATATCAGTGAGGTGCGTGGGTGGACTCACGGGCTGATGCGTATGTCCAGACTTTACTAACACAGTCTCTAAGTTGTACTTAAATGACATTTTTCTTTCAGAATATGTACAAAGCAGACTTGAAAGACTTGAGCAAGAAGGGATATGACCTGAGAACTGATGCGATTCCCATCAGAGCTGCCAAAGCTGCCAGGCAGGCGGCGAGTGACGTAAGTCCAGCTGTGGTCATACATGGGCAACTAGAAAATGTGGGTGGGTGGGCTTGGGGTCTGACGATGACCCAAAAGTCTCCATGCATGCAGTCCCCAATTGGAAGCAAATCTGATTGAAAACTATTTAGGAAATAAAGTTCCCTAAATAGATTTAAATTTTCTGGAGGGAAAAGATTTGTATAACCTTCTACTGATCAGTTCTAATCAAGCCCCCTCATTTAAAATTCTCATGTATAGTTCTACACTAACTCACATTACTTCTCTTGTGGAGATCCAGAAGTGACTTACCATTTAAGTCATAATAGCCTCCTGATGGTAAAATGTTATCTCAAAACTTTATTAATTTATATGATTTCCTTCTTCCCCTTTCCTCTCCCTTTTTCCTTCGTTACTTCTGTAGACAGGTGAATAGGCCTCAATTTCACCACCTGTAATAGCCAGTCTTTGGGTTCTATTACAGTTAAGAATTTTATTTCTTATCCTATTTATCTTTAACCAAGATGTGAACTGAAGTCATTTTGCTCTTTGAGATTTAAATAAAATTGGCTCAAGCCCCCATCTGTTATTCTATAGGGAGTGGAATCCCCCTCCCCATGATTTCTGTGGAGTCTCCGAGGTTTTTGTTTCTCTGCTTACCTCTGGCTCCTGGCTGGCTTGAGCTCATCTGCGCCCTCCTCCTGCGGGTCTCCTCTTGCTGCTCTGTATGACCCAGAAATGAAACACAGCCCCTTCCTTTTGACTTCCCAGAGTCCCAAACACCACTTTACTGATTGTTTGAAATTAGGTTTACATCGCACCAGTGTAAATATGTGATGATTGAATAACAAATGTCCTCGTTCTGAAATGCCCCTGTCCCACCCGAAGTTCTCACCCACCCCCTTTCTCTGTGGGTACTTTCCTCCAGCTGCCCCTGCCCCAACTTTCCACGAACCTTCCCTCATGTCTCTGCTTCTCAGTGTCCCACAGTGCCCTCCACATATCTCTGAGGAAGCTCAGTCCCCCTCACTTTGTTATCCAGAGCCAGTTAGTGTTTACCCCCTCCTGGCTCTGGGTCTCCCTTTGAATATCCAAGGACTTATTAAATTCTACTATCATTGATATTAACATCCTACCACTACTACTAAAAATTCTAAAACTAATTAAATATCCAGCTACTTGTACTCTAGTAGCACAATGTAATTGGTAGAGATTGTGACATATTTATCTTTTCATTTTTCTCTACCAATGTCTAAATGCAAAGGAAGAATATAAAGATCTGTTTTGTCACTGATACAAATTATGGTAATGCCCCATCTCAACCTCACTTGGATAGGCAGAAACAGCTATAGACAATCAAATGGGTTCCATAATACATAACATTTTTATTTTAAGCAGGCTACATTTCAGAGCATATGCAAGTGAATTGTTAATTGTTTGGTTATTGAAGTACAGTAATTTTTGGGAAGCTCAATTACTTCAAATCATGGCCTCATTGTTTAGTAAAGCCCTCAAAACTACATTTTAAATTATGCCCACCTTTGTTTACAATAGGTTCAGTACAAAAAAGACTATGAAAAGGCTAAAGGGAAAATGGTTGGCTTCCAAAGTCTTCAAGATGACCCTAAACTGGTTCATTATATGAACGTGGCCAAGATACAATCAGATCGGGAGTATAAAAAAGACTATGAGAAGACAAAGTCCAAATACAACACGCCCCATGATATGTTCAATGTCGTGGCGGCTAAGAAAGCCCAGGATGTGGTCAGCAATGTCAACTATAAGCATTCTCTCCATCATTACACCTACTTGCCTGACGCCATGGACCTGGAGCTGTCTAAGAACATGATGCAGATACAGAGTGATGTAAGTGTCATTTACTTCTCAAGAAACCCCCCTATTAAGTTCAGAGCCTGCCATGAAAAGAACCCTGTCCTAGGCCCTCACTCCTCTTTTCTCCATTGCTGTAGAACGTCTACAAGGAAGACTACAACAACTGGATGAAAGGCATTGGCTGGATTCCTATTGGCAGTCTCGACGTCGAAAAAGTTAAAAAGGCCGGTGATGCTCTGAATGAAAAGAAGTACAGGCAACATCCAGACACCCTCAAATTTACCAGCATTGTGGACTCCCCAGTTATGGTCCAGGCAAAACAGAACACGAAGCAAGTCAGTGATGTGAGTACAATAAAATAGAGAGGACAGAGGATATGGAGGAAGCTTTTTAGAAAAGTAAACAGCAGCCCAATATATTTTTTTTCTGGGCCAATATCTTTCCATTTTAAATTATTTTGTTTATTTAATTTTTTAAAAATTACAGTTATGTGTAGTTTGGGCACTAACATTTTCTTCTCTCTTGCTTTTTATCTTCCTTTTTAAAAACTTTTCCTTTTTAACTGTCTTTGAAATATTGTGTTATTGAATAAACTTGACATGGTGAAAAAATTCTATTCTAGGACTACACACATACACATGCAAACACATACATACACAGAATTTAAGCTTAAATCCCAGACACTTTATTGTGGCAGATTTGTTGTATTCAATTCTATGTTAAGTTTCTCATATTTTCTTTTCATATATAAGACATTAATACAGAGAAGTAATACATATGAATATATGTTTTTGCTCCTAAGAATTCAGCATACACAATTATCACAGAGACTTTTTAACTTACATCTGATTGAGGTGTGTATCGTTTGCCTGCCTGTCCATGAGCAGCGTCTATGCTCTGGCTAAAGTCAAAGTTTCTAAAGGAAAGTTTGGTATACAGAAGATCAAAAGCATTCACTCGTTTATTTATTTAATGAATGCTTTTTGAACATTTACCATGTGCCAGGCACTGTATTACCTGCTGATGGCATAAAGATGAAATAGATGAGGATTCATGGGATATAGAAATTCACAAGAATGTAGGGTAAGAGCATAAGACAAAGACATGGCTACAAACAGAGCATTGTCATCCAGAGAGACAAATGCCGCAGGAGAGGAAAATGTTAAATACAAGGGAGGTGCCTTGTACACAGGTAACTGCCTACCAGAGTTTCCCAGGCAAGTGAGAGAAGTGAGCATTCCTGGCAAAAGGAACAATATAACAGCAGTAGAAAAGGAATGAACAATATAACAGCAGTAGGAAAGGAATGAAAAAGTGTAAAAGCAAAAGGTTCAGGATTGTAACCTGATTAGTAAGGGACTCGTATGCTAATTTTTAGAGTCTGGATATTAGGGGGTAGGTAAGAAGAGATGTTGAATATGTTTAATCGATGGAGCCGCATTATCAGGCTTGTGTTTTAAAAGACAATGCTGGCCCCAAGTGTGGAGACTTTGGAAAGAGGAGAGACTGGAGGTGAGAAGATGAATTAGAAGGCTGTCACCGAAATCCAAGGAAGGCTTAATTGGACTGAAGCTAAGGCAGTAGCAATGGCAGAGAAGGAGCTGTGTAGAAGGTCGAATTCATGAATCTGTCATTGCTTAGATATTGTTCTTAAAGGCAATGAGGACTTAGAGGTAACTCTTTGGGTCCTAGAAGAAATTATTTATTATTTGGGGATTAATTTAGCTATTAGCCATGTCAGATTTTATCTTGGGTACATGCATACCAGTTTACATGTCATATTCCATATAGTCATGCCTTGGAAATAAGGATATATATGAGAAATGAGAATTATGAGATTGAAAATCTACTTGTGATTCTGGCTCTATTTTAGTTTTAGGAACTAAGTAATATATTTCTAATACCAGGAGGAGGATGCAGTAAGATTTCTGCATCACATACTTTGACATCTTTCAGTCAAAAGTGTATATAATTCTTTAAAGTAACAACATAGGGCAAATATGAAATAGTGAGCCTTTTGAGTATGCTAGATTCATGTATAAGCACCTCTACATTATGAGGAAATTATTGTATGCTTTCACTGATACAATTATAATTTGGAAAGTTTTTAGCAGAAGTGAAAAACTTATTCTAACTACTACTTTCTCTCTAGGGATAAAAAAATAGAAACTAACAAAAATGGAAGAGCTATTAACTCACAGGCAAATAATAAATTGATTTGGCTTTGGTGAATTCTATTATTCTTGCTAGGGTTTCATGGTTGAATTTACCTTCCATTCATCTTGGGCAGTGAACAATTTCTATTTTCTTAAGGATTTTTTCTCCTTCTATTTTAACACACAAGACTTGTTGGTATTAAAGATAATAAGATGCTTGTTTTATTTAAAAAAATAGGAAAATGCCTTTGATGATTTTTAACACTAGAAAATCATGGGTGATTGTGCTAAAAATAACTCTTTAAAGCAAACAATTAATAGATTTTCCTTTTTGCACTATGTGAAATGCATTTTATTGCAGATCTTATACAAGGCTAAAGGAGAAGATGTGAAACATAAATACACCATGAGTCCTGATCTTCCTCAGTTTCTCCAGGCCAAGTGCAATGCTTACAATATAAGTGACGTAAGTAGGGTCTTTGCTGGGATGTGAAATTCGGACCTGACAATAAAATTATAGACTTTAAGAGTAGGATGGTGCCTTGACAATTTATTTAGGCCCATTTCTCACAAATCCCCTACTGGAACATATCCCATAAGGATGGTTCTTTACCTCTTCAGTTGGCCTTTTCAAATGTAGGACAATTTTAAAGGACATAACATTCTTCTCTATTTAGGGGATGGTAGAGCTCACCATCTATTCCCCTAAAACTTCTACTTGGTTTTCCTAGTTTTGCATGTGGGGGAGGTTATTATCCTCCAGAAACATAAGAATAAATGAGCTCCCTTTTAAAATAACAACCCTAAAATTTCTAAAGCTGACCACCAGGTCTTCTCTTGACATTCCTTTCATGAGAATGAACAACTTCATTGTCTCTAGTTGGTCCTCACATACCATGGTTTCCAGAACCTTTATTTGTTTTTCTCTGGATCCAGTCTTTCAATATTCCTCTCTTCAATATGTGTCAAAACCAGATGTAGGTGAATAATTAGTGCAGAGTCCAATGATCTCATGCTACACACAGTGTGACACTTTGCCAATGTGATTTCCTAAAGCAGTATGTGCTATGAGGGATTCCTTCAACTTCTGTCTGGAAAAGAACAAAACAATCCCAGCAGTTGAGGAATCACTTACAGATGCTGACATTCTGTTTGCTTTTCTGTCCAGGTCTGTTATAAACGGGATTGGTATGACTTAATAGCCAAGGGCAACAATGTGCTGGGCGATGCTATTCCCATCACTGCAGCCAAGGCATCGAGAAACATTGCCAGTGATGTGAGTACAAATTTTAGGTGAAGTTTAGGTGTTTGCCTTTTTGAAAAGTAATCAAATGCTTGTTTAAATTGATACCTTATTGAAAGAAATATGTTAAATTAATGGCATTTAAATTCTCAAAATATTGTTTGGAAAAACCTGTCACTTTTAGAAACATTTTTGTGGTTCTTTTCAGTTGACCCCACTTGGTAGAGCTGTCATAAATCTGACAGTGGCTTTCTCCTTTGATTCATAGCCCAAATTACCTTCACTGACACATTTCCCTGACAGCCCACATTTATTTTCAGTGGGAACACCCTGACTGACATTACCACATTAAATTCAAATGACTGCCTGCATTATAATTGTATTAAAAAGATTGAAAAGATGTTATATAAAATGTACAGATTTTTATAAACCAAAGAGGGAAAAGTCCACTTTTTTAGGATATAATTTTGATTCATGTAAATTGATGTCCATTTCCTGTAACAGAAAAAGTATACACTTCTACTCCTTTCCATCTTTGAAAAACAAAATTTTGGCCGGGCATGGTGGCTCACGCCTGGCCAAAATTTCAGAAGAGCGGATCACGAGGTCAGGAGATCGAATGGTGGCGGGCACCTGTAGTCCCAGCTGCTAGGGAGGCTGAGGCCCGAGAATGGCGTGAACCCGGGAGGCGGAGCTTGCAGTGAGCCGAGATTGCGCCACTGCACTCCAGCCTGGGCGACAGAGGGAGACTCCATCTCAAAAAAAAAAAAAAAAAAAGAAAAAGAAAAATTTTTAGAAAGCATGCATGCCCTGCAGAGTTCACTGTTACATGCTATCCCAGGGAATAAAATCTTGGTTTGAGAAAAGAGAAGAAAGAAACCAACCAGGTATACAGACCACATAGGAAATAGAGGTGTAAAAACTCTGCTACTTTCCTTGTAGGAATGATACTGAAAACATCTTCCTCGGAGGTCTGCACACAATGCACATCACTATGAAATACATTTCTAGTCTAAGTAGAAAGTGAAAGTCTACAGTATAACTTTATTCTTTTTTTTTCTTTTTTTTTTTTTAGCACTTACACAGTGATTTTTCACATGTTAGAAATTACTTGACGATCCTTTTGCCTGCTAAACTCTTATTTATGAATTAAGGCTTAAATAGCAGGAGCTGAAAGTCTGCAGGGTTTAAGTGGATTTGAATTCTCTTGCATAACAGTTGAGGTTCTGACCTGTTACAAGATTGCTCCAATTTATATCACATTGCTGATTCCAGCAGTGAGAGACTTTGGACAGCAGAACTTTTTCCATTAGGTTTTTATTGATGGGAAAACCCCACAGCAGGTCCTTACTGTGGCTCCTTAATTTATTTGCAGCTGTTTCAGCAGTGAGCTTGGAAAGCAGCTGCTGATAAAAGGAGTCAGTGAAGGCCCAGCTATCCTATAGCTGGTACTCATATTTGTGATGTAAATAACATATTAAATCGAAACCTATGAAACCCTATGAAACCAAGAGATATTGGCCTTATATTTAGAATGTGTCATGTTCATATTAAGTGTGAAAATTCAGTTTGTTTAAAATAAAGTTCCACATGCAAATTATCTGTAGGAGTCATAGCAAAGAAAATAAACTGATCTTGAATTTATCGTGACACTCACTTGTAACTCCAATATATGTTTTCACTGAACTTTTTGGAGGGGGTTGTGGTTTGCATTTTTTGTACACTCTTGAGAAAGTCACAAAGCTCTGAGTGTCTTTATATGTGAATGTAATTGCAGCGCTAATGCTATCAATGCCTAGGACTTTGCTAACCCAATTCTGCCTCCACAGTATAAATACAAGGAAGCTTATGAGAAGTCAAAGGGAAAGCATGTGGGTTTCAGAAGCCTCCAGGATGATCCCAAGCTGGTCCACTATATGAATGTGGCAAAGCTGCAGTCTGATCGTGAATACAAGAAGAACTATGAGAACACCAAAACCAGCTACCATACCCCTGGGGACATGGTTAGCATCACAGCTGCAAAGATGGCCCAGGATGTCGCTACCAATGTCAACTACAAACAGCCATTGCATCATTACACATACCTACCTGACGCCATGAGTCTTGAGCATACGAGGAATGTCAATCAAATTCAGAGTGATGTAAGTATGTGTAACAACAGACCCAGAGATGTTTGCACTTAAAGGATGATCACTTCTCGCTTTTATTAGACTTCATACTACAGTCAGCTATTTGACAAATGCACTTTAGAATAAACAACCATTACTGAAAGACTACCAAAGGCATGGTAGACAAGCTGTTTTTGCCTGCTTTCTGTGCTTATATCATAATTATTGATGCTGTCTTTATTAACTTATGGATAAAAGATAAAACTATATTCCACTAACTATGAGAGCCACTTTGATTCACAGCAAGAGGAGATGGGTATTCCTGATGGGTTGGCTGCAATGGTGATAGATACAAAATGCAAAAATAGAAGAATTTTCTATCCTTCCTGAATTTGGGAAAGGTGTTTTTTTTTTTCCTTTATTAACTCAAGGTCACAATGTCATCCATGTAAATCTCTGTAATGAGTCATCTAAAATTAACCAGGAAGGTTTTGTGCTTGCAACATGATTCATGGAGAGTTGCATGGAAAGGTGTTTAACATTCAGAGCCTCTCCTGCTGCAGGAGCCAGATTTCTGTTAGAATTGTCCTCTGTAAAGGAAAGAAGTGTTATACATTTATTGGCACTCGATAAAAATATTGCTCCCCAGATGAGCTCAAGCATAGCCTAGGTGGACAGTATGGATGTAATTTAGTTTTGAAGTCTTCAGTGGAATCAAAAGGAAAGCCCAATTTATTGTCAAAAGTGACAAAATGCTTTTTAGCAGCACCCATAGTGACCTGGATTCCCCTCTGTGTTGCATAATGCAGTCTAAAGCATGATCATTTCTATTTTATTAGGCTTCATAATACAGTAAGTGACTTGAAAAAAAATGCTTTAAGATAAACAACCATTATAGAAAGTACCAATTTATTGTCAAAAGTGACAAAATTTTTTTTAGCAGTACCCATGAAAATATGTGACCTAGATTCCCTTCTGTGTTGTATAATGCACTCTAACAACAGAACAGCTTCTTCTTATTACCACACTCCAGATAAGCTCTGTGACAGACAGTCAGACATGAGCATGCTGAAGAGTTGCTATTCATTTCCCTTGGATAGAATTGCAGATCCCAGAAACATCCCTTGAATATTCTCCAGGGTATCTTCTCATATTAGCTTACCCTTTTACAGAATGTGTATAAAGACGAGTATAACAGCTTCTTGAAGGGCATCGGATGGATCCCTATTGGTTCCCTGGAGGTGGAGAAGGTCAAGAAAGCAGGCGATGCATTAAATGAGAGGAAGTATCGACAGCACCCAGATACCGTCAAGTTCACAAGTGTGCCTGATTCCATGGGCATGGTGTTGGCTCAGCATAACACAAAGCAGCTAAGTGATGTGAGTGCTTTCCTTTCAAAATGATTTGCCCGTAAATAACCACACGTGTCTGAGCCGCTCCTCCGTCCTTCTTAATTCAATGTGTGAGGATGCATCTATGTTAGCAAATAAACTGCTTTCATAGGTATGAGAGAAAGGGCTGCCTTTTGAGGCAACTGGGATCTTGAACATGGGAAAAACAGGGAGATGAAAATGGGGGACTATTCCAAATTTGCTTTGTTTTCCAAATGTAGAGAGCCTGTGCTATTCATAAGCAGATACGCATTATACATATGAAATAACATTATTACTATCATTATCTGTGGCTCTGTATGAATTGCAAAACAAGCTATTTATTGCTCTTGGTTGCAATATTTCTACCTAGCCACATAGGGAAGAGGCATAATGTCCTAATCCCCTCGCATAATAGCTCCATGTTCTGAGAGGCAATCTTAGAATGAGGCCTCTAGGGAGGAGATAAGCAGTTTATTTGCAGTCATCTGGGATCTCATTCTGAGACCACGTCTGTATGGACTCTTACACCGTGGACTCATACCACGTCTGTATGTCTCATTCTGAGACACGTCTGTATGTCTCATTCTGAGACACGTCTGTATGGACTCTTATTCTTTCTGTCAGAAGCGAATTACAATGCTCAGGGCCTCACATGACTTGTTAATTTTAGAGTTCTGTTA
This sequence comes from Homo sapiens, assembly GCF_000001405.40. NCBI lineage: Eukaryota > Metazoa > Chordata > Mammalia > Primates > Hominidae > Homo > Homo sapiens. Next base: position 151,670,348 of record NC_000002.12, on the reverse strand, counting down.
AAATGCCTCCACCAGAAAGAGACGGGTAAGTAAAAAGCAAAGAAAGACTTTTTGTATTTTAGCCCCAGATTTTGGAAGGTGGGGAAATGCTTTGCTTGCCTTGGATTTGAAGATCTATGGATTTTAGCTCCTGCCCCCACATTATCACAGATGTCTAAGGGTTAATTCTATCTTAGGAGTAATAACTGGTGTCAATTCTTTTTCTTTTGTACTGAGCGAGATGTCACTTCTCATGGTGTTTTTCCAGTTAGCTAGGCAAACTGTACACTCACTATATAAAGTCTTCCACATCACAATAAATGCCATCAACATCTACCTCGTTACTCAAGCTGGAAACTTGGCAGTCACGGTTAACACCTCCCTGTGTGAACTCCCACATGCAGTACCTCTGCTGAGTCAGCTTCCTAAATATCTCTCAGCCAGTCTGCTCTCAAATGCCACCAACCCTACTTCCAGCTTCTGTATGGCTCGTGTGGACAACTGCAATAACCTGTTATCTGGACTCCCTGCCTGAGGTCTCAAACAATCGCAAGAGCCTGTCTTAAAACACGAATCAAATCATGTCCCTCTTATGTGTAAAACCTCTTAGGAATTTCTTGAATGTGAAGTGAAATCTAAACTCATCAACTTGACAAAAGACCCTCTTCTCTGTGGCCCTTCTGCACCTTCTGTCTAATACTGCTCCACCCCCACGTCTACCCAGGCACATTCCAGCCCTGTGACTTGGACTGCTTTCATTTCCTCAAGGTGGCCAGGCCATTTCCAGCCTCAGGTCCCGAATGCTCTTCCTCTGCCCCTCTCTCCAAGTTTGAGTGTAAATGTTACCTCTGCAGAGTGGCTTTACTGACCATCCTTGTTTCTTTGCTACAATGATTCCATTGACAACACATCACAAATTCTAGTGATAGTTTGTAGTTTACATGTTTTATGTCTGTCCTTTCTATTGGACAGTAAGCTCCAACAGGACAGATATGCCTTCCTCACCTCTTTAAACACAGAACTTACCACCCTGCCTGGCCCACAGTGCTGTCCAATAAATACTGGTAGAATGGGAACATAAATGCATCTACCAGGGCCCCTCCCTTATGACAGAGTAGGTATTTGTCTCGTAAATGGAAAACACAAATGATAGCCTTCCGTTTTAAAGGAGTCTCTGCTTGATGAAATTTATATTATGTCAGCTAATGATATGTGCATGCTGTCTCCTTTGTTTTTAGTTGAACTACAAGGTAGAGGGAGAGAAACTGAAGCACAAGTATACTATTGACCCTGAATTGCCTCAGTTTATTCAAGCCAAAGTCAACGCCCTCAACATGAGTGATGTGAGTATTTGGCCCAGTGCTAATATTGCGTATGCGGGCCTCTCCTTTCTGGTTCTTTGCAACTCTTGCTCTGAGAATTGTAGGGGGCGCAATTCAGTGTGGACCCTGAGCCTCCACATTAAACCCTTAACCATGCAACATGAGCCTAGGGGGCGGCAATAAAATTTTGCTTAATACAGGCTTTTCCAGACTATGGGCTGTGGCTTATTAGTGGGTTGTAAAGTCAGTCAAGTAAGTTGTGTCCCATTTAAAAAAAAAATGGAACATGAGACAGACAAGATTGGAAAACACAAGAGTGCCTAGTCTGTAGTATGGAAAACATTGCTTTTTACAACTTTTAATTATTTATTAAAACATCCAAAAAAGTTTAGTTTTCTTCACAAAATCTTTTTTTGTATGTAACTAGCCTTTCTCTTGAGTGGTCTAGACATCTAATTGGTGGTAATGTTTAAATCCACTATTATGAATTGTTTCCTTTTTTAAAAAAAGGATATTGATAAATCCTAATTTAAAAACATAATAAAACTTGGATAAAATTGTTAATTTTTTAAAAGATGGCTTATTCATTCTTTCCAATGTTTTTAGGCTCTGTTTCATATCCAACTATACATTCCTGTGCTTTTGTTTCATTAAGGGGAAAGATTTTTCTAAGTAATATTTAAGCATTAAGATCAATTAAAGCTGAGTTGTACTACATCTGGATTTTTAGTTTTAGTATTCATATCTTCCTATAAGCTTGAAATGCTTCATTACAAGAAACGTTTTTCCAAAAGTATTATATATTTATTATAGAAAAGTTGGAAAATATAGAAAATTATGACAAATAAATGAAAACCTTCTGTTATCCAACAGTCAAAGCATTACCTTTCTGTTGCTTTGTTATGCAAGCATATACATTTTTTGATCAGTTGAGATTATACTGTGTATACAGTTTACTGATCCTTTTAAATAAAATCAATTATATACATAAAAGACAAACTAATAGTCCTAACTTCATAGATTGTCTTAATAGAAAGGGATCTATTACGACATGTTTTATAAGAAACATTTTGGCATTCTGTTTCATTCCTCTTTTAATGATGTCAAATAATAAAATAACCTCTACTTTTTTGAAGGCTCATTATAAAGCAGATTGGAAGAAAACCATTGCCAAGGGCTATGATTTGAGACCAGATGCCATCCCAATTGTTGCTGCAAAAAGTTCAAGGAATATTGCTAGTGATGTAAGTCTAACTTAAAAGTAGGAAACTTTCTATCTAAAAGACTTCAGGAGTTCAAGACCAGCCTGGGCAACATAGCAAGACCCTGTCTCTACAGAAATAAAAAAAAAAATTAGCCAGATGTGGTGGCGTGTACCTGTAGTTCCAACTATTTGAGAGGCTGAGATGGGAGGATCTCTTTAACCCAGGAGTTTGAAGCTGCAGTGAGCTGTGATTGCACTCCAGCCTGGGTGATAGAGTGAGATCCCATCTCTAAAAAAGAAAAAAAAATCTATATGTGATGTATAAGATTGTATCAACTACATAAAGAAGCAAGTAAAGAAATTATAATATAAAAATATTTCCTAAAATCCTAATTGCCAATTACGTTATTTATATTGCCTCACTTAAAATATTTTTCACATATTTAAAAGCTTAATAAAGTTGTTAGAAGAAAATTCTTTTTTAAAAACTGTGACGTACTTAAAACTTTCATTAGTATCATTGTTATGAACTTAAAAACCACTTTTTATTTGGATTTTGTCATGAAAAAAGTCATGATATACTAAAATATCACTAAATTAGAAAAGTCTCCAAGTATTTTAAAATAATTCAGTGTTTTAATTTTATAATTTCCATGAAGAAAAAAAATCCATGGAAATAGAAATATGGAAAACCAGAAAAAATATTTTGCTGATTCTTTCTGGTTTTTCGTATTTCTATTTCCATGGATTATATAACAGGATTTTAGTTAATTACATAACAGGATTTTAGTTAATTTTTTTTTTTACAAATTAAGTTATATTCCTATATGAATTGACATAATAAATGCCTTGATAGAGAAAAAAGGCATTAATTTCAAGATTAATACACTAATTTGTATTAGGGCTGAAATTTACTCATACAAATACGTTTTAAGGTAATACAAATTAATAATGGAAATATAGTCATAAAAAAGCATACATTGACCAGACATGGTGGCTCACACGTCTAATCCTAGCACTTTGGGAAGCTGAGGAGGGAGGGCCCCAGAGGCTGCAGGGAGTCATGACTGCACCATTGCACTCTAGCCTGGGGGACAGAGCAAGACCCTGTCTCAACAAAAAAACCAAAAAACAAAAAAAGCGTACATCAAATGCTTCATAAGCCAACTTCTCAGGAACCTTTGAGTATATTCAAATAATCTACTTATGAAGAGTATTAATATAAACTATTCCATTATTCCATTTTTAATGATCTCCAGGGCAGGTCTCAAGATGAGCCATTAAAAATATTTTGCTAATTGTTTATTTTAAAATACAAAAAAAAACTTCGATGTTACCTAGATTCAGACTGAAGTTGGCTTTTGCTTAATTTGTTGTATAAATTCAGTTTATATCAGACTTCTATGCTAGCCAACTTCTGTTTGCCCTTTGTTTTCAAATAGTGCAAATATAAGGAGGCCTACGAGAAAGCCAAAGGCAAGCAAGTTGGATTTCTCAGTCTTCAGGATGATCCTAAACTGGTTCACTACATGAATGTGGCCAAAATCCAGTCTGATCGTGAGTACAAAAAGGGCTATGAAGCCAGCAAGACCAAGTACCACACACCTCTGGATATGGTCAGTGTGACAGCTGCAAAGAAATCTCAGGAGGTTGCCACCAACGCCAACTACAGACAGTCATACCACCACTACACTCTCCTGCCCGATGCCTTGAATGTGGAGCACTCCAGGAATGCCATGCAGATTCAGAGTGATGTATGTACTGGTTACCAAGTTGTTATCCATTTCTAATGGGTGGGAGGAAAAAACAGGAGCCACTTACTCCATCCCACACCTGGCTGCACTCACTGTAATTAAGGATTCCCTCCAGAACTCAGAGTTTTAGGATTTCACTCATTTGAACTATAGGTGGCTTTGTTGTTAATTTTATATATATGCATACAAATATATTTAAAATGTTGGTATTAGACCCAAACATATGATGTTGTCTATGAAAAATTAGGAGGCTCAGATAGATGTTATATAATTTTCCTTCCAGTGCAAAATTCTGTTAATTTTTCATTTATTTTCCTCAAGAAAGTTAACTTGTTAAAGGAATTGCTGGGTCAGGATTTCCTGTTCAAAACCACTATGAATGCAATTATTTTTATAATTAATTTCTTCTGAAAGACTGTAGGGAGTAAAAAGCAGATTATTCTCCCCCTCCCAGCTTCTCTTTTTCTTTTTGATTGTAAGTAAATCACATAGCCAAAGAAACACAAGCCCTGACTCTTTCTGAAATGAAATTTTTTTTCTCATTGTAAAGAATCTGTACAAATCTGACTTCACCAATTGGATGAAAGGGATCGGCTGGGTGCCCATAGAGTCCCTGGAGGTGGAGAAGGCAAAGAAAGCAGGAGAGATTCTTAGTGAGAAGAAGTATCGCCAGCACCCCGAGAAGCTGAAGTTCACTTACGCCATGGACACAATGGAACAGGCACTTAACAAGAGTAACAAACTGAACATGGACAAGGTAAGGACTCACCTGCCAGCCTCGCCCAGGGAACCCTCATGGTGTTCATGACATTGAGCCTGGCAGTGCCCCAATCGTCTCCTACAGTGTTTCTTTCTGATCGTCTTCGTGCCGGTGGTGGGAGGGGGACTCTATTGCTTCCATTATGTTTAGAGCGTTCTCTTTCATAGTGACCCCTCAGATCATCTCTCAACAGCATGTTAAGAATGTGACAGAACCACAAAACTCCACATGGTTGTGCGGTGGGGGCAAGATGGTATTTGGTGCTTTGGTGGTAGAGGGTTGCCGTATTCAACAATTTTTTTCTTATTGTGTATTTAGTTTACTTGGCCCATCTTTTTGTTATTTCATCCATTTTCTAATATCCATTTAACCTCTTTTACCATGGAGTTGTAAATCTCTTCCTCTTGCTAGCATTGGGTCAAACTTGTCCTGCTGTAAAATCATGCACCTGACTTTCTCATTGCAGAGGCTCTACACTGAAAAATGGAACAAGGACAAGACCACCATTCATGTCATGCCTGACACACCGGATATTTTACTCTCCAGAGTAAACCAAATCACCATGAGTGATGTAAGTAGGTTAACAACAGCAAAAGCTGGGGAGAAGGTTAAAGGGAACTGATACTTATGTCTGCATTCTACATACCAACCACTTTGTAGTCAGGACCTCTATTCTAACCCCAATAACAAGATGCTGTTGTTTTTCTATTTTATTGTTTAGAAACTGTACAAAGCTGGCTGGGAAGAGGAAAAGAAGAAAGGATATGACCTGAGGCCTGATGCCATTGCAATAAAGGCTGCAAGAGCCTCTAGAGACATTGCCAGTGATGTAAGTGCTTGCACTGGGCCTTTTTGGGGTTGAGCAAGTAAGAACAAATGCGCTAAGCTTGTGTGTATGTAGGAGCAGTGGTCAGCTCCATTCAGGGTTGGTGGGAATGCCATCCCATGTGACACAAGACACCTCCCTTCACCCCATCCAAGTACCCTCTAATCATCTGTTCATTATTTAATGTAAGTAGTGACTGAGTCTTGTTAAAATAAGTAGCCTTTAGAGTCTATTCAAATCACTTACAATCCTAAGCAAATGTAAAGATGCAATCTACGTGTTTTACCAGGAGGCCCATGGCCAGGCCCTCTCTTTAAAGATGCACCATGAGAAATCCTGCCTGCAGCCTTTTCTGTCACTTAGACAACTGAGTGGGGAAATCTGCTTTCTAAATCTCTCTAAACCAATTTATTTACACATCTCTTCGATTAACTCTGAGATTATTTTCTTTCCATGGACTCAAGTCTCGGGAAAAAAAAAAATGAAGTAAAAAGAGTTTGCTCCCTCCCTCTCACGAGTGCCTCCCTTCCAATTTTAGAGTAGCTCTAAAACCCTTCATCTAAGACAAAGCTCACATCACCTAGCAAATGGTACTTTGTTCTCTTTTACCATTTTCATCACCATAATTTCTTCTCTGTCCACAGTACAAATACAAGAAAGCCTATGAACAAGCCAAAGGGAAACACATTGGCTTCCGGAGCCTGGAAGATGACCCCAAGCTGGTGCACTTCATGCAAGTGGCCAAGATGCAGTCAGACCGGGAATACAAGAAGGGATATGAGAAATCCAAGACCTCCTTCCACACCCCGGTGGACATGCTCAGTGTGGTGGCAGCCAAGAAGTCTCAGGAAGTGGCCACCAATGCCAACTACAGGAACGTGATCCATACCTACAACATGCTTCCTGATGCCATGAGCTTTGAATTGGCCAAAAATATGATGCAGATTCAAAGTGATGTACGTGAAAACCACATTTGCAGAGCGTTTACTCTGGATAATAAGCAACCATGAGTGACCATAAGCAATGACGTTTTGAAAATCCTGAAAGAAATTCATCTGCAATTTCCCAACATAGTGTTTCATTTGTTACCTTAGATTGAATTCATGTCCTTTAACAAAAGGAGATCAATTCTAGAAACTAAAGTCTTGTTTTCTACTATTGTTGCTGGGAGCATTGTTGGATTCTGAATTCCACAACAGCAAATGGAACTTCATTTCAGAAAGAGTGTATTGAAAGGAATATGTCTAGCAAAGATGGTCAAAAGCATAATAGGCTTTTAATAGAGGAATAAAAGGGAAAGTAAGAAATCAGATAACCTGATAGCTCCAGCCCCTCCCTCCCAACCGGGTTTCATTCTACCACTTCTAACTTTGCAATTGCCTGCCTTACTAATGAAATTTTGAGAAGGTGATGACTGAGGCAGCCTTTAGACTAAATATAAGGAAGACAGAGAAAGAATAGAGCCAAGAATTTAGCTAAAGAGTCCATTTGATGGTTGGAGAGGTGAATTAAGTTACAAACCCAAAGCAGACGAAAGCAAGGCTACATTTCTCTTTGGGAATGTGAGGGCTGAGCTATTAATTGTCAGGGAGGTAGTAAGTGCCTGAATGAAAGCAGCCATGGCACAGGTGTAGAGAGAAATGTCAAAGCTGAGGAGGAAAAAATGAAATTTACACAAAGTACCAGGAAGGTTTCTGGCATACCTGAGGGAATTGTAATGGTGGTGGTTGATCAAAGACAGTGAAAGAGAAAAATGGGGTTTCCATAGTCATCTGTTAACCAAGGGGACTTGGGAATTTTTATAAGAAAGGTCAGCATAGTTGCTTTTCTCAAGGAGATAACAGTCACCTGGGAGATGAATCTATGTGGTATTTCTTAGTACTTTTTCTTTATGAAGGCATTGAGAAAAACAAGTCACAAAGACATTTCTGCTTATTTTTAATTTATCATGCAAGGAAATATAAAAAGGATAAAAGTTTAGGGAAGAAATGGTTGAAGTTCAACATGCTATTGGTTAAATACCAATATTCAAGCAAATATTGAAGTGGAAAAGTTACAGAAAATTTACAAATGAAATGGAAGTTACAGAATGTTAAACACACACTTAGGATTCTTGGGAAGTTCCAGTTTCTTCTCATAATTTAATTTTTCCTCTTTTGCAGAATCAGTACAAGGCTGACTATGCTGACTTCATGAAGGGCATTGGATGGCTCCCTCTGGGCTCCCTGGAAGCAGAGAAAAACAAGAAAGCCATGGAGATTATTAGTGAAAAGAAGTACCGCCAGCACCCAGACACTTTGAAGTATTCCACACTCATGGACTCGATGAACATGGTTTTGGCCCAGAATAATGCAAAAATTATGAACGAAGTAAGTCTTTCAATAATGCAGTGTTTCATATGCATCAGAGAGAATCCAGGTATAATTTACATTTAATCCACAGGTTTTGCTAATACAGTTATAGGGCATCACACTTGAGGTTATTTTACCTAGAAAAAGAGTCTTGTCGTTAAAAAAAAAAAGAATAGGAATTATTTCTAACTAGTAGTCTTCAAATCTTCAATGAACCATCCTATCTCATTGACATAACCAAATAAATAGGGACTTTTTCTTTTACTGCACCTCTTGAAAATGAGTCCTGTTTGTCTAAGGTGAGGTTGAATAGACATTCATGACACTGAATCAGCAGATTTCCTGATGGTAGCTGGTGTTGGAAACCACCTCCCAAACCCCAGCTTGCTTTCTGCTTTGATGGGATCAAAGAAAAGTCCAAGATTACATGCCTGTAGCAGCATTTCAAACCAGGACGTTCTCTGGGTAATCTTGAGGGCAGTTGTTCTACATCAGTGTTTCCTTGGTTCATGAATTATTCCAGCTTTTAGAAAAGACTTACTCTATTTTTACATTGATTTGCAATAAGAGATCAAGACCAACAAGTACAATCAACCTTGAACATCTGTTTTTGAAGTTAAAAGTAATAAAATAACTGCAGCAGCACTGGTGGATCAAAATGAGAAATGCCTTTGATAACAGAGAAAAAGATGATTTGGATCTAAACGTGAAACAGTTGCAGAAAATAATGGCCATAGTTGTGCTAGAAAGATAGAACTGTATTATGCTAAGCCACGGAGCAAACCCCCTGGAGTCTTCAGAGAATTGAATGATTTGTGGAGCTCAACCTCCTTGAAAGGGACCTGCCTCAAAGACAAGGCACAAATTTCTGTGCCTCTTTTAAGATTTAAATCTAAACTACATGAGGATATCTATTTTTTTCAGTGTTAGTGATTAACATTTCAGGATAATGATGCCAAGAGGAGAATCATAGAACTAGCACGTACTGGCACCAAGAGACATCTTGATGACCATCAAGTTGAATCCTCCCATTGCAGAGTTGAGAAAAGAACAGCCCAGAGAAGCAAAGCACCTCCCACACAGCGGGTCAACAGCAGGGTCTGGACTAGAACAGGGATTCTGATAACTAGTCACCACTCTTTCCACTAGCATTTCACTGTCCAATACTATTACTACTAGCCACATGTGTTGATTTATATTTACATAAATCATATTAATAATTCAGTTTCTCATTCACATTAGCTACATTTCAAGTACTCAATCGGCCTATGTGGCTAGGTTCTACCATATTGGATTATGCAGAACATTTCCATCATTACAGAAAGTTCTATTGTATAGTGCTGGTCTAAAACAGAGTTCAGAAAAATGACTGTTTTTGTAAATAAAGTTTTATAGTGACACAACCACAGCTGTTTGTTGGCGTGTGGTCTCTGGCTGCTTTTGGACTACAACAGCAGAGTTGAGTAGCTAATGACAGCAATTGTTTAGCCCACAAAGCCTGAAATTTAAGGAATTTCTGTCTATACAGAAAAAGTTTGCCAATCTCTAGTCCAGAAAAAGGTTATTCTTATTTTAATTAAGATGGGCTAAAACAAAGAGATAGCATTTATCATCTATTGCATTTGCAAATATTAAATAGCTGTGTTACATGCAATATCTGTAAGGGAGTTTCTGTTAAAGCAAACTTTTAATGGGCCATTTGTTAATGTTCGTTAAAATTTAAAACTCAGGTATCATTACCCTATAGAAATCCTTATATATGTGTGCAAAGATATACATACATACATACATACACACAAGAATATGTTTTGCAGTTTAGGGTTTCTGAAAGGAGACGCTAAGATGAAAATTGGAGTACAGAGTATTTTTTAGGGATCCTAGTCTTTGGGAAGAAGGACTAGGCCGGAGGAGAAGTTGAACAGTGATGCTGGCATGACAAAGTCTTGGCCAGTCCCACAGAGGGCTCTCAAGTGTCTCTGTCAGTAGAGACCTGCACTGAACTGAAATGGCTAGATCTTTGTACCCCCACTTCGATGAGTTGTTGAATGTGGTTATCTGGGAAGGGCATACTCTTGAGTGAGACAGCTGGTGACTGGAGACTATTTGCCAAAAGTTGGGGAATCAGGTCCTTCCTTGAATGAGTATATTGGTGGCACATCTCCATGTCCACCACAAGGATCATGACATTGCTTGTAGCAGAAAAAGGCTAGAGGCCATAAGTTAAATATTCATCACCAGAGAACTGATTAAATTAATTAGATTATACCTCCTAATGAAATACTACGTAGCTCTAAAAATGAATGAAGTAAATTATTTTAAGAAGGTTCAAATATGTCTAACCTATATTATTAAGTTAAAAATCAAGATGTAGAACATGACTTCATGTATATTTAAAAAGGACTATATGTCTGTTTTAATTTACACAGAAAATTTTAGGAGGCAAATGCTACCTTCATGCTGTAAGATAAGGGGAAAAAACATTTTTACTTTCCATCTTACATCCTCCCTGCTGTATTGTTTGAATAAGCAACTTTTCCATTAAAATTTTTTTGGGCCAGGTGCAGTGGCTCATGCCTGTAATACTAGCACTTTGGAAGGTGAAGGCAGGTGGATTGCTTGAGCTCAGGAGTTTGAAACCAGCCTGGGCAACATGGCAAAAACCCATCTCTACAAAAAATACAAAAATTAGCCAGGCATGGTAGTGCATGCCTGTAGTCCCAGCTACTCAGGAGGCTGAGGTGGGAGGATGGATTGTTTGAGCCTGGGAGGTGGAGGTTGCAGTGAGCCATAATTGCACTACTGCACTCCAGCCTGGGTGACAGCGCAAGACTCTGTCTCAAAAATAATAAATAAATAAATTAATTAATTTAAACCTAGCTAATAAAAATACATGAAATATTGATATATATGTACAATGATATGTATGTACTAAGTGAGCTTCTTTTAAGATTTTAAACACTAATTTACACTGTTTTTTTCCTAGCATCTCTACAAACAAGCATGGGAGGCTGACAAAACCAAAGTCCACATCATGCCTGATATCCCCCAGATTATTTTGGCAAAGGCAAATGCAATTAATATGAGTGATGTAAGTATAGTTCCCCCTGTTGTCATCTTTCTCTCCAGCAGATTTGAACCAGTAAGAACAAATTAATTAATATCTCTCTCAGTTATGAGAGTGAATGTTTTAAAAATAATGGTGGAAATCCACACATGAGACTCTTTCTAATTTTGCTTTGCGGAGTTGGAGTAGGACTGTGGATGGGGTTGGGCCAAGCAGTTAAGAATTTGAACGGTGTGATTGGATTTTGTTCTAGGGGGGCACTCCTTATTAAATTGAGAGATTTGGTAGAAAGAAACAGGCTCCGGGGCCAGGAGAAGAGAAAAAGGAAATGAGAGTCCTAGAATTTCGTTCTTAGACAGCCCTTCCATCAAGCCTTTGAGATGGTTCTAAAGAAGGGGTTAAATGGAAAGGGAAGAAGAACATTTTGAAGAATCTGGGGCAAAACCCCAAAACAAAGAATGTGCAAATGTATTGATATTTTATTTCATTTCCTTTTTCATCCTAATCATAGTTGCTAGGAAATCCTCTAATCCTATTTTTATCATTTCTTTGTTTGAATTCCACAGAGATTTGGAATAGCTGACCTTTTTTTTTAATTGTAGATTCCACATTATTATACAAATAAAAGTGCTGATTCTAAAACAGAGATGTTTTCTTTTGATGTAAGAATAAGGCTGTTTTGTAGTCTTCCTTTAACTCTTATTTGCATCAATAAGAATCTCTGGGACTTTCACATTTTTTAAAGTATATTTACAACCTAATAGAGACCAGTAACTTTTACTTTTTCTGGTATTTTCTTGAAAATATGTTTAAGTTTGTTATAGATTGTTTTTCAAACACAGTTATGTTACTTGTAAGAACATTCAGCCACTGAAGCACCAACGAAGCATTCTGCTCAAAAACAAAAAAAAAGACGCCACAGTGGTAGTTTACTCTTCTAAAATAAATCCAGGCTTTCATATTTAGAAGAAAACTCTTCCCTTTGCCTCTCTTTACAGAAACTCTACAAACTTTCCTTGGAAGAGTCTAAAAAGAAAGGCTATGATCTCAGACCTGATGCAATTCCTATCAAAGCTGCCAAGGCTTCCAGAGATATTGCAAGTGATGTAAGTCCAAAGGAAACGGTCACCTGGCTGGGGGTTTCTAAGGAACCGAAATAATAAGGGCTGAGTTCTGGAAACACTGAGTGGACACAATATGAAAAACAGTGGGTCTCACTCTCTGTGAATGCTTCTTAACCTTGCTTTTGTGTTTTCTCTGATATTTCTGAAAAAACACCAAGCTAACCACATGGTGACCCTCATAGATGTCAGCTCCCTGACTCATGAGATCTAGATAAACTTACTTTGAATCTGTCACCAAGGCTATGGCTTATAGAAATTCAAAGCCCTTCACTAAGCTTTCTTGGTGAAAGTCTTGTGTTGTTCTTGCCTCCTGCTTCTTCGGATCTGATTTTCTAACAGGATGTCTCATGTATGCAAGGGTGCTGATCATTTGGGCTCATGATAGTTGATGAGTAAATAATCAGGAATTTTTGCAAACCAGTTGTTAAACTATCGGTGGCTTGATATCAGCTGTGACGGGCATATTTACACCACAGAAATTGGCAAACACTACAAAGTGAGGCTTTCCCTGCGCTGGCCGGCAAAAAAGCAGGTGTACCAACACATCACTGTCATGACATGCCACCTATATGAAACTCAATTCTTTCATTTGGTTGTTTCCACAAGAAATCCACTCACAGGGAACATTTAATGACTTGGAGGTCCTGGGAGGAGCATATTTCAAAACAATCTCTCCTTGGTCACCCATCAGTTTTACTTTCTCTCCCATCTCTATTCTTCATCTTCCCTACCTATCCAGCCCATCCCATTCTCTCTTATTATCCTGAGAACTCCAAATTCTTCTCCCCTCTATTACGCTGGAGTAATTTGGCTCTACTAGCTTCTACCCCCAACTTGCACACGCAACCCCAAAAGGAGACAGGCAGAAAAAGAAGCTCTCCATGGATCAAGATCTCCCCTCTGTAGAAGAAAGTTGGGATGATAAATAGTACAATTTCTTCCCCATTATAGCAGTTTAGAGAGTCTTAAAGGAAAAGGAGCTCCACGAATATAAAGCTATTCTAAAATTACACTGTGTGTCTCATAATTGAAACTTTTCTCATCAGTAAATGACTGACAGAATAATTTCTCAGGGCAGCATTAAGAGAAATGTTCTGTTTTTTTGCCTTTTTTTTTTCATCTTCTGTGTTCTTTTTACCTACTAAAGGCCTCTTTAGCACTAACAGCAAAGTACATGCATAAGTCAGTGTGATGCATCATCACAAAATCTGGGTTCTAATCCTCAGTGGCCTCAGCAGGTTGCTCAGCTCTCTGGGTCTCAGCTTATTCATCTATAAAATGAGGAGAGTAATAAGAACTTTTCTATCTACCTCACAAGGGAGAGTTGTATTCAGTTACATCAATAAATATGAAAAATTAGTCTGTGAACTATAGAGCTCTATACAAATATAATTTTTAATTATATTTTATAATTATACAAAAATAATATAGCATATTGACACTAGATCGATTTTTAGTCAAAGGAATTGCTCTGTGTAAAAACTCATATTTTCTTCACAGTATAAATACAAGTACAATTATGAAAAAGGGAAGGGGAAAATGGTTGGTTTCCGCAGTCTCGAGGATGATCCCAAATTAGTCCATTCCATGCAAGTGGCTAAGATGCAATCTGATCGGGAGTACAAGAAAAACTATGAGAACACAAAGACCAGCTACCACACCCCTGCCGACATGCTCAGTGTCACGGCTGCAAAGGATGCCCAAGCCAACATCACCAACACTAACTACAAGCACCTGATTCACAAGTACATCCTCCTTCCAGATGCAATGAACATTGAGCTGACCAGGAATATGAATCGCATACAGAGTGATGTAAGGCTTTCTTCTACTTGGGTGATGGTTGGAATCCTAGCATGGGAAGGGAGATCACAGTCTGTTTACATGCCATGGTTTGTGTCTAAATGGATAAGATAAAGTAGAATTTGCTTATCTTCTTTATAGAATGAATATAAGCAAGATTACAATGAATGGTACAAAGGGCTTGGCTGGAGTCCAGCAGGTTCTCTGGAAGTGGAGAAGGCCAAGAAAGCAACTGAATATGCCAGTGATCAGAAATACCGCCAGCACCCGAGCAACTTCCAGTTTAAGAAGCTGACTGATTCCATGGACATGGTGCTTGCCAAGCAGAATGCACATACCATGAACAAGGTACAGAGAACAGTGGCCGTCCACACAGCTCCCACGTGAGGAAAGGCTAGCAGGCTCTGGTTCTTGTTTGGAGAAATCTAATTAAGGTCCATCATTCCTAGGCTGTGGCAAACCATTCCAGATCATTCCCCTACACCATCTTCTTCTGCCCATCTCTTATTTTTTTTCTTCTCTTGACCTTCTAGTTGGGTTAGAAATTATTTATGTTTTTAATTATTATATCTTCAATACTTTCAGTCCATTGTAGAAAATAGAAAATACTTAAAAGATTTTTTTTTTAAATCTGAGTTTGTTTTTAGGGTCTTTTCTGAATTATATGCTACTTAGTTATTACTTACTACATCAAATTGAGTGCATTCAAGTACTAATATATAAATACATATTTTTCTTTCCTGCTTGTCCCAGTTATTCAAATTTCATGTCTTTTTTTCCCACTTCCTAGCATTTATACACCATTGATTGGAATAAAGATAAGACCAAGATTCATGTGATGCCTGATACACCAGATATTTTACAAGCCAAGCAGAATCAAACACTGTATAGTCAGGTAAATTTATATAAAAATTAATTTTAAGTTTTGTATTGAAACTTATGAACTTATAAAATAATGTAACAGTAAATACTGATATAAATGTTGAAGCAATGGAAGTTTGGAAATGACACACTGATTAGCCCAGGATGTTGCAAAATAGAGTGCTTAAGAGCAAAGGCTTCAGCCACAACTGTATGCTTTGTGGAGCAGGTTCTGTGTCTGTTTATCTCTGTGTTCATTGTGCTTGATACCAAGCAGGAAATCAATAGAAAATTGTTGAAAAAAAATTGCATCAAACAGCCAGGTGTGATGACATGCACCTGTAGTCCCAGCTACTCAGGAAGCTGAGGCAGGAGGATCCCTTGAGCTCTGAAGTTTGAATCCAGTTTGGGCAACATTGGGAGACCCTGTCTCTAATAAATAAATACATAAATAAAGTAAAAATTGCATCAAACAGACTTGGTATGAGTTTTGGCTTTGCCATTTTTGAGATGTATAGTACTGGGTAACTCAATTACCTATCTAAGTCTCACTTTCCTCATCCCTAAAATTGGGACCATAAAAGTGCCTATGACATTGGATTGCCATGAGGACTAAATGGGAAATTCTGTATAAGATTCTCAATACAGTACCTGGCCCATGGAAAGTACTGGATAACTATGAGCTATTTTTGTTATTACCCAGTTTTAACACACATACATCCATTCAATCAGTAAAGTCAACTCAGAAAGATTGCAACTAAATTATTGCAATTTATAAAAGGCATTTCATCATTTATTGCTTTTATCACTTAGCTAATTAAAATGTTGTGACCTGTTTTTCTTTTTATTAGCAATTATCTTAATATCTATCTTCAAAATAGTAAGCCCAGGCGGTATTAAACAGCAGTGAGAAAGATACGTGATATGCCTGATATGACCATATTGTTTCTGAACAGCAGAAGCTATGATAAAATATACCACCAGGATTCTCACAGCCAAAAAAGATTAAAGCCAGGTCATATGATGCTGAGTCAGTGCTTTTTCCCCTCCTTTAAACAGCTTGTTTTATTTTTATCCATATCTTTAAAGATAGGGTAGATGATGTTCGATCTGATATTCACTCTGTAGGTAAACTTTTCCCTAATAATCTATTGATATTCTTTATATAGACAGAATAATGCTGAAGAATATCTTTAATTTTCAGAAACTCTATAAACTTGGATGGGAAGAAGCTTTGAAGAAAGGCTATGATCTCCCAGTTGATGCAATTTCTGTACAGCTAGCTAAAGCTTCAAGAGACATTGCTAGTGATGTGAGTACTAGTTTGAGTTCTATAAGGCTATATTTTTATCTGAATCAGGTGACTTAATGTCGGTAACTATTTTTATGGATAGTCTTTACCTTTCAAAATATAATGCTTCCTTCATTTTCTCCTACCCTCTTCATTTATCCGGAGTTCACTCTTCTCTTTCACTGTTCATATGTCAAAAGGGCTTCCTGAATAGAGGTCGGGCCAGACGACCTCTAAGATCCATTAGAGTAAGATGCTCTACTTGGAGATGTTACAAAGGACCCGAGATTGCAAGTTTTCCCTACTTTGCCTGAAAATATAATAATTTTACTGCTTTCTACTTGTCTATTTTAGACAAATTCAAAGTGCCAGATGA
Source organism: Homo sapiens (assembly GCF_000001405.40). NCBI lineage: Eukaryota > Metazoa > Chordata > Mammalia > Primates > Hominidae > Homo > Homo sapiens. Next base: position 151,653,636 of record NC_000002.12, on the reverse strand, counting down.
TAAATCAACCTCAACAAACTGATGCTGATAGATTTTATATGCACATATTTTAAAATAGGCTGTCAGTTATTTCAGTTTAGCCCATTTTGCACTTATATAATTGTAATAAATTACCTTGGGACATAAAAAATCCAAGAAGGTCCAGAAATTTAGGTTTAAGTTCCCAAGGGCTTACTTAACTCTTCTTTCTGAAAATCCAATCTAAAGTTCATAGATTCACTCTCCCAAAGGTAGATTCCAGTTATGATTAGAAACGGTAGCAAATCTGGTGAAAAACTAGGTATTGTCTCTATTTAGGTATTGTCTCTATTGGTTAATTTTTTACAAGTATTTTACTTAGATATTCTGCATATTGCTAGCATATCATTTTGTTAATCCCAAAACTTAACCACAAAAATTCAGAAGGTCTTGGTTATAGTGAATAAATTACCAGGATTTCATAGGGAAGTAGGACCTCTTAATCAAAATCTTTGAAAGAAAACAGGGATTTGGTTAATAGGCAGGTTGAAGTACAGAGTGCAGGAAAGGAATGCCTAAAAATGGAATCTGACAATAAATTCTAAGAATATAGGGGAAGATTTTATTTAATTCACTTAATTTCTGGCACTCCAGAAATGTTGGAAAATTAATATGATGATATATTATTACCCACTCTCCAGCTTGCAGGTCAATCCCTTATTAAAATAAATCAATGAGGTGATAAGCCTAAAGCAATAATGATGTGTAAACTCATTTCCATTTAGTGCTATGTGCTAAAGATAGTTTAGGAATTGAAGAAATAACATCAATAATTTCCTAACAACATTTGATAGTACCTCATTTCTTTTTGTGTGAACCCATTAATTCGAACCTTTTGAAATCTTACTCTCAAATGAACTATAAGTGAACTTTCCCACTATTATAGAGATGTATTTCCCTCAATTTCAAATGTCCTTGTATTTATAAATTTTCAGAAAATTAAAACAATTTTATAAGTATTTAATGAATTAGAATCATAGAATTTAGAGTCGGAAGATAACATAAAGGACATTTAATCTAATCTCCCACTCAGCATCCTACCTTCTCTCCATCTCCAAAATTCTGTAGATACTTAAAAATATAAGAATTTTGGAGGCTGGGTGCAGTGGCCCCGTCCCATAATCTCAGCACTTTGGGAGGCCAAGGCAGGAAGATGATTTGAAGCCAGGAGTTCAAGACCAGCCTGGGCAACGTAGTGAGACTCTTTCTTTACAAAAAATAAAAAATTAGCTGGGCATGGTGGTGTGTGCCTGGAGTCTCAGCTACTTGGGAGGCTGAGGTGGGAGGATCACTTGAGCTTGGAAGGCTGAGGCTTTAGTGAGCCATGATCGCACCACTGCACTCCAGCCTGGGCAACAGAGCCAGACGGTATCTCAAAAATAAAAAAATTCTTTAAAGGAATTTTGGAGTCCTTCAGGGCAGGTCATTTCTTTGTTAGATCATTTCTAATTGCCATTATATACCTTCTTATTTTTGCCTAAATATTTTACCAATAAGCTCTAGATCTCTGTTCTACAACACCACAAAGCAGCCTATTTCCACTTCCACTTGATAGGTCTTCAAACATTTTCATATTTGCCCTCCTTTGTTTTCAGTTTTATAAATTCTTCAATCTTCTGATCATTCTATTTGTAATTTGTGCTATTTTTTCAAAACTCTTGTCAAAATAGAATCCCTCAAAATTTAGTGTTGTTTTCTTGATACGGAAGGTCAGGTCAGAAAGCTTATTTGTGCCCCATACAAAATCTATGGCACTGCTTTTTAAAAAGCAATTTTGTCAGATTGCTTATGTTGAAGTTAAAGTCCACTTAAACTCCTGAATATTTTATATATGTAATAATGAAGCTGGGTATCATGTAACGTATAACATGTGTTCAGCACCTAACATCAAGTAAATGCTGTTAGTATACTCATTATTATCACTGTTGTTATTGTCATCTAGTACTAATGTGATTTTTCTTAATTGAATCTAAATACCAAATTTTACTTTTACTGTCTTAAATTTATGTAATCATTTTGACCCATTTGGCAGTATGTTGAGCTCCTGTGGAATTTTCTTCCTAATCTAACATATTTAGTTATTTTTAGCCATCTGCACATGCAAGATATAGATCCCAAACAGGACAAGGTTATATGACGTAACCACATGGCAAACCACAAAAAGATCCTGCTATTTAATGGATTAGTCTGCATTATTAGGCGTATTTACTTAGTCATGTATCTTCCTGATTTTTCTGCCATTTAGCCCGTAAGGATTATCATTTCCATAAGAATATCACAAGAGCTGTATTAAATACAACCCCAAAGTCAGAATACACAATATCTAGCACAACCAAACATATATTTCTGCATCTAGTTAGAATTAATTTCTTATCATAACCTCTCTTGATACTCAATTACATTAGATTTCTTCAGAAGCTTCCATGTAAACAAGGCTTAGTTTAAGTAAGTAAACATTCCATACTAAGTTAGCATAGACAACACTTCTCTCATTTCAGTTTTGGAAAACAAACATGAAAACAAGGCAAACTGAAGCTGGATGAGGTGGCATGTACCTGTAAATCCCAGCTACTAGGGAGGCTGAAGCTAGAAAAGTAGGCCTGGGAGTTCAAGACCAGCCTGGGAAACATAGACCCCTGTCTCAAAAAAAAGAAAGAAAGAAAAGAAAAAAAAGCAAGTTGAGCTTAACTTGGCCTTTGTGTACTAAAAGAGCTGTGTTTTCTCTGATTTCAGTATAAATACAAACAAGGCTACCGAAAGCAACTTGGCCACCATGTTGGATTCCGGAGTCTGCAAGATGACCCAAAACTTGTGTTGTCCATGAATGTAGCCAAAATGCAGAGTGAAAGAGAATACAAGAAGGACTTTGAGAAGTGGAAAACTAAGTTCTCCAGCCCAGTGGACATGTTGGGAGTGGTACTGGCCAAGAAGTGTCAGGAGTTGGTTAGTGACGTGGACTACAAGAACTACCTGCATCAGTGGACATGTCTGCCTGATCAGAACGATGTTGTGCAAGCTAAGAAAGTTTATGAACTGCAAAGTGAGGTCAGTTTCTATTAAATCCAATAGTTTATATATTAATTCATATTTTATATGAGTAGCTATTTAGTCAAAGAGAAGCAGAAATTAGGAATTATTATTGAAAATCTAAAATGCATCTGTTTGTAATGCATAGAATCACTTGAATCAAGGGTCCAGGTGAGAATGGGATTTTGATGGCTTGCTCTGTCTTTTCACAGAATCTATATAAATCTGACCTTGAGTGGCTGAGAGGCATAGGATGGAGTCCCTTGGGTTCTTTAGAGGCAGAAAAGAACAAGCGGGCTTCGGAAATCATCAGTGAGAAGAAATATCGTCAGCCTCCAGACAGAAACAAGTTCACCAGCATTCCTGATGCCATGGATATAGTTCTGGCAAAGACAAATGCCAAAAATAGGAGTGATGTGAGTAGCACTCTGGAAATAAATAGATTATAGTGCCTGCTACCTAGTGTTTGCTCAATAGCACTTGCTTAATAAATGAGTAGAACCACAAAGCATTGCCTCATACATCACCACATAAAATTTTATATTGGATCATTTTATTTGAATTAGCAACTATCCTACACTGAATCATGTAAAAATGGGTCAGTGTCAGTTTTTGTCACCCAAAGCTTATTTATTATTTAACCAAAATATAATGGGAAAATGATCGAACAAACTGTTTTTCTTTGAAACTTGACTGCATGAAACACCCAGATGTTTTTTGTTGGGGTAGAGTATATGAGGGGGAAAGATTCTGAGTACCTTACACAGGCACAATGGATGTGTTATAAAGAGTGTATTTCCTGACAAATGATTATAATGCTTTTAGTTTAGCTGAATCAGGATAAATGGATAATTCTGTCACTGTAAATAAGTATCTATTCCATCTTCAACTTATTTTCTTCACCAGCTCTGACACCAGTATCTAGCACATAATAGGTACTCAATAAATATTCATTGAAAAAATACATAAAATATAGCAGGGTGGAGTAATTATATGCAAAGAAGGGAAAGATTACTCAACACTGCTCAGCTAAAAGCCTAACTTTGAACATTACAGAATACTGAAGTATGTGCCCTGAAATCTGTAATTGGTAAGAAGATTTAAACAGATATATAATAACCGTCTGTTATTAGGAGGATCTAAATATATGTACTGTAGGTCTTAGGAGGATCTGAATATATATACTATATGTAATATGCTATACACTTTACATATATCATATATCAGAAGTTTTATATAATATATAAGCCCATAATCAGCTTAGAATGAGCATTGATAAACTGTAGTTCCTCTTTTCCTAACTAACCCCTCACAGACTTTTTATAATGCTGATTTCCAGAATGTATAGTAAATGCTGACCTGTCAGCTTCATTATGAATGTTTAAGCATTTACTTATTCTTTTACTATTTTTATGATGACAGAATCCAACAAAATGAGAAAACAACAAATTTGTACAAAATGTTTCCCCCTTGTTGGAATCCAAGTTTCTTTTCTTTCCATGAAACAGGAGATAAAAAGATCTGAACTTAATAAGGTGACCAAATGAGAACCCCTAGATCATTAAGTTTATCGATATACACGTTCTGGGACAGGACTCCCCAGCAGTGTGCTCTAGTTTGGGGAATGCTGAAACATGGAGCTCTCAGGCCTCAGGACTGCCACACAAAACCCGGGCCAGCTGGGGTCCTTGAGCTTGCAGTCTCTCCTTCTGAATCAACTGATACACCTATCCCAGTGTAAATAATAATAGCATTTTCTCTGCATTCCATGGGGTGAAAGTGGCACATGCCATTGAAGAAATAATCTAACTTAGTGACTTTCAACCAGAAGCAATTTTGTCCCACAGGAACATTTAGCAACATCTAGAAATATTTTTGGTTTTTACAACTGGGGAGTGGCATGCTACTGGCATCTAGTGGGTAGAAGCCAGGGATGCTGCTAAGCACCCCACAATGCACGGGGCAGCCCCCACAACAAAGAATCATCCATACACAATATCAGTGGTTAGCAGGTAGAGAAACTCTGCTGTTTGCTTGGTGGGTACAATGTGTGTTGCTCCAGTGATGGATGCACTGAAGGCCCTGACTTCACCACAATGCAATTGCTCTTGTGCCCCCATGAATATATGGAAATAAAAAAATTTTTTAAAGAGAAACTCTGGTGTTACTAAATCCAAAAGGGTAGTGCAGAACTGGGATACACACATATGGAAATTAACAAGCCTTGCTTTGTTTGGGTGCTGAGGGTCTTAATTGGCTTCTCTGGGTTATATGCACCATAACAAACATGTGCAGGAAAAAGAAAAGTGCCAGACACACACATCTCATGCTGCATACCTCAAAGGGAAATGGACAAGTTTAAGGAATCAATGAGACAAAAAAATTTTTTATTGAAATAATTTCAGGCACTCAGAAAAGTTGAAAAAATAGTACATGTAATTCACATATGTGTGTATGTGTGTGTGCATACATATACCCAGATTCCCCAAATGTTAAAATTTTACCACATTTGCTTTCTCTTTTTGTCTCTTTTTCTCCCTTTCTTTCTCTCAGATCTATATCTATATATCTATATGAGAAATTAAATTGCTTCATGATGCCTAAATATTCCGTCTGTATTTCCCAAGAATAAGAACATACTCACATAATCACATTGTGATGATTAAAATCACAGAATTAATTTCCACTGGTCTGCTAGTCTACAGAATTTATTCAATTTTATCACTAATATCCTTTATAAGAAAAGAAAATATTTTCTCTGGCTCAGGATTTAATCCAAGACCACAGGTTGCATTACTTGCTATGTCTTTAGTCTCCTTTACTCTGGACTAGTTCCTCACTGTTTCTTTGCCTTCCAAGTTTTTGACATTCGTAAAGAACATAGGTCAGTTATTTTGTAGAATCTCCCTCCATTTGGGTTTTCTGGTGGGTTCCTGTGATAGACTCAGATTATCTTTTCAGCAGGAGATCACACATTGTGTCCTCCTCAGTACCTCATATCAGGAGGCACAGGATATCAATTTGTTCTATTACTAATAACTTAAACACTTGGTTAAAGTGATGGTGCCAGGTTGCTGTACTGTTGAGTAACCATTTTATCCTTTGTAATTGATAAGTAATCTGGCAGGGAGATATTCTGCCCTGTGTAAATATTCTGTTTTTAATCAAATTTTCCTAGTTTTAGCCGGGCACGATGGCTCACACCTGTAATCCCAGCACTTTGGGAGGCCGAGGCAGGTGGATCACCTGCGATCAGGAGTTCGAGACCAGCCTGGCCAACATGGTGAAACCCCATCTCTACTAAAAATACAAAAATTAGCTGGGCATGTGGTGGGTGCCTGTAATCCCAGCTACTTGGGAAGCTGAGGCAGGAGAATTGCTTGAACCTGGGAGGTGGAGATTACAGTGAGCTAAGACTGCACCATTGCACTCCAGCATGGGCAACAAGAGTGAAACTCCATCTCAAAAAAAAAAAATTATTAGTTTTAGTAAGTCTGTGAAACTTTTGTTTGGATCCCCTTGTCTTCTGTTGAAGAGACATAAGGATGGCTCTGGGACATCCAAGATATCTTGATAAATTCCCCCCCAAAAAATCCTTTTGGGAATCCTAATCCTTCACAATGATTATGAGGCATAACTATAAATACTAAGTCACATAGAAGCTGGACACAGTGGCTCACACCTGTAATCCCAGCACTTTGGGAGGCTGAGGTGGGGAGTTCAAGGCCAGCCTGCACAACGTAGCGAAACCCTGTTTCTACTAAAAATACAAAAATTAGCCGGGTATGGTGGCACATGCCTGTAATCCTAGCTACTCAGGTGGCTGAGGCACCAGAATCACTTGAACTCAGGAGGCAGAGGTTGCAGTGAGCCATGATTGCGCCATTGCACTCCAGCCTGGGCAGCAGTGTAAGACTCTGTGTCAAAATAATGATAGTGATAACAATAAGCCACATAGGAAATAAAACTTCCTGATTTCTAGGCATGCTTTGAATAAGACATCTTTTGAAAAGGCAAGGGCTGCCTCTAAATTAAACACTGAGGGACACAACCCAGAAGATGGAGAAGCCTGTTTCATTTGATAATATTGGCAAGGCATGTAATTACCTAGATTGATTTCTTGTAGGCAGGATTATCTGTAACTTTGAAAATGTGACCCATAATCTCTGTGTTGAAAGGCAGTTATGTCCCAGATAAGTCAAGAAATATTGCATCTATTTTCTGCTTATGTTGTCTGCTTATTATATCAATTCTGTATAATGTTTAATTCAGATAAATTCAGCAATTCTGTTTGAAGCCAACTGTATCATTCACTAATCTAACAACACCACTGAAAAATTATTATTTCTTATTTTAGAGACTTTATAGAGAAGCTTGGGACAAAGACAAGACTCAGATCCACATCATGCCTGATACACCTGACATTGTTCTGGCTAAAGCAAACTTAATCAACACAAGTGATGTAAGTTTTCAAATTCAGCATGTGTTTTCAGAAAGCTCATTTTAATTGTTTCTAAATCAGTGAAATTGTCTAGAAGTTCTCTGAATCCCTGAATTATTTTAATTAATTAACTACATATGACTTAGATTCCTTATTTAGTGGCTTTTAGATTGAATATCGAAATGTTAGTACTCACTATGTCAGGCAGAATGGGGAGTCTGTATTCTCTGTTCCTTGCAGTCCGTTGTTATACATATCATCATAAGGTGGCTTATATTGCTCTTCCCAGTGTGGACAGGCACTCTTTGCAGGCAGAGGCAATTCTTATTGAATCTACAGTGCTTATCTAGAATCGTGCCTGACACATAGTAGACACTCAATGAAATTTTGGATCAGTGAGCATACAAAACCCACGCAGGAGAATCTCATTTTTATTGTCATTATCATTGCAGCATAATCTCCTGAAATGTATACATCTGAAAATTAAATATTTTAAAAACAAATTCTAAATTCTAATAGAATGACTTTAACATTAAAGAATGTATTAAAGTAGTTCCACGAAGGACTGACAGATAAACACAAGTCCAAGATCAATAGGCACTTTAAATAATCTGGTTTCTGGATAAAAGTACATTTAAATCATATTCTCAATTTTTAAATTATGTTACAGATCTGAAAAAACAAATTCTTTCACTTAAGCTTTTAAAATTCATTATTTAAACCTTCTTCAAAACATAAGTTTTAGAAATTATGGTGGACTCAGTATCTTACCTATAGATGTGGATCCTATTTTGGATGGTCCCATTTTGGGAGACAGACTATTTCACAATGCATCAGCTACATAGAAGAGATAACCCCTTAGGCATGATTTTTCCCCATTAGAAGAATTAGATGCTCTTTTCTAACAAAAACTTCTAATGAAACAGTCCATGTGAATTGAAAAACAGCACCTCAATAATAATCCATTTCATTTCTCTATTGTTTTACTTCTGCCTGATTCTTGCAAGTATAGACATGCACTGTATAACAACAGTTTGGCCAACAAAGGCACACATACAGGACGGTGGTCCCGTAACATAATCATACTGTATTTTTGCGGTATCTTTTCCATGTTTAGCTATATTTAGATAGACAAATATTAATACTTCCCATTGTGTTACAGTGGCCTACACTAACATGCTCTACAGGTTTGTAGCCTAGGAGGAATAGGCTATACCATATAGCCTAGGTGTGTACTAGGCCGTACCATCTAGGATTGCATAAGTACACTCTGTGATGTTCCCACAAGGACAAAATCACCTAACAATACATTTCTCGGAATGTATCTTTGTCATTAACCAATGCATGACTGTATTTGGGAAGAGCTGACAATTTTGCTGATTTAGGTAATTGAAGAGCTTTAAAGTTTAAAACAGGATCATTAGCAATCAATGGGCATAATTTCTAATTACATTTGAGTATTTTAGGGCACAGATGCTATTCTCATGGACTCAAAATATTTAGCACATTTGATCATTATGCTATATTTGTCTATGGGGAACAGTATTTCCCAAAATGATCTTCATTTCTTAACAGAAACTCTACCGAATGGGTTATGAGGAGCTGAAGAGAAAAGGTTACGATCTTCCTGTTGATGCCATACCAATCAAAGCAGCAAAAGCCTCCCGGGAAATTGCCAGTGAAGTAAGATTTTATCCTCTGTTGATATTGATTTGATTGCAATTTATCACTTCAAAGCAGTCTCAATTTAATTTTAAATTGAACAAAATCTAAGGGGTAACAAATTACAGTGGAATAAAATGATCCCATGCAGTGTGGGATGAGGATAAGATCAAGGATGCATTTATTATGTATGGAATTTCATAGCTGAATTTAGCCTTTAATCTTTCTTATCAAAAGACTGAAGTCTTTGGCTCTCTAGGCTTAGTAAAATATTTAGAGTTAATGCGCTTTGTAATTTGCCACAAAGATGGCAACAGAAGTAAATTTTGAAAGGAATGAGACACATTTTTTTTCTCTAGTACAAGTACAAGGAAGGCTTTCGCAAGCAGCTCGGCCACCACATTGGTGCCCGGAACATTGAAGATGACCCCAAGATGATGTGGTCCATGCATGTGGCCAAGATCCAGAGTGACAGGGAGTACAAGAAGGACTTTGAGAAGTGGAAGACCAAGTTCAGCAGCCCAGTGGACATGCTGGGGGTGGTGTTGGCCAAGAAGTGCCAGACCTTAGTCAGCGACGTGGACTACAAGAACTACCTGCACCAGTGGACATGCCTGCCCGACCAGAGCGATGTCATCCATGCTCGGCAGGCCTATGACCTCCAGAGCGATGTGAGTCTAAGATTTTCCTTTGGCCAACAAAACATTATGTCTGCTTTTTAAAGTATCAGAGTCCCATAGTGAGCAGAGTTGAGTTTACACAATTACCCTGGACTAATGCCCAAGCGCATCTAGTCACCCAGACATCTGGAGGCACCATTATTCCACAAAGAAAGAGCCAGCAAAGCCCCATTGCTTTGGTGGAAGCCTCTAGATTGTCGAGCTAGACAATCAAAGGATTGAGTCCTTTCCTATGTGCTTCTGTTTAAAATGTTTTTCAAAATATGCTTTTAATCTGAATATTTTGTTGATTTATAATTCATACCAAAAATTTAGAATTTTCTAATAATTCAAGTATTAAAAATATAGAGTATAATATGAACTTTTATTTAGGGGCAAATGATTTAATTATGACAAATTATGACAAATTGTGATAAATGATTTAATTATGACAAATTTGTCACTTGCACTTTCAGAATTTGTACAAGTCAGACCTTCAGTGGCTAAAAGGCATTGGCTGGATGACTAGTGGTTCTCTCGAGGATGAGAAAAATAAACGAGCCACCCAGATTTTGAGTGACCATGTTTACCGTCAGCACCCAGATCAATTTAAGTTTTCCAGCCTTATGGATTCCATACCAATGGTTTTGGCAAAAAACAATGCTATTACCATGAATCATGTAAGTCCTATGTTTGTTTGAGGAGGTTATTAATTTTTTTTGTTTATGGAAACACTGAAGTCTGTTTGTATAAAAGAAAACTTGTTTTTGATTCCTTTGCTTGGTACTAATGTGGTTTTAAAGTATTGTGCTTCTTATTGACACAAGACATTTAGACCTGAAAATGTCACAAATACCGATTCACTGAGCTGAAATTCTTGATTCTCATTAAAAATCAGACTGTCTGCATGTGTCTATTTATTACTGGCCTATACCAGTCATGTTTTTCTGTTTCTCTTAGCGCCTCTATACAGAAGCTTGGGATAAAGATAAAACCACTGTCCACATTATGCCAGATACCCCTGAAGTTTTATTAGCTAAACAAAACAAAGTAAATTACAGTGAGGTAAGTAATATATTCATAGTGCGTGATACATTTTCCTTACAATGCACTTTATAAATCCAACTTACTATTAATGTCTATTTTAGAAATTGTATAAGCTTGGCCTAGAAGAAGCCAAGAGGAAAGGTTATGACATGCGGGTAGATGCCATTCCTATCAAGGCAGCCAAGGCCTCCAGAGATATTGCAAGTGAAGTAAGTATACTTGGAAAGTTATTTGCCTTAGCTTTGGCTCAAAGATTTATTTCTCTCTCCTGGATTTATAGTGGCACAAGTAAGCCATGAGGTTAAAGCTGTTGCTAACAGTTTATTGTTTCGATGAATGGTTTAAAATAATGGTAATAGAGTTATCAACAGAAAGGCCAAATTCAAGTTATTGTTGAGTCCATAGCAACATGCATTTCAAAACATGTCCGTTTCCTGCTGAACAAAAGTATTAGATACTTGACTATAGTTCAGATAATTTTTTTGGCTTTTCCAATGATGTATCTCTCATATACAATTGAGCTTATTGTAGGGTTCCTTCAAAACCCAACCTATGCTGTATGAACCAATGAATCTACAAGGGCTGAATTATAGGACACATTACTCAAAGTTCAACGATTCCTGTGGAACATGTTTGTTTCTATATCAGGTGGTGGGTTACAAATATTTGCTTTCTTTAAAAGATGGATTTGCTCACTGTCACAAGGACAGAAAATCAAACACTGCATGTTCTCACTCATAGGTGGGAATTGAACAATGAGAACACATGGACACAGGGTGGGGAACATCACACACTGGGGCCTGTCATAGGATGGGGGGAGGGAGGAGGGATAGCATTAGGAGATATACCTAACGTAAATGATCAGTTAATGGGTGCAGCACACCAACATGGCACATATATACATATGTAACAAACCTGCACGTTGTGCACATGTACCCTAGAACTTAAAGTATAATAAATAAAGGATTTGCTCACATTTCTAAAAATTTTTATCTTTCCATTTCTTTTGTCTATGAATAAAAAAAACTCTAGATTTTTTTCTTTATTTCCAAAATATGGGAAGTAATCATAATTTAAGAATAAATGACAATCACAGAAGGGTTAAATACCATATAATGAAATACCTACCTGTCATTAAAAATCATGTGTATAGGTCAGGCACCATGGCTCACACCTGTAATCCCAGTGCTTTGGGAGGTCAAGGCGGGAGGATCACTTAAGGGCAGGAGTTTGAGACCAGCCTGGTCAACATAGCAAGGCACTATCTCTACAAAAAACTTAAAAATTAGCCAGGTGTGATGGCGCATGCCTGTAGTGCTAGCTACTCAGAAGCTGAGGTGGGAGGATCACTTCAGCCCAAGAGTTGGAGGTTGCAGTGAGACATGATTGTACCACTGCACTCCAACCTGGGCAACAGAGAGAGATGCTTTCTAAAATACAAAACAAAACAAAACAAAAAAAACAGTCATGTGTGCAAAGACTATTTAATGACACATAGAAATGCTTATATAATAACTGAAAAGAGCAGGCACAAACCCATATACAATATGACTTCTAATTATATTCTCACACACGAATCATAACAAATTATTTTAGTGGCAGAATTACATCTTAATTTTTCTTTTTTTTCTGTGTGTATAAATATACAGACATTCTTTGCAGGCAAAGATAATTTTTATTGAATCTGCGGTACTTATCTAGAATTGTGCCTGACACATAGTAGATACTCAATGAAATTTTGGATCATTGAGCATATAAAACCCATGCAGGAGAATTTCATTTTTATTGTCATTGTCATTGCAGCATAATCTCCTGAAATTTATACATCTAAAAATTAAATATTTTAAAAACAAATTCTAAATTCTAACAGAATGACTTTCACATTAAAGAATGTATTAAAGTAATGCCTATCTATATGGTATATATTTTATATAAGATATATATTTCATATGTGATGATATGTGCTATATTTATTTTCTAAATTGTTTCTACATCTATCATATAATTTACATATTCAGGGAAAATTTTTTTTTTAATAAATAGAGCAAGTTAGGCTTAGTGATTGCTTTTTACTAAAAGTTAAAACAGATGACTATCTGTCTTTTTCTTCTTTTAGTTCAAGTACAAAGAAGGCTATCGTAAGCAGCTCGGCCACCACATTGGTGCCCGAGCTATACGTGATGACCCCAAGATGATGTGGTCCATGCACGTGGCCAAGATCCAGAGTGACAGGGAGTACAAGAAGGACTTTGAGAAGTGGAAGACCAAGTTCAGCAGCCCAGTGGACATGCTGGGGGTGGTGCTGGCCAAGAAGTGCCAGACCTTAGTCAGCGATGTGGACTACAAGAACTACCTGCACCAGTGGACATGCCTGCCCGACCAGAGCGACGTCATCCATGCTCGGCAGGCCTATGACCTCCAGAGCGATGTGAGTACTGAGAGTCATAATAACGTGCAGAGGTGGGAAATTATTTAACACCCCTTGGAGAAAATGGCAATATATGGCACAAGCTCACCAGCCCCTGGAGGAGGCAAATAGCATTGCCTTTATCGACAGGAATTTTAATCCTTTAACCCTTCAGACCAAAGAGGAATATTGTGTGATACCTGGCCCGTCCACCAAACTAAATTTTGAGAGTGCTTTTACTTGATCTCTTATCCTTCAGATGAAAATGCATTGCTGATACAGAGATAAATATTTATTGGCTATTTGTGTCAACAGAATATGTACAAGTCTGATCTCCAGTGGATGAGAGGCATTGGCTGGGTGTCCATTGGCTCTTTGGATGTGGAAAAATGCAAAAGGGCAACTGAAATTTTGAGTGATAAAATCTATCGCCAGCCTCCAGACAGATTCAAATTTACCAGTGTGACTGACTCTCTGGAACAAGTGTTGGCCAAAAATAATGCCATCACTATGAACAAGGTGAGACTTCAAAATTAAGAATCGAAGTGGGGCTCCTAAAGCTGAATCAACAAAAAAGAAACATTAATGAGGAAAGAAAGAACATTGAGTAATAAAAGGCATCTATCTATCTGTCTATGTATCTATTGGCTTCTCATCTATCTATTAATAACTGATATATATCATGTATATTTTGATATTTAGTCATTGTTTCATGATTTTGATAAAGTAGCATATTTTATCAAAAAATAGTCTGCATAAAATATGCTTATTCTCATTTTCCTTTTGTTAACATACATTTCAGATTATTAGAAGGCATTTATAAATACACATTCCTTTATGAACTTATTACCCGAAGATGTGCATAAAACACATAATGTGTATAAAACACATAACCTTTTCTTTTTTTTTATAAAGTTTTTGTGGCCCTAAAATTCCTATTAACTATACACAGAACTTTTTTCCTGATGAATTTGTGTATTTTTTTTGATAGCGTTTATACACAGAAGCCTGGGACAAAGACAAGACTCAGATCCACATAATGCCAGACACACCAGAAATTATGTTGGCAAGAATGAACAAAATCAACTACAGTGAGGTGAGAGCAGATTCTTTGACATTTGCACACTGCTGCTTATTTCAGTTGATCTACTCTATGATGACATGATACCAAATGACAGCTTTAGAAAGAATCTTTTTCATGTTTCATGTGAATAACAACTCTTGCATTTCTCAATCACCATCATAAATGTCAAACTTTATGCAATATGAATTATCATTTAGGAAATACAAATGACATGAACTAATTATTTAAGCTGTAACCATGAGATTATGTAGACCATTTTCTTTTATTATTTTTTTGAAGTTAGGATATTAGCAATTGACCTATACATGTATCTCCCCTTTATGCTAAAGCATAACTGTAGTAAATATATTTTCCATATATTGTTCCTAAGTGTGGTTTAGGATCCAAATTTAAGATTTTTAGTATATAAGATTAAAGGCAAGAACTAAAATCCACAGTACTACCAGGTAACCCACACACACACACACACACACACACACACACAGAGAGAGAGAAATATCTGTCAGTGTAAATATTAGCAAGCCCATTTCCTTTCACTTTCAGTGTGCACAGGGCCACGTGCCATCATTCCAGAATCATAGAGGCTTAGGCAGAGAGTCAAGCCTCCACCCTAGTGCAAAGGTACCCCTCCCCACAAATAGGTTTTTGACCTGCCTTTGCTTAAGGGTTCCCAGTGACAAGGAGCTGATCTCATAAATCAGTCCATTCGTTCTGGAAAATTTATGAGAAAGCTTCTGATGTATTGAGTCACAACATTTCTCTCTGTAAACTCACATAGTCCTCTGAAGCTGCACAGAACAAATCTGTGCCAACCCCCAGAGATGGAGAGCAGCACCAGGGTGCCTCCCCTGCCACCTTCACCCCAGGTTCACCTTCAAATCCAATATCCCAAGCTGCGGGGCATTCCTCACATGACATCACTAGTAAAATGTGACTCTCAGAACTGAGCAAAATACTATGAGTGGGGAATGACTGATGTAGAATACACTTAACTATCGTATTTCCTCTTCTGGACATATGACCTCTATTCTGCATCCTGTGCTCCCAGGATACATTGGCAGCTGTCACTGCTGGTGCACACAGAACTTGAGACCAACTTAAACTCTAAGACATCTTATGTGGACTAAAGTTAGGTTTCTTCCATCCTGCATTTATGCGTTTGGTAATTTATCTCTGTTCAAAGATTGGCATTTATCTCTGTAATTTCTTCTTCTTAGACTGAGCCTGTGGGTATAAGCCTGTGGAGATTTTTGTGAATCTAAGATTCTGTCAGCTGATGTGTTAGTTATTTCACCTGGCTTTGTGCCACCAGCAAGGAAAATATTGTTTATTTGGCAGCATAAATCAACACACAGAGCATAATTTAGAGAATTTAGATGGAATTGCCACCATCTTAAGTAATTATTTTGGAAGTGAGACTGTAATTTTAGTGCTTGTATAGCTAGCTTTTAATTGTCACCAAAAACTAAAAACATCAAGTCTTACTCCCCTGTCAGAAAGGACTGAATTATTAGCCAAACCTATAATATAGGTCCTGTTACAGGAAACCATGCATTACATGTGCAAGAATTTCAGGAAACAAAGGGCTCCCCCTGTGTCTAGCTAGTCAGCATTTCTGGATTTCTCAACTCTGTCTTTGCTGAAAAAGCTCAGAGATGTGTTAGTGCGGCTACTCGGCTGCCAGTCCCAGGAGGCCCAGGTGCCCTTCCCCATTTTGCCCGCAACCCCCTATTCCACCCACCCAGACTGGGACGCTGCCATGGGCGCTCCCCTCTGATGTTAAAAAGAAGAGAACTTTTTGGCTGCTTTCCTATTTTCTGTAGAATTAAACACCAACTTCTTAGAATGAGGCGTTCACAGTCCAACTCTGGGCTATTCTCAGCCCTCTCCTGTGAACTCCTCCCTGGGGCCTCACCCACTTCCTTCAACACCCCTCCGCTTCCCCTCCACAGTGGTGCCTTGATTCACGTGATTTCCTCTGCACTTGATGCCACCTTAGTCTACTGAAACTCTGCTCAAAGTCTAACTCAAAGGTCACCCCATCTTCAAGAACTTCCCTGATTCTCAGTTCAGAATAAATGACTCCTTCCTGGAGCTCTTCATTATTAGTGTGGTTTGACTTTTCAGCAGTTGCTTCCACAGGTTATCAGTCTCTCCATCAGTTCTCCCAGGAACCTTTAGGTTGAGAGGGGTCTCAACCTCATCTTTGATTCCCAAGTACCCCGCACAGTCAGAGACACAGGGTCAGGGCAGAATAAATGTGAGTTGAATTGATTGCCATGATCAACAGTTAAGCCTTTCCCTCCCACCCACATTTTACCATGCTAGAACTATGAGTTTCAGCTTAATTTTTCCTGTAATTTTTAAACTGGATTTATTGTTTTAACTAAAATTTTTTAAAACAACCTGTAATATGTATATATACTTAATTCAACATAATTTTTAAAGTAAAAAATAAAGGTGCATTGGGCTTTATGGGTATCTTTTTTTTTTGTTTTGTTTTGTTTTTTGAGATGGAGTTTCACTCTTGTTGCCCAGGCTGGAGTGCATTGGCACAATCTCAGCTCACTGCAACTTCCGCCTCCCAGGTTCAAGTAATTCTCCTGCCTCAGTCTCCCAAGTAACTGGGATTGCAGGCATGCACCACCACACCCAGCTAATTTTTTTTATATTTAGTAGAGATGGGGTTTCACCATGTTGGCCATGCTGGTCTCGAACTCCTGACCTCAGGTGATCCACCCGCCTCTGCCTCCCAAAGTGCTGGGATTACAGGTGTGAGCCACCACACCTAGCCTCATTTTTGAGTCTTCACTTCAACAAACATGCAGAAGGCTTAGAACTCTCAAAAGAAAGATTATTATAGGCACTGTCTGTGGAGAACTTAGTGAATTGTCTTAGTCCTCTGTCAGTTTTTAGATATAAATGTCAGCATCTGATTTTTTTTCCCCCAAATTTAGAGTCTGTACAAACTTGCTAATGAAGAAGCAAAGAAGAAAGGCTATGACTTGCGAAGCGACGCCATCCCCATCGTGGCGGCCAAGGCCTCCAGGGACATCATCAGTGACGTGAGTTGTCAATTCCATTCTGAGTATGTGATCAATCTAATGTGGCATTTTCACTGAACTAAATCTTAGAAAAGAACTTTTCCTGGACCTTTGAAAATATATCCTGATATATTTGTGTAGGATTTTTCAAAACCTCAGTTTTAAGGGAAATGAAAATCTTGATGTTTATAAGAGGGATCTGTAACCTACAGGACACAGCGTCTTCTGTGAAAACTGGTCAACCAAAAATAGAGAAAGATTCATTCATGTGGACCCTGTTAGAGTGAAGCTGCAGGCTTGGAGATGCTTATGTAAGAATTATCACCGGCTTATAGAAAAGCTTATAGAAGATATAACTCATAAACTTAGGTTCTGCCAGTGAGATTCAGGGCCTGGCTTTATGTAACATTTGAATAGATAGTATTTTAAAACACATGCGGTGCTTGCTATTGAAATTTGCCCTTATGAAAAGAAGGCAGTTGATCAGTACCAGAGGTGACTGCTGACCTAAGGTTACACTCTTTTTTTTTTTTTTTTTTTGGAGACAGAGTTTTGCTCTTGTTGCCCAGGCTGGAGTGCAATGGCCTGATCTCAGCTCACTGCAACCTCTGCCCCCTGGGGTCAAGCGATTCTCCTGCCTCAGCCTCCCGAGTAGCTGGGATTACAGGCACTCACCACCACGCCCATAATTTTTTGTATTTTTAGTAGAGATGGGTTTTCACCATGTTGGCCAGGCTGGTCCCAAATTCTTGACCTCAGGTGATCCACTTGCCTCAGGCTCCCAAAGTGCTGGTTTTACAAGCGTGAGGTCACACTCTTAGCAATAGCTCCTAGCCATTTAGCACGTCTCCCAGAGCAAAACTGTCATCCTTTTCTGGTGCCTCAGGGATTCTTGAGGAACAAATGACGGCTCTAAAAATCAAGGCCCACTTGCTGTCCTTTATATTGGAATCTTATGTTAGTGACTCAACTTTATGTATGTTGGACCCTCCCAGCAAATGGACTTATGCCAATAATAATAAATAATGACATAATAATAACCAAGAAGTATTGAGAACTCTTTGCTAAGAGCTTTATATGCATTGTCTCACTTACTCTTCATAATTGCCCTAGGATGTAGATATTATCATTATCCCCATTTTGAGGATTGTTTAAGCAACTTGCCTCAAATCAAACTCCTAGTGAGTGGGGGAGTTGGGACTCTGAACAATCTCATTCCTTTCCACTGTACCATATTGTCTCTTGCTGACTCACCTACACTTTCTCGGTCAGTTGTCTTTGAGACTAGAAGCATGTATTTTGGATAACTGGCTTAGATTCCAGAATGAAGTCATTGGACATGAATAATAAAAACATTGTTGATACATGTGAGGCTAGAACCCATGACCTTATTAAGAGCATAATCTAACCAGTTGGGTTGCTATGTCAGTTTTACAAGTACAATCAGTTTTCAAAATGATGCCAAAAGCTTGCCACTGCCATTGAATGCATGAATCTAGTAAAATAATAATAATAATAATAAATTCTCCTCGGTTGCTACTACAGGTGATCCTTACAGGAATCAGTCACTCATTTTACTGTTTTTATTTTATTTTATTTTATTTTTTTGAGATGGAGTCTTGCTGTCACCCAGGCTGGAGTGCAGTGGCGTAATTTTGGGTCACTGCAAGCTCTGCCTCCTGGGTTCATGCCATTCTCCTGCCTCAGCCTCCCAAGTAGCTGGGACTACAGGCGCCCGCCACCACGCCCGGCTTATTTTTTTATTTTTAGTAGAGACGAGGTTTCACCATATTAGCCAGGATGGTCTTGATCTCCTGACCTCATGATCCACCTGCCTTAGCCTCCCAAAGTGCTGGGATTACAGGCATGAGCCACCGTGCCCAGCCTCATTTTACTGTTTATCAAAGACACCATTCTACCAAGTGCACCCTCTTCCTGACATGCTTTTAGTGTATAGAATCCAATTCTACAGGTTCCCTGGTTCAAATGTTCTCTCCCTGACTTCCACAGGTGACCTTTTCCCCACATATGCACTTCTTGTTTTCAGAGGTATCCCTTAGTACCAGGCTGTAGGTGATTTGGGGTATATACTACAATTACATGAATTCCATCTATTTTTCTACCTCTGTAAGGGCTTCCAGGATGAAAGCCAGGATACTGGCTTGAGTTAGTACTTGTTAACAAAAGTCAGTTGAAGTATGATGTAAGCAAGTTGATTTTGCACAGACTTGTGGCCTCTAAGGGGTTACAATAAAAACCTGATTTGTGCATTTTCATTTTAGTACAAATATAAAGATGGTTACTGCAAGCAACTTGGCCACCATATTGGAGCCCGGAACATTGAAGATGACCCCAAGATGATGTGGTCCATGCACGTAGCCAAGATCCAGAGTGACAGGGAGTACAAAAAGGACTTTGAGAAGTGGAAGACCAAGTTCAGCAGCCCAGTGGACATGCTGGGGGTGGTGCTGGCCAAGAAGTGCCAGACCTTAGTCAGTGACGTGGACTATAAGAACTACCTGCACGAGTGGACATGCCTGCCTGACCAGAGCGATGTCATCCATGCTCGGCAGGCCTATGACCTCCAGAGTGACGTGAGTACAGCATCTATAAATGGAGCTGTGCATAGAAATAATTTAAACTATGTGAAAATTATCCTTTATATACAATCCATTACTCAAGTTAAGATTGATTGGTCCATGAATAAGATTTAAATCAGAATACAATTTTATTGCTTTATTATGAATACACTAATAGACTTCATAAGAAAGTAAAATTAACAAAGTGGACTTGGTCTTATAAAAACAAAATGGGAATTAAGTAACATTAGAATTCAGGGTCCACTAGAGGGAGACATTTATTCTTTTTTTAAGGAAGGAAGAAACGTTTTTACTTTAAAAAGAAATTACTGTGGAATTTGTTTTTGGCTTCTTTGCAAACCAAAGAATTATTGAATTCTAATGCCTACTGCAACACTAAATATTATGCTTATGAAATAAAAGAAGTCTCTGTGTCTGTACACTACTGGACTGTTTCACAGACACTTCCTCTTAGCCTGGCTGTCTATGGAGGAGCCACATGGTAATGACAGAGCCTACTACCTATTGGAAGCAGATACACTATCTCAAATCTGGATATGAGAGGCACATTTCCTGCACTAGGTATTTTATAAACTTTGAAGGAATTAAAGCACTAGCAAGTTTTGGAAACTAAAACTAATTTGTAATAATTATACATTAATTGGTTGTTCCTAAAAACTTACAGCCTACCTGAGAAAACTCCCACGTCTGTTCTGTAGCTTCTGACATACAGAACCCTGTGTTTTGCAATTCTTTCCAAAAAGAAAGGCTTTGCCTGCACAGAAAAGATAGTTTAAAAGGGTTGATGTCACCCATACAACGACAATATTGACAGATTGCTTACCATCTGTCTATTTGTTGGGCACCTTCTCTGGATTACCTTCCTCACCCTGCGATATGACCTTCATAATGTGGGAAGTATTTGAAAGTTAAAAAGCATTCTGGAGGTATAAACTGTTATTGTTTTCATTCTTTTTTTTTTTTTTTTTTTCTGAGACAGAGTCTCCCTCTGTCGCCCAGGCTGGAGTGCAGTGGCGCGATCTCGGATTACTGCAACCTTCGCCTCCCGGGTTCAAGTGATTCTCATGCTTCAGCCTCCCTGCAGCTGGAATTACAGGCTGCTGCCTCCCTGCCCCACTAATTTTTTGTATTTTTAGTGGAGATGGGGTTTCGCCATATTGGCCAGGCTGGTCTCCAACTCCTGACCTCAGGTGATCTGCCCCCCTCAGCATCCCAAAGTGCTGGAATTACAGGCGTGGACCCCAACACCTGTCCTGTTTTCATTCTTGCTATTGTTATTTGTGGGGCAATAACTAGTCAGCACAGGCTAATTCTAATAGTTTTTTTTTTTTTGTCTAGACTACAAAATACAAGTTTTTTTATTTTCTACTTAGTTTCTGTGACAGGTGAAATCTTTCCAATGAGCCAAACAAAGATTCAAAACTATGATTGTGAAGCAGTTATGAATATCTAATGGGTATATAAAAACCTTCAGCAAAAAAAAATTTTTTAATAAAGTGAGAAAAATATGGCAATATGATTTTATATAGGTGTCTGTGCTTCCATCCTGAGGACTTGGTGAGGAAGAGACTGGGGCCCTGCACAATGAAATTGTCCATTTAATAAATAATTAAATTTTATTGCCCTGAATCTTGGACAGAGTTACAGCTGTTGAAGATCTCAGGGCTTCAGGGGTTCTACAGCACTGTTATATTTTAACTGTGTTTTTAAAGGCATTACAGATATTTTGAAATGTATAGAAGAATACATCGCAGGGAATAAGAATCCAAAACAATCCAACCACTAGAAAAACCCACTCTTATTCATGTAATTTATCTACCCACATTGTTTTATGTGCTACTTTAAAATTTCATATTGTATTAATGACATTTCTACATGTCATAAATATTCTTCAACAGTGAAGCTTTTAATGGCTTCAGAGTGTTCCATTTGCCTCGGCCTAAAATTGATTCACTAAGGGCCTGATGTTGGGCACGGGTGTGGTTTCTGTCTCTCTGGGTTGGTATTCTTCCCTGCATAGGGATGTTATAATTATGATAATGTTCACTGAACCAACTGACAGAAGATATTACTTGGGATCACTCCTCTCCTAATAACCTGAAATGTTTGATAACTTTTTATTATGGCTAGGAGATATTTCTGGGTCATTTTTGAGCATAATTCTTTTAGTTTGCCTTATACAACGCGCTTGTTTTCTACGAATAGAAAACAGAATTGCACTTTATTACTGATTCTATTTGCATATTTACCCTAAATATTGTGGTCTTGATGAAGAGTTTTTGACTTTTTTCCTCTGCTCAGAATATTTACAAGTCAGATCTCCAGTGGCTGAGAGGCATTGGCTGGGTCCCCATTGGGTCTATGGATGTGGTCAAGTGCAAGAGAGCTACCGAAATACTGAGTGATAACATCTACCGCCAGCCTCCGGACAAGCTGAAATTTACCAGTGTGACTGATTCTCTAGAGCAGGTGCTGGCCAAGAACAATGCTCTCAACATGAATAAGGTGAGTCCTAGCTGCCTTAAGCTTCTCCAAGATGCCAGAAGATGTTATTATACTTTAATGACTAATGGAGTCTAAATTATCTATGAAGGCGTGGGGTCGCATTTTTACCTTTTAAATTACATGCTTGAAATCCTCTAAATAATTTTGATTATTCCAAGTTTCAATCTTGATAACTAGTAATAAGACTCACACTTCCAGTAGAATACTTTATATTCAAGTCTGGCTTATTTTTCCTAATTAGGTCAGTAATAACAGTTTTAAATGAACTTTTTGTCATTTCTATTTCAAATGATTTTTAATCAGCATCTTATCTTCTTTTATAGCGTTTATACACAGAGGCCTGGGACAAAGACAAGACTCAAATTCACATAATGCCTGATACACCAGAGATTATGTTGGCAAGGCAGAACAAAATCAACTACAGTGAGGTAGGAGCAAAAATCTGTGGTGCTATATTGTGGTGGTGGTGTCTATACTTAGTTTTGTGGAGATTCTTGGGCCTCAGCTGTCATGGTGCATGTGGCTCTTTCATTTAACACTCCACTCATCCAACCTTTCATCTCTGGGTTAAATATTACATTTTATGGGATTCCACTGGCAAACTGAAGTCACAATGTCTTTTCTGTTCGTGGTGATTTCCAGTGAGTCAGTGGGACTGAGTAGTATTTTAGACACTTCAGAGGATTGTCAGATAAAATACTGGCCCATTATTTCTGCCAAAATATTCATGCCCACTAATTCCATCCCTACCAATTAGATACATCAGTAAATCACTGCACCTTTCCAGGGCAGAGAGAGTAAAGGGGCAGAAAAGGCCTCAGTTAAAATAACTGAGCTTTGTCTATAGAAAGAAAACCTTAGGCATAAGGAAGAAGTGTTCTCTATCAACAACATTGATTACTGACTTTTTTAAAAGTAAAATGCAATTTTATAGACACGTGGTTTATTAATATGATACAACCAAAATTTAGAAAGTTGTGATTATGGTTGTTAACTATATTTTGTTATATTTTAATTTTTCTTATTTGTCTTTTAAACATTATAAAATATGATTGTCATACAAATTGTAGGTAATAAAAATGAATAAAAATATATTTTTATACGTATAGATAGATATTAAACATTGTTCTACCATTTTTTTTCACTTAGTGGTATGTTTGGATTGCTGCTTTGCTCATCAATCTGTATT
Organism: Homo sapiens; assembly: GCF_000001405.40. Taxonomy (NCBI): domain Eukaryota; kingdom Metazoa; phylum Chordata; class Mammalia; order Primates; family Hominidae; genus Homo; species Homo sapiens. The sequence goes on along the minus strand of NC_000002.12, from coordinate 151,629,953 downwards.
ACTAGATTGTATTGATCTATGCTGATATGTACATCATATTGATCTATGTATAGCATATTAATCTATAATGATATATAATAGGTTAATATATCACTATATATTAATGTTCATTGATATATCCCATTTATTTCTAACGCTATATAGTATTTTTGGTAGAATATAATTTATTTGCTTTCCACTATTGCCAGAAACTTGAATTGTCTCCAGTTCCTATCCTTTTTTAAATTTTAGGATATAAGTCACTTAATAATCTCTGAATTGTTGATGTCAAACCTTTTGCTTTAACTCTTTGCCTTTCTTTTCATAGACTCTATACAAACTTGCCAATGAAGAAGCAAAAAAGAAAGGCTACGACTTGCGAAGTGACGCCATCCCCATCGTGGCTGCCAAGGCCTCCAGGGACGTTATCAGTGATGTGAGTAGCAACACCCTAGATATTTACATGGATGGATGAAGTGGGGAGGCAGGATTATTACTATTATAACATTTGGGGGCCAGTTTAAGCACATTTATTGGCTTGTTTTTCTAAATCAAATTCAAATTCAAAGTTTTTCATTTGAAAAAACTCATGTTTTAAGCTTCGGAAGACTTCAGTATCTATGTCCCAGGTAGGAAGGGGGTAACCTAAACCAGTATACTTCAATGCAGTATAAAATTGGATGTGATTCTATAATTTTTCATATCTACAATTATGAGAAATTCATCTCCATATTTTGAGCATAGAGCCTCACAGAAAATAGAAAATGGCAAAAGAGGTGTTAAAAAATAACTTAGTTACATGTATTGGTTCAATATCAGAAGAAGAGCTGATAGAACCAAGTCTAGGAAAATCCACCTTTCCCCAAATCTGCTCTGTGTTTTTGCCAACTCATTTTTTTTTGGAAAATTATCTTAAATCCTTCCTTTTGAGTTCTTTTAAAATGAAAACAGAAAGACAAAGACGAGGAAAACAAGAAAATGGTGAACCTAATTTCTCCTCCTGCCATCTCTGAAAGAGGTGGGTTCTTTGGTGGAAAATTCAGACTTCTTCTTCTTCTTCTTCTTCTTCTTTTCTTTTGTTTTTGTTTGTTTGTTTGTTTGTTTGAGACAGAGTCTCAGAGTCTCACTCTTGTTGCCCAGGCTAGAGTGCAATGGTATGATCTTGGCTCTCTGCAACCTCCGCCTCCCGGGTTCAAGTGATTCTCCTGCCTCAGCCTCCCAAGTAACTGGGATTACAGGCACCAGCCACCACACTTGGCTAATTTTTTTTTAGTATTTAGTATTTTTTGTATTTTTAGTAGAGACAGCGTTGCACCATGTTGGCTAGGCTGGTCTCAAACTCCTGACCTCAGGCGATCCGCCTCCCTCGGCTTCCCAAAGTGCTGGGATTACAGGCATAAGCCACTATGCCCAGCTGAAAATTCGGACTTCTGTAAATATTTGTTGGGATTGGTGTGGTGTGTTGTCTGAAATAGGGAGAAAATATCCAGTTTGCCCTTACCACCACCAACAACAAAATGCTTTTTTGTAGATACATATTCCATTTTTCACTTGAGGAATCCCAAACAAACCTCAGTCAAATTTGATCTCCAACAGAGCAGGGCTTGTAGTATGGGAATATAATCCAGACCACTTCAGGGAGTCAAGTGCCCCAGCAGAGCTGGATTTGGGAAGGAGTGTGGGTGTGTTGGATGGAGGGATAAAATGGTATCTGTGGACTCAGGAATAGCAGTCTCAAAATCATATGTAAAATTTCTGGGTTAGTGATTTCATGGGCCCAAGATGAAGAAATGGCAGTACACAGTACCGAAAGATCTTCCGGAAAGTGTTGCTTCCTTTATTTTCAGAAACTTAACGTCTACAAGCCATAGGACCATGTAGTTTGGCCTGTCTTCCCACTGGACTATTCCCATTAGACTGTTGCTGTTAGACTATTTATGAGACTTCGCATTAGACTACTGCCCATTAGATTAGTGCTGTAGAGTCTAATAAGAATTTAGGATGAGGAGATAAACTGATATGCAGATTCTTTCATTACTCTGCAAGAATTAGCAATTTTAAAATAATAAAGTTTTAAATTAATGAGGCTTCTAAGCCTTTCTATTCATTTTTATTTTTGAAATGACCACCTTTATTTCAGTACAAATACAAAGATGGTTACCGCAAGCAGCTCGGCCACCACATTGGAGCCCGGAACATTGAAGATGACCCCAAGATGATGTGGTCCATGCATGTGGCCAAGATCCAGAGTGACAGGGAGTATAAGAAGGACTTTGAGAAGTGGAAGACCAAGTTCAGCAGCCCAGTGGACATGCTGGGAGTGGTGTTAGCCAAGAAGTGCCAGACCTTAGTCAGCGATGTGGACTACAAGAACTACCTGCACGAGTGGACGTGCCTGCCCGACCAGAATGATGTCATCCATGCTCGGCAGGCCTATGACCTCCAGAGCGATGTGAGTAATTAAGATCCATGGTAACTGTGCTCATAATAGTAATTCATAGAAATACTGAGACAGTGGTCTAGCATTAGGTAGAACCTTCAGAAGGGATGACATTTCTTCTCTCTGCTCATTTTTTAGGCAACTCTTCCCCTTACTTTTTTTGGAGAGAAAGAAAGTAATACCTGAGACTGTATTCAATTTGGCCTTCATATATTGAAGAACGTATACATGAAATTTGACTATCCAAGCTTTCTAGTGTTATTTTTTTATTTTTGAAATCATGTTAAAACAACTTCAGTAATACTCGCTTTTGTGTTTAATCTCTCCAGAACATTTACAAATCTGATCTCCAGTGGCTGAGAGGCATTGGCTGGGTCCCCATTGGGTCTATGGATGTGGTCAAGTGCAAGAGAGCTGCTGAAATACTGAGTGATAACATCTACCGCCAGCCTCCGGACAAGCTGAAATTTACCAGTGTGACTGACTCTCTAGAGCAGGTGCTGGCCAAGAACAATGCTCTCAATATGAACAAGGTGAGCCCCCAATTTGTAGGAAAATAAGACAGGGCTATATGTCATTCAAGATACCTATTGTTAATTAAGTTAGTCTCTTTTTTAAATCCAATTAAATTGCTATCCAATGTATAGTGATTCAGTTGAATTCTCTATTCTGTTAGATAACAATATATGGGAGCATTTCTGCTTTGACATCTCTTGTGAAATAGCCAGAGTTAAGAATGGCACAGCTCTTTGGGAGGCCAAGGCAGGCGGATCATGAGGTCAGGAGATCGAGACCACGGTGAAACCCTGTCTCTACTAAAAATACAAAAAATTAGCCGGGCATGGTGGCAGACGCCTGTAGTCCCAGCTACTCAAGAGGCTGAGGCAGGAGAATGGTGTGAACCTGAGAGGCGGAGCTCGTAGTGAGCTGAGATCGCGCCACTGCACTCCAGCCTGGGCGACAGAGCAAGATTCCGTCTCAAAAAAAAAAAAGAATGGGACAGCTATTATGGGTTCAAATTGTTTGAAGTCTATAAGAGTTAGTTATATATGATTTGGTATGGTTTCTTTCTTGCTGAGTACTTATTTAGGTAAGCACAGAGCAAACAAGAAAGATGCAAGCCGGGCATGGTGTCTCACACCTGTAATCTCAACACTTTTGGGAGGCTGAGGTGGGCAGATCACTTGAGCTCAGCAGTTTGAGATTAGCCTGGGCAGCATGTTGAAACCCTGTCTCTACAAAAAATACAAAAGTTAGCCGGGTGTGGTGACACGCACCTCTAGTCTTAGGTACTTGGGAGGCTGAGGTGGGAGGATCACCTGAGCCTGGAGAGGTTGAGGCTGCAGTGAGCTGTGACTGTACCACTACATTCCAGCCTGGGCAAGAGAGTGAAACTCTGTCTCATAAAAAAAAAAAAAAAGAAAGATGCAAATCTTCATAACATTTATCAAAAAGAAATCTAGAGATAGCACATACAGGTACATTTGCAGCTAATAAACTAACAACAAACAGCATCAAACAAATAAAATCATGGGAAGGATTTGTTAATATAGTCATACTACAGATATGGATGTGAATATATGCTTGAGAAATACTTGCTTTTTATTTAATTGGGGTGAGAGTGACCTGGTTACCAAACACACACACGTGGGTGTGTATATGTGTGTGTGTGTTTGATTATATGTATATATATATTTTTCTTTTCATATCTTAGTATACATTTATATTTTGTTACAATAAATGTCTTGTAAAATCAAAGAGGTTGAAAAGAATATTAACATACATGGAACAGACAGCAAGAAAGCTGGCTCTCAACTTTGTCATGGTGTCTTAATTGAAAACTCCTGTTTACAACAAACTGTTTTTCTAATTCATTAACCTTTTTATCCTTCACAGCGCTTATACACAGAAGCCTGGGACAAAGACAAGACCCAAGTCCATATTATGCCTGATACACCTGAAATCATGTTGGCAAGACAAAATAAAATAAATTATAGTGAGGTAAGATCATTTGTTTTATTTCTTTGGTCTGGCCACATTGATTGTTGCCGATGTAGGAATGTGAGAATTATGAAATTAATCCTCATGTAAGCCAGTTAGCTTAGTTGGCTTTTTATGCCATTTACCCTACCTTGAATATACATATTATTGTATTAAAAAATAGGCAGATAGAAAGGTAGATAGATTAGACAGACAGATAGACAGACAGACACAAAAATATCTTCATTTCAGGAGGGAAAAAATATCTCAAGTCAACTATTAATGACTAAAACATAATTTTCATTAAAAATAATTCTTGCTATTCATCAAATTAGTACTTGCTTCAAAATTTGTGCGGCAAGTTTATTTTCTTCAATTACCTCATCTGTAAAATAGGATTAAAATGCTTACCTTAAAGAATTTTTAAAGAATGACTAAATGAGGTAAAATATTTAACATGCCCAGTGTGAAGCCTGGTGCAAAGTATTTGTTTAATAAACTTTAATGTCTCTCCTTTATGCTCAAGTCACCATGAAAATTAGATGTATTTAATGTGCTCAAAATAACTTGAGCTTTATTTACAAGAACTGAAATGAGAATTCTTAAATTCACCCATTTCAAATTGCCTGAGAACAATAAAATACATTCTTTTATGAACTATCTTCAGCCTTGCTAAACTTGTCATTGCATATCTTTGCAGTCCAGAAATACTGCTGCATAAATAGCGTCTTGCTCAATTGTTCTTGCCAAAGTCAAAAATGTATATGGTTGATTCAAGAAGGATACTAATTTTTTAAACATGTCTATGTGTCTTCATTTTTTTTTAGAGAAAAAGGAAGGCAGAGTTGTCTTCAGTTTGAGAGCACTGAAAAATTTAAGTACTAATTTTTAAGATGACCAAATTTATTACTTTACCCATAATAATTACTTTTGCCTATAATAATGTAGCCTTAAAAAATGGAGAGGGTATGATTTCACTTTCTCCAGCATTATAAAACAGACCAAAGGACAAGCCTGATTATAGATATTTGATTGGCCTTGGCTTCAGTCACTTTTGAATGGGCCATTTTCTCTTGGCCACAGAGCTTCTCAGTTGGATTATCTTCTCCCAGGAGGTTTATTTTATCCAAGGCAGATGAAGTTAGTTTCTATTCCAGATTATAATGAAGCTCTTAATCCTCTCTCATTTGTTTACATTAGGGGAACTGAAGTAGATTTTTTTTTCAGACTGCTGCAAGGATATTGGGCTATTTTTTAATTCTAAAATTTTCAGCTGGATTTACTTTCTTTAAAATTGCATGATCATGCATTGAAGGCTTTGACTTCACCACAGTGCAATATATTAATGTAGCAAAATTGCACTCATCCCCCATGAATACATACAAATAAATAAAAATAAAATTGCATAATGATGTTGATTCTCTGAGGAATCTAAGATCACATTTCAGAATGGCCCACTAGAATTTCTTCTCAACCCATTGCCCGTGGTTCCTTCATTGCATAAATGTAAAACAAAACAAACACATCTGTTTTTTTCCTCTTAAATTCTCATTTACTTATTTTAGTTTTCTTAAGTAACAAGCTTTAAAATACATCCCTGATGATAGCTAAAAGTGTTCTCTCCTTTGAAGCACTGCATCTTTTTTAAATGCTGAAAGAATTAAAGAACTCTATTTTTTTGGCCTGAAGCCATGAGATGATTGAAGCACATTTTTTCCCACTTATACCATTTTTAAAATATGAACATTTATTCCTAAAGAAAAAATGTAATAAATAAAGTATTTGACCTTCCAGTTTCAAAAGAAACATTCCTAGAAATTTTGAAGAAAAACAGATTCCCTCTGGAATTTATCTCAAAGATATTAAATTGATTCTTATTTTTACTTTAGCTTTTTCTTATAAAATCTCATCTTGAAAAGACTATAAACTGACACATCTTAATAATCCACTTTATAAACATAATAGTGACCCTGTAAGAGTCTTAAGTCATTAAAAATATTAAAAAATATTAAATGCATCTGTAGCATATTTAAAATCCAGATACTAGTCCGGTATCCTTAATTCAATCTAATTTGAGAATGGGGTATAAAAATGAAGTTTAATTATTTGTATCACACTTTTTAGGGATTTTCCTTATGTTTAAGATTTTGTCTTTACACAGGCTCAGCAATGAAAAGTACACTGAACAGTATAAAGTAGAGGGATGATAAAGCTTTATAGAACTGTAAATCTTTGTAGTTTTTCCCTTAAAGCCATGCATTATTTCTAAATTCTTTTCCAGAACTATCTACTGGTACTGTGTCTGCTTTATCTAACTCAATAAACCTCTTAAAAGAGGAAAGGGGGAAAGTGAAATTAAAGATTAAATTGTTCAATCATAGATTGATCTAAAGGCTGTATTTGGATATAGATGAGCTGCTTTCAAACCTCAGCTACCTACCATCCTTGAGGTTACACAAAGGCTTTCCAAGGGGTAAACTGGCATGGATCGTTTTAAGTAAATCAGTTAACATAGCTTCAACTTCCATACATACACTCTTCTAAATTATCTGCCCAAGAATGCCCCTACAGCTTGAGTGGCATCCCACTTCTTTCATAATCACTCTTCTCTCATGTTAAAACAAAAAAGGCATGGTTTAAAGGTGAAGAAATAAACTAGAGAACTAAATGCTACTCATTCTCTTGAACTGAATTCTGGATAGAAAAGCAACATTGCTATAAAGGAAATTATTGGGACATTTGATGAAATTTGAATATTCACCGTATATTTGATAGTAAAAGAGAATAATACTAGACAATAATACTGTATCAATATTAAATTTCCTGAGTCTGATACATATACTGTCATTATATAAAAATATCTTTATTCTTAGGAGATACATGGTAAAGTATTCAAGGATGAAGGCCATAATGTGTACAATTTTCTCTTAATCAGTTCAACAATTGAAAATAATAATAATAAGTAAAATGAAGAAATACACAAACACATAAAGAGAGAGCTAGAGAAAGCAAATATGGCAAAAATGTTAATAAATTGGATAGTTGGTATTCATTGTAGCATTCTTGCAACTTTTCTGTAAGTTTGAAGTTTTGCAAAAGGTGGAAAGTATACATTTTAAAATATTAAAACATACATTAAAATATTTGACTAAGTGTGATAATATAAAGATTTCATTTTTTAAATAAAGAAAAAGAAATAGTCATATTCATCCTAGTAGTTACTATGATGCATGTCTGAAAGTATTAAAACGAAACTTTACCAAACATGGCTGGGTGCAGTGGCTCATGCCTGAAATCCCAGCAATTTGGGAGGCTGAGGCAGGAGGGATCACTTGAGTTCAAGAGTTTGAGATCAGCAACACCCATCTCTACTAAAGAATACAAAAATTAGCTGGGCATGGTGGCACACACCTGTAATCCCAGCTACTCGGGTGGCTGAGGCACGAGAATCGCTTGAACCTGGGAGGCAGTGAGCCGAGATTGTGCCACTGCACTCCAGCCTGGGCGACAGAGTGAGACTGTCTCAAAAAACAAAAAACAACAATAAAAAAGACCCCACAAAACTCTACCAGACAACTTAATTCATTATTGCCCATCAAAACTTTGTAATCAAACCACCATGAGCTCCTACAAGTCTCATTAAGAGATCCAATAAATTTTTACTTTTTATGTTTAAAAATTATTATCAAACTGTATATTTATCTTGTTTTGATTTATTGAATACCGATGTTGGCAATTACTTAAAATTTTTCGTTAAGAGGATACAGAATCAGTCAAAATTTTTATCACTGGTTCACAAAAAGGGCTAAAAGCCATTGGTATATATGATTTGTTTAATGCGTGGTTCTCAAATGACACTTCCATGGAACATTTGTGTTTTGTCTTCTGTGCATGTCTGTCCTGCCACAGAAATTGAACAGTGGTGGTGCTTTCTCAATTCACAGAAGAAGTCAAAAAAGTTTTGCAGTTTTGACTCCTAAATCTTTGGTACCTGCTACCCTCATGTCCTCGAACAACTTGCAGCAGTTGATGAAATAATAGGGAGCAAATCAACATTAACAGAGAGATTCAGAAAGAATGACACATCTTTAGTTCAGCACTAAATTTGATTATGGACACATCCTCCTAGTGGTAGTATTATTATATGTTATTATATGATACTGTTCTCTGCTAGTAAAAATGTTCCCAATTCAAATTTGGAGTTAAATAAATCAACATTTCTTGATTGTTTCATGAAAAGGGCAAATGGTGAACAATCTAAACACATTAAGAGGTGTTCATTTAATGTATAACGTGTAAAAGATTTGTGCAAAGAGAGGTTGTGATGTTAAAACTTGCTGAATGTGAAATTTTCATTTAAATAAATATCCAAGGATAAACAGAAAGTAAAAGAAAGAGTTCTTTTTCTGATTTAAGGCTGAACATACTCATGTAGTTTTGCATCCAAAAGTGGTCTTCCTTTGGCAGAAAATATACTTTTCGAGTGAATGTGAATTCTATATTTAAAAGCTACTCCTTCTTTCCTCAGAGCCTCTATCGTCAGGCCATGGAAGAAGCCAAGAAAGAAGGCTATGACTTGAGAAGTGATGCCATTCCCATTGTGGCTGCCAAGGCCTCTCGGGATATTGCCAGTGATGTAAGAGCTGATCAAGTCCTAACATTTCTTACCATCATGCCAGCCACACAGAATACAGCTGGATGTCTCTTTGGTCATCATCCACCTTAACTCCCTTCAGTGCATAGGCAAATATACTGAGGGTTGAGATACAGATAACTTGCCCAAGATCACAAGCATCACAGAGGCATAGCCTAGACTGGAATGTGGCTCATTTGACTCCTTATTTTTGATCTTTGCTCAATAGGAGTGAGTGCCTCGATTAAAGCTAGATGTGTGTATGCTGAGCTACTCACAAAACCTCAGGAACTTCCTTGGAACACACTCAAGGCAAAGATGCCAGAAAAGAAGCAGGCTTAACTGAGTTTGCCCCATCACTTGAAAATGAACATGGAAAGACAAAGTCTTCTTTCTATGTGGTGCACAGAACCAATATTTCTTTACCCTAAAAATGAAAACATCAGATCCCTGGACATCTTAAAAATTAATCCAAGAGTAGTAAAATTGTTCATTTTTATAGGTTTTTAAATGTTTAAATTCTGGTTAAATATATATATATATATATATATATATATATATATATATATATATACACACACATACATATATATATAATAAAATTTACCATCTTAACCATTTTCAAGTATACTGTTTGGTGGGGTTCAGTATATTCATATTATTGTACAACAGATTTCCAGAATTTTCATCTTGTAAAACTTAAACTCTCTACCTATTAAATAACAGAAATTGTCCATTTTAAAACTATTTCTCCCAAATCAATTGTGAAGAGGAAATTACTTCTCAGACTATGCTAGAAAATTTTAATGATCCATGTAAACATACGCCCCAGGTGTGTTCTTAAATAGGCTCACTCACATGATGGATTTCTGAGACACCATCATGGTTTATTACTGTAATTGGACTCTTCATTTCAGTATTCACTTTTTATCATTTTTTGCCAACATATGATTCTCTAGCATATATAAAGGAACCATTGTGGGGTTATTCTGTGGACATGTGCCAATGAGCACAACAGTCCAATATGTGGCGTTACAGCAGCATGACCAGTGAAACTCCTCTGTTGCCTTAAAGATTTCATAGAAAGCACCACCACAGAAAGAACAACAGGGAATAGCCCTTTGTGCTTCCTTCTTATTTACTGGATTCTCTCTTTCAGTACAAATACAAAGAAGCATATCGTAAACAGTTGGGTCACCACATTGGCGCCCGAGCAGTACACGATGACCCCAAGATAATGTGGTCCCTCCACATTGCCAAAGTGCAGAGTGACCGTGAGTACAAGAAAGATTTTGAGAAATACAAGACAAGGTACAGCAGCCCAGTGGACATGCTTGGTATCGTTTTGGCCAAGAAGTGTCAGACCTTGGTCAGCGATGTGGACTATAAACATCCTCTGCATGAATGGATCTGCCTGCCCGACCAGAATGACATCATTCATGCACGGAAAGCCTATGACCTCCAGAGTGACGTAAGTTTCCTTGATGTTAGCTCTGCATGTTAAAAGCGGATCTGAAACGTGTCTGTGAGTTCTGACTAGTGCCAATGAACTGCAATTTGTTTGTATATTTCAAACAATTTACAATTAAATGTCTGAAAGGAGTTTCCCATTGGAGGTACTACAATTTGTTTTCTTCTCCAAAAGTTCTCTGTAGGAGAGGAAACAAAGTAAATATTATCAGTTCTAAACAGGTATAAATCTTCCTAGGGATTCAGGCTTCCTTTGTTTGAATCAGATGAAACTTAGCCCTTAAAAATATATCACTGCAAACTTTTGGCTAAGGAAGTAAAAAAATGTGTGTGTTTGTTGGCAGAGGGCAGTAGGGAGATAGAGGGAAAGCATATTATGCTAAATTACTTTAATTTACATTTTATACTTACTGATGGGAAAATTCTATCATTCTTACGTTTTTCGAAACCAGTCGTCTAATACTTATCAACATTCAGCATGTCCTATTGAGAGTAAAATAAAATGAATAATTAAGGAAATACCAAACATATCTCTGTAACATCACATTTCCTTTATACACTTGAAGTTTTGTGATTTTTGAAGATGGAAATAAAAGTGAGAATTTTTTGACTGCAGTACTCACGCACCATCAGTCTCAGTGTGTGGTTTTATTTGGAGCTATTAGACTACATTTTCCAAGGCTAAAAAAGCATGCTTCTCTGTAAAAATCTTGTAATACTGTCATAGGCAGGACCATGTCTTTTACTTTAAAAGAAGATCTTTTATCATTCTTGCTGTACTCCTCTGTACCAAAAAAACGCTCAGAAAAAAAAATACACTTAGGATTCAATAATGTGCGTGAGTGAGTGAATGACTATGCTAGGAACCTTAACTATTCATCGGTATTTTTGTGTTTCTCTAGGATAACCCATTTTGTAACTATGAATCTGAAACACTAATTAATAAATCTGTTTCTTATCTGTTGATCTGCAGAATTTGTATAAGTCAGACCTTGAATGGATGAAAGGCATTGGCTGGGTTCCGATTGATTCCTTGGAAGTTGTTAGGGCCAAGAGAGCTGGAGAATTACTTAGTGATACTATCTACCGTCAGCGTCCAGAAACGCTGAAATTTACCAGTATAACGGACACTCCGGAGCAGGTGCTGGCAAAAAACAATGCTTTAAACATGAATAAGGTGAGTCTTCAATCCTCACTGTTAGATACCGAAAGTTACCACAGAACAATTTAAAAATTCTGATATATTATTGCATTTTAAAGATAATAATAAGCATTATGATACCTTCTTAAATGATTTTTCCACTATAATACCATAGTTACTTAGTGATACTTCAAAATATTAAACCATTGTTAAAAGTACTGTGTGCTTTTGTTTGTTTGTTTTGTTTTTTGAGACTAAGTTTTGTTCTCGTCGCCCAGGCTGGAGTGCAATGGCACGATCTTGGCTCACTGCAACCTCCACCTCCTGGGTTCAAGCAATTCTCTTGCCTCAGCCTCCCAAGTAGCTGGGATTACAGGAGCCTGCCACCACACCCAGCAAATTTTTGTATTTTCAGTAGAGACAGGGTTTCACCATGTTGAAGGCTGGTCTCAAACTCCTGAGCTCAGGTGATCCACCCATCTCGGCCTCCCAAAGTGCTGGGATTACAGGTGTAAGCCACCGTGCCCAGCCTAAAGTACTGTGTGCTTCTGATTGGATTAGTAGGTTGTCAAAAAAAAAAAAATACTGTGTGCTATAACTCTTTCCTATAAATTATTTTAAATACTTCAATCCAATTATACTTTTCATAACCGATAAGTCCTTTAACAGATTATTGAAAGAATTTTAATAAGAAACAAAGGTAAGGAATTTATGCAGCTTTAATAATTTTATTTCTACCTTGTATACAAGAGAGATGACTGGCACATAATCAAAACAATAATATCTGTGAACACCAAAATAATTTTTCTCTCTCTCTCTCTCTTTTTTTTTTTTTTTTGTAGCGCTTATATACTGAAGCCTGGGACAATGACAAGAAAACTATTCATGTCATGCCTGATACACCAGAAATCATGTTAGCCAAACTCAACCGAATAAACTACAGTGATGTAAGTAAACTGTTGATCTTGTAATGAACAGAAAGGCAAAAATGAACCACTGTAGCTGTTTCCTTAGGAAAAGGTTTTGACTAATTTACTACACATACTACAAACTACCATTTTCAGTAGAAGAGATAGTTCTCACTTGATTCAATTTTGAGCTTTGTGGTGGGTCCACAAAGTAGGCTACCATTTTATTAACAGGTTATCAGGAATTGAATGATTATGAATAAATATTTCCATAGGAATTATACTTTTAAAACCTTCCCCTACAGGTCACTGTGGGTATCAAGTCATTATTTTATTCAGCAGCTAGCAAGTAGGCAAGGACTGGGTTGGAATCTGATGAGTTAGTAAGCCGCATATTATTTTGCTGCTCCAGTATGCTCTGATAATCATTTGATGTTAACATTTTTCCAGGCATTTCTGCCAGAACCAACATTTTCAAAAGGGCAATGATCCTGAAATCCCAGGTCCATATATGAATCATTGTCCGAGATAATAGTCCACAGCAAAATAAGAAAAAATAAGCACAATGCATTGAGTTTTTCATAAAACAGAATAGAGTACATTTTAAAATATTGTCCTTGTTTTTTATTCTTCTTTTGTGTTAAGATGCTGTGTCTTTTATATTATGATGACAATAATAAATACTGTTTTGTTTTGTTTTGTTACGTTTGAGACATAGTTTCACTCTGTCACCCAGGCTGGAGTGCAGTGGCACAATTTTGGTTCACTGCAACCTCCGCCTCCTGGGTTCAAGCAATTCTCCTGCCTCAGCCTCCCGAGTAACTGGGATTGCAGGTGCATGCTACCATGCCCAGTTAATTATTGTATTTTTAGTGGAGACGGGATTTCACCATGTTGGCCAGGCTGGTCTCTTCTCAAACTCATGACCTCAGGTGATCCACCCATCTCAGCCTCCCAAAGTGCTGGGATTACAGGCGTGAGCCACCACGCCCGGCCAGTAAATAATTTTTTTTTTTACATCTGCTTGTTTGGCAAATAAAATTTTGCCAACCAAATGTTGATTTTTTCCCCACATTTTTTTGTTGAAATTTACAAGTCAGTAAAATCCCAATGTTTGGAACATGTGCCTTAAAAATCCTAAGCACCCATGAGGCAAAGCTATCTATAAACCCACCCTAATGATTGACTTTGTGAATTATTTCTGAAGTTTAAATGAGGACAAAGAAAAACTAATAATGAACAGCTTCACTTTTTATGGAAGGAGTAAATGAGTAATGACTTTCTTTTCTACAGAAACTCTATAAACTTGCTTTGGAAGAGTCCAAGAAGGAAGGCTATGACTTGCGTCTGGATGCCATTCCAATCCAAGCAGCCAAGGCTTCAAGAGATATTGCTAGTGATGTAAGTGGATGTTTTGGAAAAGCCATTTCTTATTCAAAGATGTTGACAAATAGAAGCTTTTAGAGTTTTTCTTGCTAGAAATTTAGTTACCCCTATAAGTCTCAATTCCCTTTAGTGATTTTCCCCTATACAAAATTGTAAATGGAAAAAAAGAAAAGCACAAAATTCTAGACCCATTATACCCATCAATCAATCAAAACTAGAGACATACTATTTTTTAAAAAGTGTTTTACGGACACCAAAAATGGGTTCATATTTTTGAGCTTCAGAAATTGAACACTCCGTCTTCAAAAAAAATAAATAAATAATTGAGCAGCAGTTGACCTAGATGTTTGTGAAATTAAAGGGATTAATTTATTCCCTTTAAATAATATGTGAGAAACAGCCAATATACATGTAAACTCTTCCTTACTACTTCTATTTATTCTTGCATTAAAAGAAAACTAGATGGATATGTCTTAGAGATTTGTTTTGTCCTTTGTAACTCCTAATTGGTGAGATGTCCCTCACCGGACACAAGAACAAGTGGCAAAGTAAGCAGAGCTTTTTCTCAGTACCCGCTTGCCTCTTCTCTACTCCTTTTCTTCACATGCGAAACACCTCCTAAGGGTGGCCAGTGTCCTCATTCTGTAACAAGCCTCCTTAGGACTCAAATCCAGACTTTCCCTCTTCTGGAAGGGCCTCATGCCTTAGACATATGTTTCATTTCTTCTGTAAACTAAAAAGTATCTGAAACAGATCTCAATCAATTTAGAAGTTTATTTTGCCAAGGTTAAGGACACACACCGTATTATCAAAACTTTTCTTGCTGTTAAGCTGGAGAAGCCCACACCATGGTAGAATGGACCATAATGCGTTATTCTGGAATCTTCAAGGTAGATAAACTGACTCATAGTGAAAGTTCAGTGATGTTGACAGGCTGATAAGAGAGCCATTTCCTGGTGACACATAAACTCTATCTAAATGTAACACATATCCTTGACTGAGAAGTCTATTATAAGTTCTAATAAGGGAACTATTCTAAAATATTCTTAATGTCAAACAGTTTTGGGAAAATAACTGTTATTTTCCATCAGATTGTTATGCTCCATCAGATTGTACAATATATTTACCTCTACTTGTTAAGGAATCAAATGTAAACTGAGCAGTGTGGTATAATAAGGAGGAAAAATATTAGGAATGAGAAGCTCTTCATTCTAGGCTCATGCTGCCACCTGCTTGTGGTGTGACTGCGCAAATCACTCAACCCCTGCTAGGTTCAGGTTTTGACTTTTAAAAATAGGGTTGATGATACTCACTTTTCTCCTTCATGATAGTGTTGGGGAAAAGAAAAAGAAACAATGTGAATGTGAACCTATGAAACATGATTATATAAGATGTTCTTGTCATTATACTCATATCTCTATTTTTTTAGTACAAGTACAAGGAAGGCTACCGCAAACAGCTTGGCCACCATATTGGGGCCCGGAACATTAAGGATGACCCGAAGATGATGTGGTCCATCCATGTGGCCAAGATCCAGAGTGACAGGGAGTACAAGAAGGAGTTTGAGAAGTGGAAGACCAAGTTCAGCAGCCCAGTGGACATGCTGGGGGTGGTGCTGGCCAAGAAGTGTCAGATCCTTGTAAGCGACATAGACTACAAGCATCCCCTGCATGAATGGACCTGCCTGCCTGATCAGAATGACGTCATTCAGGCTCGGAAGGCCTATGACCTGCAGAGTGATGTGAGTGGCTCTAATATTCTTCAGTAATGGTTTAGAAAAGCATTCTAACTCTTTTGTGCCATGGAATCTTTCCACAGTCTGGTGAAACCTACAGACACCTCTTTAGGATAATGTTCTGAAATGCACAAAATAAAGTATGTATTTAGTTTCAGAAGAAACCAATCATATTGAAATATCATTATCAAAGTATTAAACCAAACCTGTAATGTGCTTTTCATTAACACATTAAGTAAAAAATTCTAGTGGTGACTGTAATAACTAATTTCAAAGAAGTGATGAGCATAAATACTTTAAGACATCAGCAACAACTCTGTACTAGTCTGTTCTCACAGTGCTATAAAGAACTACCTGAGACTGGGTAATTTATGAAGAAAAGAGGTTTAATTGACTTACATTTCCATGGGCTGTACCAGAGCATGGCTGGGAAGGCCTCAGGAAACTTACAATCATGGTGGAAGGTGAAGGGGAAGCAGGCACATCTTCACATGGTGGAGCAGGAGAGAGAGAGCAAAGGGGGAAGTGCTACACACTTTTAAGCACCTGGATCTCATGAGAATTCACTCACTATCACAAGAACAGCAAGGGGGAAGTCCAATCACCTCCCACCAGGCCCCTCCTCCAACATTGAGGATTACAATTCAACATGAGATCTGGATGAAGATGCAGAGCCAAACTATATCAAACTATAATAGGACATAAAAAGATTTGAGATTTCTATAGCTGACAAAGTCAGGTGTAGTGTCAATACTGCTGTAATATATTGCTTATACTTACAATGGATAAAATGCTATATTTCAGTTAGAGGTTAATGAAAATGAAGATGTTACATATTTTTTCTATCCAAGTTCACTGATGCCAGGTTAAGAATTCCTGTTCTAAACAAGCTAATTTTCTAAATGAATCAATTGCATTATAATTTTGTGTCTATTTAACTTATAGGAAGTATCTATTGTAACTTTTGAATGGAAGTTTAAAAATGAATTATACATATGAAGACAAATTTTCTAAGAAACTTGAAAACAATTGTTCCCTAGAAATACGTTAGGCACTTTTGTTGTTGGCCAGTAGAGTCCTTTGGAGACTCAAATATTACCTCATTGATATCATAGCTCCTTGTTTTAATCAAGCTCTGGTTAAATCAAGCACTTTTGGAAGAATGATAAAAGCAGTGACAGTTAAAAAAAGAGAGATTCCCTGAAAGCCATAAAAACAAAAAGAATTGTTACCCTTCCTTACAAGAAAAATTTTCCTTCAACCAGTTGTTTATATTCAAAGAAGAAAATGAAAGAAAGAAAAAATGTATTTGTTTACTTGAATTCTAAGACAAGAAAGAGGATGGAGGATAAAATAAATATGAGTAAAGAGAGATGTACTCTGTGACTTGGAAGCATGTACATAGAAGCATACGAAAAAGACGTCGTTTTTATCCCCAAAAAAACACATTAATGCAACGTGATCAACCAGTAATGCTCATTTCTTCTCTATATACCAAGAAGAGCTATGAAGGCCACTGCCTAACAACATAGGAGCCAACTGTATTCTCACCCAGTACAGTTTCCATAAGAGGAGGTAGGGACCATCAAATCAGAGAATAAACACTGTTTCAGGAGGCAGGCAGTAATTTCCTTAAGGTGGTTTTTATCACTGAAAATGAATAGCATTAAAGAGATTTTTATGAGTCTTTAAAACAGTAAATATTGGCTACCTTCAGGAGCCAGGCATTTAACTAGCCATTCTAAACCAAAGTAAAGCAATCCTGTGGGTCTTCCCAGAAATTTACACAAATAAGATTCAGACTAACACATTATCTGTGTATGTTAAATCAGGATCAGGCACCAGGCCGTCTAGGTGACATCTATAAATATTTGACATTATTTCATTTTCAGGCTATTTACAAATCTGATCTTGAGTGGCTGAGAGGCATAGGATGGGTTCCCATTGGCTCTGTAGAGGTCGAGAAAGTGAAGAGAGCTGGAGAAATCCTGAGTGACAGGAAGTATCGCCAGCCTGCAGACCAGCTCAAATTCACATGCATTACCGACACTCCGGAAATTGTCCTAGCAAAGAATAATGCCCTGACAATGAGCAAGGTGAGTCTCCAGCTGTTTTCTGTTGCCAGAATCATACCTTCCACAGATTTGGCTCATAAAGTAGGAAATTCCCTAAGGATTCCCTGAGAAAGGAGGTGTCATAGGCCTGATTCTCATGCAGGCCTTTAACAGAGCATCTGCTTGAATTCAAGGTGTGCTCTTCTCAACACCCTGCCCCCTAATTCTCTGTGTGCATGTGGGAACAGAGCCTGGAATGATTTCCCTGGAGTGATGCACTCACCCTTCTGAGCAGTGACCTGGAGACATCACAATTGCATTACCCT
The DNA here is from genome assembly GCF_000001405.40 of Homo sapiens. Classification (NCBI taxonomy): domain Eukaryota; kingdom Metazoa; phylum Chordata; class Mammalia; order Primates; family Hominidae; genus Homo; species Homo sapiens. The sequence continues at coordinate 151,611,901 of NC_000002.12, read as the reverse complement.
TCCTCACACATTCTCCTAGGCAGAGCAGATTCAGGCCACTTACGTGTCTTTAGCCATCTGGTAAGGAATATAAGCCATTTACACTTCATTCTGAGGGCTGGGATACACATAGTGTTTCATAGCAATGCTGGTACACATTCAAATTGGTTGCTCAGGTTGCTCCTCCACATTAGGTTATGGAAATCCACTTTTGAAAGCTAGCTGCAATCTCTGCTTTCAGTTTTATTACACAAGATAGATGATCATTTGTTTCATCCAAAATTTTATCAATCTATTTTTATCCAATGAGTCAGCCCTTAATATGCATATTTTAGACTGATTTGAACTTGAATTCTCCCACACCTGCCTGGAAGCCTTCCAATCATTAGGCTAGTACAATTGAGTGCTCAGTACAAATATGAAAGTGGCTTCAGATAGCAAACTCCAGAGTCTGGGGTATACAACTCTAGAAACTCTTTTATACTATATCCATCAACAGCAACCACAATGATAACAGCAATAGGAATCACCAAAAAATCGTTGAGTATCTGCTATGACTTGGGCATTTTATATATGTTATGGATCATCTTCAAAAAATAATAAAAAAGAATGATTATCCCCCTCTCAGAAATGAGGAATGTGAGGAGTTATGTACCTTTCTCAAGATCACACAGCTTGGAAATAGTAGAGTTGGGTTTGCACTTGGGATTGACTCTGAAGTCTAGGGATTTCTACTGTCTCATAGTTCCATAACTGAGATCCATCTTTGGATATCTGAATAAGCTTGTGATTCAGTGGATGAAAAGAATTACTAATAGCAACCATTATATTGCTTCATATTAATTATGAAACCATTGTACAGCTATTTAAATATTGCTATGTTTTACTTTCCCCATGACTCTTTTGCTTCCCTCACCTCCCAAAAGCATTAGAAGGAGCTATTTTATAGTTAAATGTGAGTTAAATTTGCTAACAACTGTAATGATGTTATTGGCTTTAACAGAAGGTCTTATACTCCCTCCCTCTCCCCATGCCCCATGCCGCCCTGCCCTGTAGCATTTATACACAGAAGCTTGGGATGCTGACAAAACCTCCATCCACGTGATGCCAGACACCCCAGATATCCTGCTGGCCAAGAGTAATTCTGCCAATATCAGCCAAGTAAGAGATTTCCTGATTGTTGCTTAAACCTAAGATTAATTAAAATGCTTTTTCCACCGTAACAATTTCCTTTCTGGAATTGGCCTATTACCTTCCTCAAACACTCTTATTTTCTGTCGTCTATTATCCCTTCCCTAGAAACTTTACACCAAGGGATGGGATGAATCAAAGATGAAGGACTATGATCTGAGAGCAGATGCTATTTCCATCAAAAGTGCCAAGGCCTCCAGGGACATCGCCAGTGACGTGAGTACCTTCCATCTAACTCTCTGTGGTCTCCACTGTGCTGAACAACCCAGAGGGTGGCTGGTGAACCACACACTCTATAGTGATTTCCACATGTACCTTCCAGTCCTACTTCCTACCTCTCAAGACCATTCCCTTTGTTGTTACAGAGAATAAAAATACATTTTGGCATTATAGTTAGAGTTGCTGCAGGGAATGCTTTCACCAATGAAGATATATGATTACATTACAATTATTTTTAAAACAGTATAAAACATTGCTTTTAAATATAATAGTTCAGAGATGCCAAAATGTTTGTAATATAAAATCTTGTCCATTTCATGTTGTCTGTAATTGTCAGCACATGAGCATGGTTTTAAAACTGGATGTCTCCACCTGTATTTCTGGCATTTTAGTACAAATACAAGGAAGCCTATGAGAAACAGAAAGGCCACCACATTGGAGCCCAGAGCATTGAAGATGATCCCAAGATTATGTGTGCCATACATGCAGGAAAAATTCAAAGTGAAAGGGAGTACAAGAAGGAATTCCAAAAGTGGAAAACCAAGTTCTCTAGCCCAGTGGACATGTTAAGCATCTTGCTGGCCAAGAAATGTCAGACTTTGGTCACTGACATTGATTATCGCAATTACCTGCATGAATGGACATGCATGCCGGATCAAAACGACATTATCCAAGCAAAAAAGGCCTATGACCTGCAGAGTGATGTACGTAACATGAATTTTGGGAAAGGGGGAAGGGGAAGATGTAGATTTGTTCATTGCCCAGTCAGTGCCTCTGAGGACAGTCCCCTGGGCTGTGCACTGCACAAACCTGGGGGTGGGGCTGGGGGTACCATTCACATTGTTTAATATAAAATCCATCTTTAGTAGTAACTTCTGGCAATGAAAACATATTTCAGACAAATATAAATCATCTGAATGTTTTTAAAATAATTGTTGCTATTATGCTAGATCCAAAACACTAAACAGCATTTCCTTGGGTCAATTGCCACAGGATTAAAATGGAATCTAATTCAGCAAAATTTTCCTTTAAAAATTTTCAACTATAAAATTTTTTGAAATATCAAATAATTATATTATGGAATTCAGCTTTATTACTATATATATTATTATTCATGGCTAGTATAAATAATTATGTTTTTACAAGTGACTTCTGTGATCAATATTAAAAACCCTCAATCATGTGAGATCTCAGGTCTTGCTTTTTTGGAAGTACAATCTCGTGCACTTATCCCGTCAACCCCATGTGCTTTATTTTTCAGCTAAGGATTTGTATGTCTAACACTTGAAATGTTTTTCCTTTTTTTTTTCTTTTATTTTGAAATGGAGTTTCACTCTCGTTGCCCAGGCTGGAGTGCAATCTCCAATTGCACTCCATCCCTTAAAAAAATTTTTTTAAATGTTAGCACTCACGACTTCAACTTATGATCACAAAAGGGATTTCCAGTGTCACAATGATGTACTTTCATGTTTTATTTTTGCTTTGCCGTTGCATGTACTCAGAGTTTCAGTGCTGAAGGCCTGCACCTTGCTTCTCATACAATCTTTGCCAATTTTTTCATTAAATGTTGACATTTAACTTTTTTTTTTTTTTTTTTTTTTTTTTTTGTGAGACGGAGGTTTGCTCTTGTTGCCCAGGCTGGAGTGCAATGGCACAGTCTCGGCTCACTGCAAGCTCTGCCTCCCGGGTTCAAGCGATTCTCCTGCCTCAGCCTCCCAAGTAGCTGGGATTACAGGCATGCGCCACCATGCCCGGCTAATTTTTGTATTTTTAGTAGAGATGGGGTTTCACCATGTTGGTCAGAAATGGTATTTTTGTCTGACATCTTCTTTATAGAGTGTGTATAAGGCAGACCTGGAGTGGCTGCGTGGCATCGGCTGGATGCCAGAAGGCTCAGTGGAAATGAACAGAGTGAAGGTTGCTCAAGACCTCGTGAATGAAAGACTCTATAGGACACGTCCAGAAGCTTTGTCATTCACCAGCATTGTCGACACTCCAGAAGTTGTCTTGGCAAAAGCCAATTCTCTGCAAATAAGTGAGGTAAGAACCATCCTACTATCTTTTCCAAAGATACCACCCAAACTGAGCCCGTAGACTGGACTTCTTCAAAGAATTTTGGTGAGACGAGCAACTCTAAAAATGTCTTCACTAGTGCAGATACACTGAAAATAGAACTCTGACAAACACCAACATGCCTTTCTTCTACCACACATACACACTTTGAAGCACTGCAGTGAAAATGTCACTCCCTGGCAACTCAGGAACACAAATACTTGTTGACCTCATATTAAATACTAAGACATGTAGTGTCATGCTACATAATAACATAACATTGTATTAGTCCAGATTCTCTAGAGAAACAGAACCAATAGGGGCTGTGTGTGTGTGTGTGTTTGTGTGTGTGTGTTTGTACACACACACAGAAGAGAGAGACTTTAAGAAATTGGCTCCTGAGATCATGCAGGCTGGCAAGTCCAAAGTCTGCAGGGTAGGCCAGCCGGCTAGAGACTGAGGGATGTGTTGCAATTCAAACCCAAAGGCCATCTGCTGGCAGAATTCCTTTTTACTGGGGAGGTTTGTCTTTTCTATCAAGGTCTTCAACTAATTAGATAAGGCTCACCCACATCATGAAGGGTAGTCTCCTTTACTTGGAATCTACTGATTTAAATGTTAACTTCATTTTAACAATACTTTCACAGAAACACCTAAAATAATGTTTGACTAAATATCTGGGTACCATGCCCCAGCCAAGCTGACACATAAAGTTAACCATTATAAACATATGTAAAAACGTTTTTCCAGATTGAGTAGTTAGCTAAGGCTTACATTAGTTAACTATTAGCCAAACATTAGCTAAGGCTTAATGTTTCAGATATTGATTCCCTATTTCCCTCCTCTCCACAGAAACTGTATCAGGAAGCCTGGAATAAAGATAAAAGCAACATCACCATTCCTTCTGATACTCCGGAGATGCTGCAGGCCCACATCAATGCCTTGCAAATCAGCAATGTAAGTGGCACGAACATGAAGTGTAAAAGCCTTTATGGGCAATATCTGTCTGCTCATGGAGAGTGTTATAGTGACAAATTACCTACCTTGCAATGTTTGTGGCTTTTGGTGCTAGACATTTTCTCTTTAGCTACCAGTCCCAATGCGATATGAATGGAGTTTCTCTCTTTTAAATGAGTGCTTGGATACATCGGTGGGTGCCTAGACTGCAGGATATGGGACACCTGAATCCTTTTGGTGTCCTCCTTCACTCTTAACAGTCTCTGTTATCATCTTAGGTTTTTTTAATTGATCCAGGACTTTTTCATTTGACATTTCAAGGCCATAAGAAAGACAAAAGACCATTTCTATTTACATCCAGATGGCGGGCTAGGTATGATATCTATGTCACAACTCTTTAGCAGAAACTTCTGAAAAGTCAAAGGACAAAATTAGGGGGAGAAAAATCTTATCAGATCTTACCTGATATCTTGATAAAGATTCTCTGGCTTCCCCATTGATCCTTAGGTTCCATGTACTTGTAGTGGGATATTTTCAAATGCATACCATATTGTGATGGATGCAAATATTCAAACATTAATAGAGTTTGATGTTTAGCTTTAAAATTTTAACCAGAAGTATCCTGTACACCACAGAGGAAATATCCAACAACGAAAAGAACCCAGAAATGAATGCTTTTTTCTTATATTGACTACATTACCATATTCTTTATGATTTATATTATGACAAATTTGAGTAAATTTGCTTATTTTTCCATTCTTGTAAACAAACCTTTATTTTCCCTCTATAGAAACTCTACCAAAAAGACTGGAATGACGCCAAGCAGAAAGGCTATGACATAAGGGCAGATGCCATTGAAATCAAGCACGCCAAGGCCTCCAGAGAAATTGCCAGTGAGGTACGCTTCCTTCTCTTTTCTTGTGGTTTTTCTTTTCTACAAAACGAGCAGGGAGACTATTTTTCAAGAATTTTGTGTTTTTAAAAAATCTGTGCATAGAATTCATCTCATCCTGTGCTAGAAGCTTTCTGTATTTGAAAATATTAAAATGGAATGGAAAACATTAAAGTTAGCATAGATGAGGTATATGTGTAAATTTACTTTGATGCTGTTACAAAGTAGAAACAAAACATCATGAAGAGTCTGTATTAAATTCCTGGGAAAATTCAGGACCCAATACAATGTCATTTTTATCCCTAAAATATTTCTGACATTCTCCACAAATATAAGTCACAGATGATAGTTTCATATAAGACTTAAGACTGAAATCATATTTATATGCAAGATTTTATACTGGAGGCTTATGTAGAATACTCTTAGTAATCTTTGGAACTTCATTTAATTCTAATTTTAAAACTTACTAGTGGTCAAAATAATTATGCTACCTGTCGGGCATGGTGGCTCACCCCTGTAATCCCAGCACTTTGGGAGGCTGAGGTGGGCGGATCACCTGAGGTCAGGAGTTCGAGACCAGCCTGGCCAACATGGTAAAACCTCATCTCTACTAAAAATACAAACAAACAAACAAACAAAAACTTAGCTGGGCGTGGTGGCGGGAGCCTGTAATCCCAGCTACTCAGGAGTCTGAGGCAGGAGAATCACTTGAACCTGGGAGGCGGAGGTTTGCAGTAAGCCGAGATCATGCCATTGCGTTCCAGCCTGGGCAACAAGACTGAAACTGCGTTTCAAAAAAAATAAAAATAAAAATAGAATAATTATGCTACCAGGTGCACCCTGCCCCCAGCTCCAACTCTTTAAGCCACCTTGTTCCTTTCTCTGTGTTCTTCTCTGATTTTCATCATGTAGCCAGTTGTTTCCTCCTTCTTATTCTTCATTTTTGCCTCTAATAACCATAGCTAGTCCACGTTATCTGCTTGATTCCCAGTTTTCTCTCTCTTTGTTCAAACTTGCCTATGTTGTCCAAACATAGGAAAGAAACAGAAACCACCTTACACTAGTCCTGAGACACTCATCAGATGGAAACTCTTGTCCACAGAACTTTTGTTGTTATCTTCTGATTCAAGCCACAACCTTGCTTTCCATCCTTGAAACATGCATCTTTCTTATCTGTTTCCAAAACCACACACGTATGACCTCTCCCTACCTGAGGTTCCTTCAGTACTCTTAGGAGATCATTTGACCTAATGTTGCACTTGTCAGGGAAGCTTGGTGATGGAGATTATCACCTGTGCCTTGTTTTCCCCATCTGGAATATATGTTAATAATAGTATCTACCTCATAGAGACATTGTGAGGATGAACTGTGATCATAATTGCCACCAGTCAATGATTTTTGACCGAAAAACATGGTAGTTTCATGTGGATCTACCCAACACATTAGAAGTAGTCATAATAGTGTCCGGCATAGAGTAATTACTTAGTAAATGTTAGCTATTGTTTTCATTACTCTTGTTCACCATACCATCTCCCTCCTGATTTACTCATGTCCTCTCTGAAATGACCTAAAATCGTATTATCTAATTTCTTTAAAGTGAACTGAAATATGTAATGACTGCCAATGTTGAGCCAATTTATACCAAGGCTAAGAAAACATACTGAAACCATTTAAATTAGAAAACCCCTCTTAATACATTATTTTCATATGTCTTTTTAATATGATTTCTTACTACTTTAGTACAAATACAAAGAAGGTTACCGTAAGCAACTGGGCCACCACATGGGTTTCCGCACCCTACAAGATGACCCCAAGTCAGTATGGGCTATACATGCTGCCAAGATCCAGAGTGACAGAGAATATAAGAAAGCTTATGAGAAGTCTAAAGGAATTCACAACACACCGTTGGACATGATGTCAATTGTTCAAGCCAAGAAATGCCAGGTCCTGGTTAGCGACATTGATTATCGCAATTATCTGCACCAGTGGACGTGTCTGCCAGATCAGAACGATGTGATCCAGGCCAAGAAAGCCTACGACCTGCAGAGCGATGTGCGTATATTATCGCCAGACCCCGGGGAGATGTGTATTTGTGTGTTTAAATCCAGTGCATTCCCCAGAGGCATAATTTAAATGGTAATCTTAATAGAACCTAACATATTCTGTACAATTCATGGTAGCAGAGTTTTCCCCAGACATTTTCTATCTTATAGAGGACTCCTTCTTATGGTAGCAAGACCTTATTTACCAAGATGAAAATCAGTCTCTTATTCTATGTAATTAGGTAGAAAATTTCAGTTGCAGCTGCTCTGAGCCGTTACCTTTGCATAATCATATACATATTTCATAAGTAGATGTAAGCATAAGGAAATGTTGGATTTCATGTTTACTTGACACAGAAAGAGAGAGAGATGGGGGGCAGGGTGGATATCGATACAGGTATGTATTTTTTTCTCATTACGCATACATCTAAGGTTCTTTACCTCCTAAGATCCAACTGATGTTATTACTGATGTTACTTCCAGTGGTACATAAAAGGCAGACTTCAAGTGGTGAGTGTAGAAACTAATCCAAGCATACAAAGTTATGTGCCATTGCTGGCTGCCGTTCCACCAAGTGCCACTTGTGAGCCCTGTTCCAATTCCTGCAGGATACTCTAAACTTCTCCCATGTGTGCCAGAGAGATAACACCCAATATTAACATTTAATGTTGATCCTTGAGTTTTATGAGATTAGCCACCTAACTGATTTAAACAGAGGTGATGTGTGGTTTGCAAGCATCAAACTCTTATGGGCAACTTTGACTCTTCCCCACTCTGTGTTCCTCTCCTTCATGTAGAACTTGTACAAGTCAGACCTGGAATGGCTGAAGGGTATTGGATGGCTGCCAGAGGGTTCTGTGGAAGTGATGAGAGTGAAGAATGCCCAGAATCTCTTGAATGAAAGGCTGTATCGTATAAAGCCTGAGGCCCTCAAATTCACCAGCATTGTTGACACCCCGGAAGTAATCCAGGCAAAGATCAATGCTGTACAGATCAGTGAGGTAAGTCCAGGTGGATGATGTTTTCAGACAAATGGAAGAAATCTGAATCCAGAAGAATTTTAAACGTGAACTTTAGACTCTTCATGTCAGCGTCAGGATCTGAAACACGTTTGCATGTATCCAGATGGATCTTTGTGTAGTCAGTCTCTTAGCAGCCTCTGGATTTCATTTGCTTTGATAAGTGTTTGGTCAATGCACATGTGGTGGGCATCTTCATGTTCTACACACCCTGATACACACTTTGATCACATTTGGAGATCCAGACCATAATATAGGCCCACCACTTAGTACTATAATCACAAAATTGCCACTTCTTTATTGCTTGAAATAGGTTGAGAAGTCTAGGGACAACTTCAATGTTAGACATTATGGTAGTTATTTGGACCAAAAACAGCTAGGTCCTGCTCAGCAATGGGAATTATCAGAGCTATCTGCAATGTGGACTTACCCATCTGATAATTAGATGTGAGTAAATGGAAAAGAATAATTTTACTACCGTATTTCTGACTCATTTTAAATTATGTTGTATCACACATAAATGTGTTCTTATTGAAGTCACTATTGGCACCTTTTAAATAAAAGTGCAAAGGAGGCAAGGTGCAGTGGCTTATGCTATGTATAATCTACGTTTATATCGGAGAACATCCAAAAAGAACTTTTCATTTTGCTTATTATTTAATATAAAATTAGATTTACCTATTAATCTTACTTAAAAATTTTAATTTACTTATGTTAGTTTTAATTTATTATAAAATTCACTTAAAATTTTATTCATATCCATTTATTCAAGTATATGTTTCATGACTTTATAATTTTATTTATGTGGTAATTGACTTATTTACTAATTGACCATTCCATCGTTTTTCATTTTTCCCAGCCATTGTATCGCGATGCCTGGGAGAAAGAGAAGGCTAATGTGAACGTGCCAGCTGACACTCCCCTGATGCTGCAATCCAAAATCAATGCCCTGCAGATCAGCAATGTAAGACAGCACACATCATTTGCTTTTCACAGTGCTCTCTGCCTAACCAAACCTTTTATTATACACCCCAAAGAGAGTTTGTCAAAAGGCATTTTCTTCCCATTCCTTTTATTTCTAGTCTTTAAGTTAATGATAAGTAGCTGTGTGGGTCTGCGTGTGTCTGTATAATGTACATCTCAATATTTGTTGGAAGGAAAAATGGAATGGTTTCTCCAAAAACACAACATAAAACTTATAGATACACGTAGAGTAATACCTAGTTCTCAGGTTTTGGTGGGCCATCCATCATTGCTTTTTCCTTGTAAAAGCCAAGCAATATGTTTTTTTCTGATTTTTACATGATTTATTATCTCCTAAGTTTCCTTCTTCAAAAAATAATTATTGGGAGAGAGCTTTACTAAATGTCATTAAAAATCTACTGGAATTCAAGCTCAATATGAAACCAGACTCTTTCATAAATCTTAAGGAGACATTAATGTTCAGTGTAACTGTAAATATCTATTTTTAAATACATCAGTAATGCTGACTCAGTAGCTCCCTCTTCAGACTGACTGTGGCATTGCACTCTCTGTTTGCAGAAACGCTATCAGCAAGCTTGGGAAGATGTCAAGATGACTGGTTATGACCTGCGAGCAGATGCCATTGGGATCCAGCATGCCAAGGCTTCCAGGGATATTGCCAGTGACGTAAGAGCTCCTCCTTCCCAACCGGAACAAACACTAACTAGTAGAAATAGAGGGAGTTTAACTTAATGCCCTTTGAATTATATTTAAATGGAATTGGGTCATTGTTATTAGTATATTTGTAAATCCTAAATTCAAGAACAACTCTTACAATCTGAGGATCCTTTTGCATCTATGTTTGGTTCTGCAACTCTTGCGTTTAAGCACAGATTTTGATTTTCTTTTCAATATCTTCACAATGTCACTTAATTTACAAGTACTTAAAGAGATTTAATTTCATAGTACAGAGAATTCTGTTGTTACTCAAAGTGTGGCGTGTATACTACCGGTGTTTCCTATAATAATTTTATGTAGTACATGCACAAGTATTTTTTTAAAATAGTTATATGGTTGTTTTAATGTGTGCTAGAAATATACTGTTTTTTTCCACGTAGATAGGGTTACACATTTTTAAATAAAATTTTAAAATAAGTTTATAATTAAAAATTATTTCAGGCAAGGCATGGTGGCTCATGCCTGTAAATCCCAGCATTTTGGGAGGCCAAGGCGGGTGGATCACTTGAGGTCAGGAGTTCGAGACCAGCCTGGCCAACACGGTGAAACCCTGTCTCTACTAAAAATACAAAAATTAGCTGGGCATGGTGGCGGATGCCTGTAATCCCAGCTACTGGGGAGGCAGAGGCAGGAGAATCACTTGAACCCAGGAGGTGGAGATTGCAAGTGAGCCGAGATCGTGCTACTGCACTCTAGCCTGGGGAGCAGAGCGAGACTCTGTCTCAAAAAAAAAAAAAAAAAAAGAAAAGAAAAGTAAAATAAAAAAAATTTCAACAAAGAATTAATTTGATTTAAAGTAATAAGAAGTACAACTGGTACTTGTGTGTGACAAAACATCTGAAGGTGGCCAGGCTATATTGGGAGATAATCCAGCAACACAGTTCTTGCCTAAGAGATGCTCTCAATGTTTTCATGCATGTAGACACAGAAGACAAACCAATGTATCAAAACTTATGGCTTGAATTTAAATAAAAACAGTATTCCCCGACCCCCCCAAAAAAGGTAAACTAAGGGAGATGGAGTTAGTTTGAGTAGGCTCTCTAGAAAAAGTGGGTTTGGAAAAATTACTCTTCTATTTTCTGTTCACATCTACCAGTATCTGTACAAAACTGCTTATGAGAAACAGAAAGGCCATTACATTGGCTGTCGCAGCGCCAAGGAAGACCCTAAACTGGTTTGGGCAGCAAATGTGTTGAAGATGCAGAATGACAGGCTGTACAAAAAGGCCTACAACGACCACAAAGCCAAGATCTCCATCCCTGTGGACATGGTGTCCATCAGCGCTGCCAAAGAAGGTCAGGCACTGGCAAGTGATGTGGACTATCGCCATTACCTGCACCACTGGTCTTGCTTTCCCGACCAGAATGATGTGATCCAAGCCAGGAAAGCCTACGACCTACAGAGCGACGTAAGTGTGTCCCCCAGGAAACAAGTCCCCCATTGCTTTGCCTGATGGCTCCTTCCAATGCTCTGAAAACACAACTCTCTGTACGTAGGCACTCCACTTTATTATTATTTTATCAGAATTATTAATTGCCTACCTACAGCCAGGTTTCTTCAGAAAGTTTTCATTGTTAAAGGTGCTACCAGAATTTTCCTATAGATTTGTTAATGTGTACAGTGTTTCCAGTTTCTTTCTTTTTTTTTTTTTTTTTTTTTGAGACGGAGAGTCTTGCTCTGTCACCCAGGCTGGAGTGCAGTGGTGCAATCTCAGCCCACTGCAACCTCCGCCTCCCAGGTTCAAGCGATGTTCCTGCATCAGCCTCCCAAGTAGCTGGGATTACAGGCATGTGCACCACACCCAGCTAATTTTTGTATTTTTATTAGAGGCGGGTTTTCGCCATCTTGGCCAGGCTGGTCTTGAACTCCTGGCCTCAGGTGATCCACTTGTCTCAGCCTCCCAAAGTTCTGGGATTATAGATGTGAGCCACCGCGCCCAGCCTTGCAGTTCGTTTCTTTGTTCCTTCCTTCCTTCCTTAGTCTGGCCCTGCGGCCCAGGCTGGAGTCTCAGCTCACTGCAACCTCTGCCTCCCGGGTTCAAGCGATTCTTCTGCCTCAGCCTCCCAAGTAGCTGGGATTACAAGCACATGCCACCACAGTCGGCTGATTTTTTTATTTTTTAGTAGAGGCAGGGTTTCATCATGTTGGCCAGGCTGGTCTCAAACCCCTGACCTCAGGTGATCCACCTGCCTTGGCCTCCCAAAGTGCTGGGGCAGTTTCTTAAACAGAAGAATGTCCATGGTCCTTCAGCTATGAATCAAAGAAGGGCAGGACCATCTTCCTCAAACTTAATTTGAAAAGTTAGCAGCACGCTCCAGACCACTTGATGTTCTTCACAATGTGGTCTTTCATTAACTCACCTAAGGCATTTTTAGATTTACTCGTATTTTCTGCCCTTCAGACTTTTAGAAATGATGGATTACAGAAGGTTATTTATTTCCTGTATAGAATGGATAACTTAAAAATTATCTGATCTTGGTTCCCTTAAGCTTCCAGAGATACCTTTTTGTAATGAATGAGTTCATTACAGGAAAGCATGCTCATCACTTAAAATGCATTGCCAAGTGGTAGATTTAAGACAGTTTCTGGAGACCAAAACTGTGGAACTAGTGATCGAATTCTTAATCATCCTTTTAAAAATACTTATTAAACACACCATGTGCCAGGCATTGTGCTAAGCACTAAAGATACAATGGTGAATAAAGAAGAAGAAAGAACATGACATAGGGCTGGGCGCGGTGGCTCACACCTGTAATCCCAGCACTTTTCAGACAAATACATTTTCAGACAAATAAAAATCATCTGAATGTTTTTAAAATAATTGCTGCTATTATGCTAGATCCAAAACACTAAACAGCATTTCCTTGGGTCAATTATCACAGGATTAAAGTGGAATCCAATTCAGCAAAATTTTCCTTTAAAAATTTTCAACTATAAAATTTTTTGAAATATCAATTATATCATGGAATTCAGCTTTATTACTATACATATTATTATTCATGGCTAGTATAAATAATTATGTTTTTACAAATGACTTCTGTGATCAATATTAAAAACCCTGAATCATGTGAGATCTCAGGTCTTACTTTTTTGGAAGTACAATCTCCTGCACCTATCCCTTCAACCCCATGTGCTTTATTTTTCAGCTAAAGATTTGTATGTCTAACACTTGAAATGTTTTTTCCTTTTTTTTTTCTTTTTTTTTGAAATGGAGTTTCACTCTCATTGCCCAGGCTGGAGTGCAGTCTCCAATTGCACTCCATCCCTTAAAAAAAATTTTTTTAAATGTTAGCACTCACGACTTCAACTTATGATCACAAAAGGGATTTCCAGTGTCACAATGATGTACTTTCATGTTTTATTTTTGCTTTGCCGTTGCATGTACTCAGAGTTTCAGTGCTGAAAGCCTGCACCTTGCCTCTCATACAATCTTTGCCTATTTTTTCATTAAATGTTGACATTTACCTTTTTTTTTTTTTTTTTTTTTTTTGTGAGACGGAGGTTTGCTCTTGTTGCCCAGGCTGGAGTGCAATGGCACAGTCTCGGCTCACTGCAAGCTCTGCCTCCCGGGTTCAAGCGATTCTCCTGCCTCAGCCTCCCAAGTAGCTGGGATTACAGGCATGCGCCACCATGCCCGGCTAATTTTTGTATTTTTAGTAGAGATGGGGTTTCACCATGTTGGTCAGAAATGGTATTTTTGTCTGACATCTTCTTTATAGAGTGTGTATAAGGCAGACCTGGAGTGGCTGCGTGGCATCGGCTGGATGCCAGAAGGCTCAGTGGAAATGAACAGAGTGAAGGTTGCTCAAGACCTCGTGAATGAAAGACTCTATAGGACACGTCCAGAAGCTTTGTCATTCACCAGCATTGTCGACACTCCAGAAGTTGTCTTGGCAAAAGCCAATTCTCTGCAAATAAGTGAGGTAAGAACCATCCTACTATCTTTTCCAAAGATACCACCCAAACTGAGCCCGTAGACTGGACTTCTTCAAAGAATTTTGGTGAGACGAGCAACTCTAAAAATGTCTTCACTAGTGCAGATACACTGAAAATAGAACTCTGACAAACACCAACATGCCTTTCTTCTACCACACATACACACTTTGAAGCACTGCAGTGAAAATGTCACTCCCTGGCAACTCAGGAACACAAATACTTGTTGACCTCATATTAAATACTAAGACATGTAGTGTCATGCTACATAATAACATAACATTGTATTAGTCCAGATTCTCTAGAGAAACAGAACCAATAGGGGCTGTGTGTGTGTGTGTGTTTGTGTGTGTGTGTTTGTACACACACACAGAAGAGAGAGACTTTAAGAAATTGGCTCCTGAGATCATGCAGGCTGGCAAGTCCAAAGTCTGCAGGGTAGGCCAGCCGGCTAGAGACTGAGGGATGTGTTGCAATTCAAACCCAAAGGCCATCTGCTGGCAGAATTCCTTTTTACTGGGGAGGTTTGTCTTTTCTATCAAGGTCTTCAACTAATTAGATAAGGCTCACCCACATCATGAAGGGTAGTCTCCTTTACTTGGAATCTACTGATTTAAATGTTAACTTCATTTTAACAATACTTTCACAGAAACACCTAAAATAATGTTTGACTAAATATCTGGGTACCATGCCCCAGCCAAGCTGACACATAAAGTTAACCATTATAAACATATGTAAAAACGTTTTTCCAGATTGAGTAGTTAGCTAAGGCTTACATTAGTTAACTATTAGCCAAACATTAGCTAAGGCTTAATGTTTCAGATATTGATTCCCTATTTCCCTCCTCTCCACAGAAACTGTATCAGGAAGCCTGGAATAAAGATAAAAGCAACATCACCATTCCTTCTGATACTCCGGAGATGCTGCAGGCCCACATCAATGCCTTGCAAATCAGCAATGTAAGTGGCACGAACATGAAGTGTAAAAGCCTTTATGGGCAATATCTGTCTGCTCATGGAGATTGTTATAGCGACAAATTACCTACCTTGCAATGTTTGTGGCTTTTGGTGCTAGACATTTTCTCTTTAGCTACCAGTCCCAATGCGATATGAATGGAGTTTCTCTCTTTTAAATGTGTGCTTGGATACATCGGTGGGTGCCTAGACTGCAGGATTTGGGACACCTGAATCCTTTTGGTGTCCTCCTTCACTCTTAACAGTCTCTGTTATCATCTTAGGTTTTTCTTATTGATCCAGGACTTTTTCATTTGACATTTCAAGGCCATAAGAAAGACAAAGGACCATTTTTAATTACATCCAAATGGCGGGCTATGTATGATATCTATGTCACAACCCTTTAGCAGAAACTTCTGAAAAGTCAAAGGACAAAATTAGGGGGAGAAAAATCTTATCAGATCTTACCTGATATCTTGATAAAGATTCTCTGGCTTCCCCATTGATCCTTAGGTTCCATGTACTTGTAGTGGGATATTTTCAAATGCATACCATATTGTGATGGATGCAAATATTCAAACATTAATAGAGTTTGATGTTTAGCTTTAAAATTTTAACCAGAAGTATCCTGTACACCACAGAGGAAATATCCAACAACGAAAAGAACCCAGAAATGAATGCTTTTTTCTTATATTGACTACATTACCATATTCTTTATGATTTATATTATGACAAATTTGAGTAAATTTGCTTATTTTTCCATTCTTGTAAACAAACCTTTATTTTCCCTCTATAGAAACTCTACCAAAAAGACTGGAATGACACCAAGCAGAAAGGCTATGACATAAGGGCAGATGCCATTGAAATCAAGCACGCCAAGGCCTCCAGAGAAATTGCCAGTGAGGTACGCTTCCTTCTCTTTTCTTGTGGTTTTTCTTTTCTACAAAACGAGCAGGGAGACTATTTTTCAAGAATTTTGTGTTTTTAAAAAATCTGTGCATAGAATTGCATCTCATCC
Organism: Homo sapiens; assembly: GCF_000001405.40. Lineage (NCBI taxonomy): Eukaryota > Metazoa > Chordata > Mammalia > Primates > Hominidae > Homo > Homo sapiens. The sequence goes on along the minus strand of NC_000002.12, from coordinate 151,595,945 downwards.
TCTGCTAGAAGCTTTCTGTATTTGAAAATATTAAAATGGAATGGAAAACATTAAAGTTAGCATAGATGAGGTATATGTGTAAATTTACTTTGATGCTGTTACAAAGTAGAAACAAAACATCATGAAGAGTCTGTATTAAATTCCTGGGAAAATTCAGGACCCAATACAATGTCATTTTTATCCCTAAAATATTTCTGACATTCTCCACAAATATAAGTCACAGATGATAGTTTCATATAAGACTTAAGACTGAAATCATATTTATATGCAAGATTTTATACTGGAGGCTTATGTAGAATACTCTTAGTAATCTTTGGAACTTCATTTAATTCTAATTTTAAAACTTACTAGTGGTCAAAATAATTATGCTACCTGTCGGGCATGGTGGCTCACCCCTGTAATCCCAGCACTTTGGGAGGCTGAGGTGGGCGGATCACCTGAGGTCAGGAGTTCGAGACCAGCCTGGCCAACATGGTAAAACCTCATCTCTACTAAAAATACAAACAAACAAACAAACAAACAAAAACTTAGCTGGGCGTGGTGGCGGGAGCCTGTAATCCCAGCTACTCAGGAGTCTGAGGCAGGAGAATCACTTGAACCTGGGAGGCGGAGGTTTGCAGTAAGCCGAGATCATGCCATTGCGTTCCAGCCTGGGCAACAAGACTGAAACTGCGTTTCAAAAAAAAATAAAAATAAAAATAGAATAATTATGCTACCAGGTGCACCCTGCCCCCAGCTCCAACTCTTTAAGCCACCTTGTTCCCTTTCTCTGCGTTCTTCTCTGATTTTCATCATGTAGCCAGTTGTTTCCTCCTTCTTATTCTTCATTTTTGCCTCTAATAACCATAGCTAGTCCACGTTATCTGCTTGATTCCCAGTTTTCTCTCTCTTTGTTCAAACTTGCCTATGTTATCCAAACATAGGAAAGAAACAGAAACCACCTTACACTAGTCCTGAGACACTCATCAGATGGAAACTCTTGTCCACAGAACTTTTGTTGTTATCTTCTGATTCAAGCCACAGCCTTGCTTTCCATCCTTGAAACATGCATCTTTCTTGTCTGTTTCCAAAACCACACACGTATGACCTCTCCCTACCTGAGGTTCCTTCAGTACTCTTAGGAGATCATTTGACCTAATGTTGCACTTGTCAGGGAAACTTGGTGATGGAGATTATCACCTGTGCCTTGTTTTCCCCAACTGGAATATATGTTAATAATAGTATCTACCTCATAGAGACATTGTGAGGATGAACTGTGATCATAATTGCCACCAGTCAATGATTTTTGACCGAAAAACATGGTAGTTTCATGTGGATCTACCCAACACATTAGAAGTAGTCATAATAGTGTCCGGCATAGAGTAATTACTTAGTAAATGTTAGCTATTGTTTTCATTACTCTTGTTCACCATACCATCTCCCTCCTGATTTACTCATGTCCTCTCTGAAATGACCTAAAATCGTATTATCTAATTCCTTTAAAGTGAACTGAAATATGTAATGACTGCCAATGTTGAGCCAATTTATACCAAGGCTAAGAAAACATACTGAAGCCATTTAAATTAGAAAACCCCTCTTAATACATTATTTTCATATGTCTTTTTAATATGATTTCTTACTACTTTAGTACAAATACAAAGAAGGTTACCGTAAGCAACTGGGCCACCACATGGGTTTCCGCACCCTACAAGATGACCCCAAGTCAGTATGGGCTATACATGCTGCCAAGATCCAGAGTGACAGAGAATATAAGAAAGCTTATGAGAAGTCTAAAGGAATTCACAACACACCGTTGGACATGATGTCAATTGTTCAAGCCAAGAAATGCCAGGTCCTGGTTAGCGACATTGATTATCGCAATTATCTGCACCAGTGGACGTGTCTGCCAGATCAGAACGATGTGATCCAGGCCAAGAAAGCCTACGACCTGCAGAGCGATGTGCGTATATTATCGCCAGACCCCGGGGAGATGTGTATTTGTGTGTTTAAATCCAGTGCATTCCCCAGAGGCATAATTTAAATGGTAATCTTAATAGAACCTAACATATTCTGTACAATTCATGGTAGCAGAGTTTTCCCCAGACATTTTCTATCTTATAGAGGACTCCTTCTTATGGTAGCAAGACCTTATTTACCAAGATGAAAATCAGTCTCTTATTCTATGTAATTAGGTAGAAAATTTCAGTTGCAGCTGCTCTGAGCCGTTACCTTTGCATAATCATATACATATTTCATAAGTAGATGTAAGCATAAGGAAATGTTGGATTTCATGTTTACTTGACACAGAAAGAGAGAGAGATGGGGGGCAGGATGGATATAGATACAGGTATGTATTTTTTTCTCATTACGCATACATCTAAGGTTCTTTACCTCCTAAAATCCAACTGATGTTATTACTGATGTTACTTCCAGTGGTACATAAAAGGCAGACTTCAAGTGGTGAGTGTAGAAACTAATCCAAGCATACAAAGTTATGTGCCATTGCTGGCTGCCGTTCCACCAAGTGCCACTTGTGAGCCCTGTTCCAATTCCTGCAGGATACTCTAAACTTCTCCCATGTGTGCCAGAGAGATAACACCCAATATTAACATTTAATGTTGATCCTTGAGTTTTATGAGATTAGCCACCTAACTGATTTAAACAGAGGTGATGTGTGGTTTGCAAGCATCAAACTCTTATGGGCAACTTTGACTCTTCCCCACTCTGTGTTCCTCTCCTTCATGTAGAACTTGTACAAGTCAGACCTGGAATGGCTGAAGGGTATTGGATGGTTGCCAGAGGGTTCTGTGGAAGTGATGAGAGTGAAGAATGCCCAGAATCTCTTGAATGAAAGGCTGTATCGTATAAAGCCTGAGGCCCTCAAATTCACCAGCATTGTTGACACCCCGGAAGTAATCCAGGCAAAGATCAATGCTGTACAGATCAGTGAGGTAAGTCCAGGTGGATGATGTTTTCAGACAAATGGAAGAAATCTGAATCCAGAAGAATTTTAAACGTGAACTTTAGACTCTTCATGTCAGCGTCAGGATCTGAAACACGTTTGCATGTATCCAGATGGATCTTTGTGTAGTCAGTCTCTTAGCAGCCTCTGGATTTCATTTGCTTTGATAAGTGTTTGGTCAATGCACATGTGGTGGGCATCTTCATGTTCTACACACCCTGATACACACTTTGATCACATTTGGAGATCCAGACCATAATATAGGCCCACCACTTAGTACTATAATCACAAAATTGCCACTTCTTTATTGCTTGAAATAGGTTGAGAAGTCTAGGGACAACTTCAATGTTAGACATTATGGTAGTTATTTGGACCAAAAACAGCTAGGTCCTGCTCAGCAATGGGAATTATCAGAGCTATCTGCAATGTGGACTTACCCATCTGATAATTAGATGTGAGTAAATGGAAAAGAATAATTTTACTACCGTATTTCTGACTCATTTTAAATTATGTTGTATCACACATAAATGTGTTCTTATTGAAGTCACTATTGGCACCTTTTAAATAAAAGTGCAAAGGAGGCAAGGTGCAGTGGCTTATGCTATGTATAATCTACGTTTATATCGGAGAACATCCAAAAAGAACTTTTCATTTTGCTTATTATTTAATATAAAATTAGATTTACCTATTAATCTTACTTAAAAATTTTAATTTACTTATGTTAGTTTTAATTTATTATAAAATTCACTTAAAATTTTATTCATATCCATTTATTCAAGTATATGTTTCATGACTTTATAATTTTATTTATGTGGTAATTGACTTATTTACTAATTGACCATTCCATCGTTTTTCATTTTTCCCAGCCATTGTATCGCAATGCCTGGGAGAAAGAGAAGGCTAATGTGAACGTGCCAGCTGACACTCCCCTGATGCTGCAATCCAAAATCAATGCTCTGCAGATCAGCAATGTAAGACAGCGCACATCATTTGCTTTTCACAGTGCTCTCTGCCTAACCAAACCTTTTATTATACACCCCAAAGAGAGTTTGTCAAAAGGCATTTTCTTCCCATTCCTTTTATTTCTAGTCTTTAAGTTAATGATAAGTAGCTGTGTGGGTCTGCGTGTGTCTGTGTAATGTACATCTCAATGTTTGTTGGAAGGAAAAATGGAATGGTTTCTCCAAAAACACAACATAAAACTTATAGATACACGTAGAGTAATACCTAGTTCTCAGGTTTTAGTGGGCCATCCATCATTGCTTTTTCCTTGTAAAAGCCAAGCAATATGTTTTTTTCTGATTTTTACATGATTTATTATCTCCTAAGTTTCCTTCTTCAAAAAATAATTATTGGGAGAGAGCTTTACTAAATGTCATTAAAAATCTACTGGAATTCAAGCTCAATATGAAACCAGACTCTTTCATAAATCTTAAGGAGACATTAATGTTCAGTGTAACTGTAAATATCTATTTTTAAATACATCAGTAATGCTGACTCAGTAGCTCCCTCTTCAGACTGACTGTGGCATTGCACTCTCTGTTTGCAGAAACGCTATCAGCAAGCTTGGGAAGATGTCAAGATGACTGGTTATGACCTGCGAGCAGATGCCATTGGGATCCAGCATGCCAAGGCTTCCAGGGATATTGCCAGTGATGTAAGAGCTCCTCCTTCCCAACCGGAACAAACACTAACTAGTAGAAATAGAGGGAGTTTAACTTAATGCCCTTTGAATTATATTTAAATGGAATTGGGTCATTGTTATTAGTATATTTGTAAATCCTAAATTCAAGAACAACTCTTACAATCTGAGGATCCTTTTGCATCTATGTTTGGTTCTGCAACTCTTGCGTTTAAGCACAGATTTTGATTTTCTTTTCAATATCTTCACAATGTCACTTAATTTACAAGTACTTAAAGAGATTTAATTTCATAGTACAGAGAATTCTGTTGTTACTCAAAGTGTGGCGTGTATACTACCGGTGTTTCCTATAATAATTTTATGTAGTACATGCACAAGTATTTTTTTAAAATAGTTATATGGTTGTTTTAATGTGTGCTAGAAATACACTGTTTTTTTCCACGTAGATAGGGTTATACATTTTTAAATAAAATTTTAAAATAAGTTTATAATTAAAAATTATTTCAGGCAAGGCATGGTGGCTCATGCCTGTAATCCCAGCATTTTGGGAGGCCAAGGCGGGTGGATCACTTGAGGTCAGGAGTTCGAGACCAGCCTGGCCAACACGGTGAAACCCTGTCTCTACTAAAAATACAAAAATTAGCTGGGCATGGTGGCGGATGCCTGTAATCCCAGCTACTGGGGAGGCAGAGGCAGGAGAATCACTTGAACCCAGGAGGTGGAGATTGCAAGTGAGCCGAGATCGTGCTACTGCACTCTAGCCTGGGGAGCAGAGCGAGACTCTGTCTCAAAAAAAAAAAAAAAAAAAAGAAAAGAAAAGTAAAATAAAAAAAATTTCAACAAAGAATTAATTTGATTTAAAGTAATAAGAAGTACAACTGGTACTTGTGTGTGACAAAACATCTGAAGGTGGCCAGGCTATATTGGGAGATAATCCAGCAACACAGTTCTTGCCTAAGAGATGCTCTCAATGTTTTCATGCATGTAGACACAGAAGACAAACCAATGTATCAAAACTTATGGCTTGAATTTAAATAAAAACAGTATTCCCCGACCCCCCCAAAAAAGGTAAACTAAGGGAGATGGAGTTAGTTTGAGTAGGCTCTCTAGAAAAAGTGGGTTTGGAAAAATTACTCTTCTATTTTCTGTTCACATCTACCAGTATCTGTACAAAACTGCTTATGAGAAACAGAAAGGCCATTACATTGGCTGTCGCAGCGCCAAGGAAGACCCTAAACTGGTTTGGGCAGCAAATGTGTTGAAGATGCAGAATGACAGGCTGTACAAAAAGGCCTACAACGACCACAAAGCCAAGATCTCCATCCCTGTGGACATGGTGTCCATCAGCGCTGCCAAAGAAGGTCAGGCACTGGCAAGTGATGTGGACTATCGCCATTACCTGCACCACTGGTCTTGCTTTCCCGACCAGAATGATGTGATCCAAGCCAGGAAAGCCTACGACCTACAGAGCGACGTAAGTGTGTCCCCCAGGAAACAAGTCCCCCATTGCTTTGCCTGATGGCTCCTTCCAATGCTCTGAAAACACAACTCTCTGTACGTAGGCACTCCACTTTATTATTATTTTATCAGAATTATTAATTGCCTACCTACAGCCAGGTTTCTTCAGAAAGTTTTCATTGTTAAAGGTGCTACCAGAATTTTCCTATAGATTTGTTAATGTGTACAGTGTTTCCAGTTTCTTTCTTTTTTTTTTTTTTTTTTTTTGAGACGGAGAGTCTTGCTCTGTCACCCAGGCTGGAGTGCAGTGGTGCAATCTCAGCCCACTGCAACCTCCGCCTCCCAGGTTCAAGCGATGTTCCTGCATCAGCCTCCCAAGTAGCTGGGATTACAGGCATGTGCACCACACCCAGCTAATTTTTGTATTTTTATTAGAGGCGGGTTTTCGCCATCTTGGCCAGGCTGGTCTTGAACTCCTGGCCTCAGGTGATCCACTTGTCTCAGCCTCCCAAAGTTCTGGGATTATAGATGTGAGCCACCGCGCCCAGCCTTGCAGTTCGTTTCTTTGTTCCTTCCTTCCTTCCTTAGTCTGGCCCTGCGGCCCAGGCTGGAGTCTCAGCTCACTGCAACCTCTGCCTCCCGGGTTCAAGCGATTCTTCTGCCTCAGCCTCCCAAGTAGCTGGGATTACAAGCACATGCCACCACAGTCGGCTGATTTTTTTATTTTTTAGTAGAGGCAGGGTTTCATCATGTTGGCCAGGCTGGTCTCAAACCCCTGACCTCAGGTGATCCACCTGCCTTGGCCTCCCAAAGTGCTGGGGCAGTTTCTTAAACAGAAGAATGTCCATGGTCCTTCAGCTATGAATCAAAGAAGGGCAGGACCATCTTCCTCAAACTTAATTTGAAAAGTTAGCAGCACGCTCCAGACCACTTGATGTTCTTCACAATGTGGTCTTTCATTAACTCACCTAAGGCATTTTTAGATTTACTCGTATTTTCTGCCCTTCAGACTTTTAGAAATGATGGATTACAGAAGGTTATTTATTTCCTGTATAGAATGGATAACTTAAAAATTATCTGATCTTGGTTCCCTTAAGCTTCCAGAGATACCTTTTTGTAATGAATGAGTTCATTACAGGAAAGCATGCTCATCACTTAAAATGCATTGCCAAGTGGTAGATTTAAGACAGTTTCTGGAGACCAAAACTGTGGAACTAGTGATCGAATTCTTAATCATCCTTTTAAAAATACTTATTAAACACACCATGTGCCAGGCATTGTGCTAAGCACTAAAGATACAATGGTGAATAAAGAAGAAGAAAGAACATGACATAGGGCTGGGCGCGGTGGCTCACACCTGTAATCCCAGCACTTTTCAGACAAATACATTTTCAGACAAATAAAAATCATCTGAATGTTTTTAAAATAATTGCTGCTATTATGCTAGATCCAAAACACTAAACAGCATTTCCTTGGGTCAATTATCACAGGATTAAAGTGGAATCCAATTCAGCAAAATTTTCCTTTAAAAATTTTCAACTATAAAATTTTTTGAAATATCAATTATATCATGGAATTCAGCTTTATTACTATACATATTATTATTCATGGCTAGTATAAATAATTATGTTTTTACAAATGACTTCTGTGATCAATATTAAAAACCCTGAATCATGTGAGATCTCAGGTCTTACTTTTTTGGAAGTACAATCTCCTGCACCTATCCCTTCAACCCCATGTGCTTTATTTTTCAGCTAAAGATTTGTATGTCTAACACTTGAAATGTTTTTTCCTTTTTTTTTTCTTTTTTTTTGAAATGGAGTTTCACTCTCATTGCCCAGGCTGGAGTGCAGTCTCCAATTGCACTCCATCCCTTAAAAAAAATTTTTTTAAATGTTAGCACTCACGACTTCAACTTATGATCACAAAAGGGATTTCCAGTGTCACAATGATGTACTTTCATGTTTTATTTTTGCTTTGCCGTTGCATGTACTCAGAGTTTCAGTGCTGAAAGCCTGCACCTTGCCTCTCATACAATCTTTGCCTATTTTTTCATTAAATGTTGACATTTACCTTTTTTTTTTTTTTTTTTTTTTTTGTGAGACGGAGGTTTGCTCTTGTTGCCCAGGCTGGAGTGCAATGGCACAGTCTCGGCTCACTGCAAGCTCTGCCTCCCGGGTTCAAGCGATTCTCCTGCCTCAGCCTCCCAAGTAGCTGGGATTACAGGCATGCGCCACCATGCCCGGCTAATTTTTGTATTTTTAGTAGAGATGGGGTTTCACCATGTTGGTCAGAAATGGTATTTTTGTCTGACATCTTCTTTATAGAGTGTGTATAAGGCAGACCTGGAGTGGCTGCGTGGCATCGGCTGGATGCCAGAAGGCTCAGTGGAAATGAACAGAGTGAAGGTTGCTCAAGACCTCGTGAATGAAAGACTCTATAGGACACGTCCAGAAGCTTTGTCATTCACCAGCATTGTCGACACTCCAGAAGTTGTCTTGGCAAAAGCCAATTCTCTGCAAATAAGTGAGGTAAGAACCATCCTACTATCTTTTCCAAAGATACCACCCAAACTGAGCCCGTAGACTGGACTTCTTCAAAGAATTTTGGTGAGACGAGCAACTCTAAAAATGTCTTCACTAGTGCAGATACACTGAAAATAGAACTCTGACAAACACCAACATGCCTTTCTTCTACCACACATACACACTTTGAAGCACTGCAGTGAAAATGTCACTCCCTGGCAACTCAGGAACACAAATACTTGTTGACCTCATATTAAATACTAAGACATGTAGTGTCATGCTACATAATAACATAACATTGTATTAGTCCAGATTCTCTAGAGAAACAGAACCAATAGGGGCTGTGTGTGTGTGTGTGTTTGTGTGTGTGTGTTTGTACACACACACAGAAGAGAGAGACTTTAAGAAATTGGCTCCTGAGATCATGCAGGCTGGCAAGTCCAAAGTCTGCAGGGTAGGCCAGCCGGCTAGAGACTGAGGGATGTGTTGCAATTCAAACCCAAAGGCCATCTGCTGGCAGAATTCCTTTTTACTGGGGAGGTTTGTCTTTTCTATCAAGGTCTTCAACTAATTAGATAAGGCTCACCCACATCATGAAGGGTAGTCTCCTTTACTTGGAATCTACTGATTTAAATGTTAACTTCATTTTAACAATACTTTCACAGAAACACCTAAAATAATGTTTGACTAAATATCTGGGTACCATGCCCCAGCCAAGCTGACACATAAAGTTAACCATTATAAACATATGTAAAAACGTTTTTCCAGATTGAGTAGTTAGCTAAGGCTTACATTAGTTAACTATTAGCCAAACATTAGCTAAGGCTTAATGTTTCAGATATTGATTCCCTATTTCCCTCCTCTCCACAGAAACTGTATCAGGAAGCCTGGAATAAAGATAAAAGCAACATCACCATTCCTTCTGATACTCCGGAGATGCTGCAGGCCCACATCAATGCCTTGCAAATCAGCAATGTAAGTGGCACGAACATGAAGTGTAAAAGCCTTTATGGGCAATATCTGTCTGCTCATGGAGATTGTTATAGCGACAAATTACCTACCTTGCAATGTTTGTGGCTTTTGGTGCTAGACATTTTCTCTTTAGCTACCAGTCCCAATGCGATATGAATGGAGTTTCTCTCTTTTAAATGTGTGCTTGGATACATCGGTGGGTGCCTAGACTGCAGGATTTGGGACACCTGAATCCTTTTGGTGTCCTCCTTCACTCTTAACAGTCTCTGTTATCATCTTAGGTTTTTCTTATTGATCCAGGACTTTTTCATTTGACATTTCAAGGCCATAAGAAAGACAAAGGACCATTTTTAATTACATCCAAATGGCGGGCTATGTATGATATCTATGTCACAACCCTTTAGCAGAAACTTCTGAAAAGTCAAAGGACAAAATTAGGGGGAGAAAAATCTTATCAGATCTTACCTGATATCTTGATAAAGATTCTCTGGCTTCCCCATTGATCCTTAGGTTCCATGTACTTGTAGTGGGATATTTTCAAATGCATACCATATTGTGATGGATGCAAATATTCAAACATTAATAGAGTTTGATGTTTAGCTTTAAAATTTTAACCAGAAGTATCCTGTACACCACAGAGGAAATATCCAACAACGAAAAGAACCCAGAAATGAATGCTTTTTTCTTATATTGACTACATTACCATATTCTTTATGATTTATATTATGACAAATTTGAGTAAATTTGCTTATTTTTCCATTCTTGTAAACAAACCTTTATTTTCCCTCTATAGAAACTCTACCAAAAAGACTGGAATGACACCAAGCAGAAAGGCTATGACATAAGGGCAGATGCCATTGAAATCAAGCACGCCAAGGCCTCCAGAGAAATTGCCAGTGAGGTACGCTTCCTTCTCTTTTCTTGTGGTTTTTCTTTTCTACAAAACGAGCAGGGAGACTATTTTTCAAGAATTTTGTGTTTTTAAAAAATCTGTGCATAGAATTGCATCTCATCCTCTGCTAGAAGCTTTCTGTATTTGAAAATATTAAAATGGAATGGAAAACATTAAAGTTAGCATAGATGAGGTATATGTGTAAATTTACTTTGATGCTGTTACAAAGTAGAAACAAAACATCATGAAGAGTCTGTATTAAATTCCTGGGAAAATTCAGGACCCAATACAATGTCATTTTTATCCCTAAAATATTTCTGACATTCTCCACAAATATAAGTCACAGATGATAGTTTCATATAAGACTTAAGACTGAAATCATATTTATATGCAAGATTTTATACTGGAGGCTTATGTAGAATACTCTTAGTAATCTTTGGAACTTCATTTAATTCTAATTTTAAAACTTACTAGTGGTCAAAATAATTATGCTACCTGTCGGGCATGGTGGCTCACCCCTGTAATCCCAGCACTTTGGGAGGCTGAGGTGGGCGGATCACCTGAGGTCAGGAGTTCGAGACCAGCCTGGCCAACATGGTAAAACCTCATCTCTACTAAAAATACAAACAAACAAACAAACAAACAAAAACTTAGCTGGGCGTGGTGGCGGGACGTGTAATCCCAGCTACTCAGGAGTCTGAGGCAGGAGAATCACTTGAACCTGGGAGGCGGAGGTTTGCAGTAAGCCGAGATCATGCCATTGCGTTCCAGCCTGGGCAACAAGACTGAAACTGCGTTTCAAAAAAAAATAAAAATAAAAATAGAATAATTATGCTACCAGGTGCACCCTGCCCCCAGCTCCAACTCTTTAAGCCACCTTGTTCCCTTTCTCTGCGTTCTTCTCTGATTTTCATCATGTAGCCAGTTGTTTCCTCCTTCTTATTCTTCATTTTTGCCTCTAATAACCATAGCTAGTCCACGTTATCTGCTTGATTCCCAGTTTTCTCTCTCTTTGTTCAAACTTGCCTATGTTATCCAAACATAGGAAAGAAACAGAAACCACCTTACACTAGTCCTGAGACACTCATCAGATGGAAACTCTTGTCCACAGAACTTTTGTTGTTATCTTCTGATTCAAGCCACAGCCTTGCTTTCCATCCTTGAAACATGCATCTTTCTTGTCTGTTTCCAAAACCACACACGTATGACCTCTCCCTACCTGAGGTTCCTTCAGTACTCTTAGGAGATCATTTGACCTAATGTTGCACTTGTCAGGGAAACTTGGTGATGGAGATTATCACCTGTGCCTTGTTTTCCCCAACTGGAATATATGTTAATAATAGTATCTACCTCATAGAGACATTGTGAGGATGAACTGTGATCATAATTGCCACCAGTCAATGATTTTTGACCGAAAAACATGGTAGTTTCATGTGGATCTACCCAACACATTAGAAGTAGTCATAATAGTGTCCGGCATAGAGTAATTACTTAGTAAATGTTAGCTATTGTTTTCATTACTCTTGTTCACCATACCATCTCCCTCCTGATTTACTCATGTCCTCTCTGAAATGACCCAAAATCGTATTATCTAACTTCTTTAAAGTGAACTGAAATATGTAATGACTGCCAATGTTGAGCCAATTTATACCAAGGCTAAGAAAACATACTGAAACCATTTAAATTAGAAAACCCCTCTTAATACATTATTTTCATATGTCTTTTTAATATGATTTCTTACTACTTTAGTACAAATACAAAGAAGGTTACCGTAAGCAACTGGGCCACCACATGGGTTTCCGCACCCTACAAGATGACCCCAAGTCAGTATGGGCTATACATGCTGCCAAGATCCAGAGTGACAGAGAATATAAGAAAGCTTATGAGAAGTCTAAAGGAATTCACAACACACCGTTGGACATGATGTCAATTGTTCAAGCCAAGAAATGCCAGGTCCTGGTTAGCGACATTGATTATCGCAATTATCTGCACCAGTGGACGTGTCTGCCAGATCAGAACGATGTGATCCAGGCCAAGAAAGCCTACGACCTGCAGAGCGATGTGCGTATATTATCGCCAGACCCCGGGGAGATGTGTATTTGTGTGTTTAAATCCAGTGCATTCCCCAGAGGCATAATTTAAATGGTAATCTTAATAGAACCTAACATATTCTGTACAATTCATGGTAGCAGAGTTTTCCCCAGACATTTTCTATCTTATAGAGGACTCCTTCTTATGGTAGCAAGACCTTATTTACCAAGATGAAAATCAGTCTCTTATTCTATGTAATTAGGTAGAAAATTTCAGTTGCAGCTGCTCTGAGCCGTTACCTTTGCATAGTCATATACATATTTCATAAGTAGATGTAAGCATAAGGAAATGTTGGATTTCATGTTTACTTGACACAGAAAGAGAGAGAGATGGGGGGCAGGATGGATATAGATACAGGTATGTATTTTTTTCTCATTACGCATACATCTAAGGTTCTTTACCTCCTAAGATCCAACTGATGTTATTACTGATGTTACTTCCAGTGGTACATAAAAGGCAGACTTCAAGTGGTGAGTGTAGAAACTAATCCAAGCATACAAAGTTATGTGCCATTGCTGGCTGCCGTTCCACCAAGTGCCACTTGTGAGCCCTGTTCCAATTCCTGCAGGATACTCTAAACTTCTCCCATGTGTGCCAGAGAGATAACACCCAATATTAACATTTAATGTTGATCCTTGAGTTTTATGAGATTAGCCACCTAACTGATTTAAACAGAGGTGATGTGTGGTTTGCAAGCATCAAACTCTTATGGGCAACTTTGACTCTTCCCCACTCTGTGTTCCTCTCCTTCATGTAGAACTTGTACAAGTCAGACCTGGAATGGCTGAAGGGTATTGGATGGTTGCCAGAGGGTTCTGTGGAAGTGATGAGAGTGAAGAATGCCCAGAATCTCTTGAATGAAAGGCTGTATCGTATAAAGCCTGAGGCCCTCAAATTCACCAGCATTGTTGACACCCCGGAAGTAATCCAGGCAAAGATCAATGCTGTACAGATCAGTGAGGTAAGTCCAGGTGGATGATGTTTTCAGACAAATGGAAGAAATCTGAATCCAGAAGAATTTTAAACGTGAACTTTAGACTCTTCATGTCAGCGTCAGGATCTGAAACACGTTTGCATGTATCCAGATGGATCTTTGTGTAGTCAGTCTCTTAGCAGCCTCTGGATTTCATTTGCTTTGATAAGTGTTTGGTCAATGCACATGTGGTGGGCATCTTCATGTTCTACACACCCTGATACACACTTTGATCACATTTGGAGATCCAGACCATAATATAGGCCCACCACTTAGTACTATAATCACAAAATTGCCACTTCTTTATTGCTTGAAATAGGTTGAGAAGTCTAGGGACAACTTCAATGTTAGACATTATGGTAGTTATTTGGACCAAAAACAGCTAGGTCCTGCTCAGCAATGGGAATTATCAGAGCTATCTGCAATGTGGACTTACCCATCTGATAATTAGATGTGAGTAAATGGAAAAGAATAATTTTACTACCATATTTCTGACTCATTTTAAATTATGTTGTATCACACATAAATGTGTTCTTATTGAAGTCACTATTGGCACCTTTTAAATAAAAGTGCAAAGGAGGCAAGGTGCAGTGGCTTATGCTATGTATAATCTACGTTTATATCGGAGAACATCCAAAAAGAACTTTTCATTTTGCTTATTATTTAATATAAAATTAGATTTACCTATTAATCTTACTTAAAAATTTTAATTTACTTATGTTAGTTTTAATTTATTATAAAATTCACTTAAAATTTTTTTCATCATCCATTTATTCAAGTATGTTTTATGACTTTATAATTTTATTTATGTGGTAATTGACTTATTTACTAATTGACCATTCCATCGTTTTTCATTTTTCCCAGCCATTGTATCGCGATGCCTGGGAGAAAGAGAAGGCTAATGTGAACGTGCCAGCTGACACTCCCCTGATGCTGCAATCCAAAATCAATGCCCTGCAGATCAGCAATGTAAGACAGCACACATCATTTGCTTTTCACAGTGCTCTCTGCCTAACCAAACCTTTTATTATACACCCCAAAGAGAGTTTGTCAAAAGGCATTTTCTTCCCATTCCTTTTATTTCTAGTCTTTAAGTTAATGATAAGTAGCTGTGTGGGTCTGCGTGTGTCTGTATAATGTACATCTCAATATTTGTTGGAAGGAAAAATGGAATGGTTTCTCCAAAAACACAACATAAAACTTATAGATACACGTAGAGTAATACCTAGTTCTCAGGTTTTGGTGGGCCATCCATCATTGCTTTTTCCTTGTAAAAGCCAAGCAATATGTTTTTTTCTGATTTTTACATGATTTATTATCTCCTAAGTTTCCTTCTTCAAAAAATAATTATTGGGAGAGAGCTTTACTAAATGTCATTAAAAATCTACTGGAATTCAAGCTCAATATGAAACCAGACTCTTTCATAAATCTTAAGGAGACATTAATGTTCAGTGTAACTGTAAATATCTATTTTTAAATACATCAGTAATGCTGACTCAGTAGCTCCCTCTTCAGACTGACTGTGGCATTGCACTCTCTGTTTGCAGAAACGCTATCAGCAAGCTTGGGAAGATGTCAAGATGACTGGTTATGACCTGCGAGCAGATGCCATTGGGATCCAGCATGCCAAGGCTTCCAGGGATATTGCCAGTGACGTAAGAGCTCCTCCTTCCCAACCGGAACAAACACTAACTAGTAGAAATAGAGGGAGTTTAACTTAATGCCCTTTGAATTATATTTAAATGGAATTGGGTCATTGTTATTAGTATATTTGTAAATCCTAAATTCAAGAACAACTCTTACAATCTGAGGATCCTTTTGCATCTATGTTTGGTTCTGCAACTCTTGCGTTTAAGCACAGATTTTGATTTTCTTTTCAATATCTTCACAATGTCACTTAATTTACAAGTACTTAAAGAGATTTAATTTCATAGTACAGAGAATTCTGTTGTTACTCAAAGTGTGGCGTGTATACTACCGGTGTTTCCTATAATAATTTTATGTAGTACATGCACAAGTATTTTTTTAAAATAGTTATATGGTTGTTTTAATGTGTGCTAGAAATACACTGTTTTTTTCCACGTAGATAGGGTTATACATTTTTAAATAAAATTTTAAAATAAGTTTATAATTAAAAATTATTTCAGGCAAGGCATGGTGGCTCATGCCTGTAATCCCAGCATTTTGGGAGGCCAAGGCGGGTGGATCACTTGAGGTCAGGAGTTCGAGACCAGCCTGGCCAACACGGTGAAACCCTGTCTCTACTAAAAATACAAAAATTAGCTGGGCATGGTGGCGGATGCCTGTAATCCCAGCTACTGGGGAGGCAGAGGCAGGAGAATCACTTGAACCCAGGAGGTGGAGATTGCAAGTGAGCCGAGATCGTGCTACTGCACTCTAGCCTGGGGAGCAGAGCGAGACTCTGTCTCAAAAAAAAAAAAAAAAAAAAGAAAAGAAAAGTAAAATAAAAAAAATTTCAACAAAGAATTAATTTGATTTAAAGTAATAAGAAGTACAACTGGTACTTGTGTGTGACAAAACATCTGAAGGTGGCCAGGCTATATTGGGAGATAATCCAGCAACACAGTTCTTGCCTAAGAGATGCTCTCAATGTTTTCATGCATGTAGACACAGAAGACAAACCAATGTATCAAAACTTATGGCTTGAATTTAAATAAAAACAGTATTCCCCGACCCCCCCAAAAAAGGTAAACTAAGGGAGATGGAGTTAGTTTGAGTAGGCTCTCTAGAAAAAGTGGGTTTGGAAAAATTACTCTTCTATTTTCTGTTCACATCTACCAGTATCTGTACAAAACTGCTTATGAGAAACAGAAAGGCCATTACATTGGCTGTCGCAGCGCCAAGGAAGACCCTAAACTGGTTTGGGCAGCAAATGTGTTGAAGATGCAGAATGACAGGCTGTACAAAAAGGCCTACAACGACCACAAAGCCAAGATCTCCATCCCTGTGGACATGGTGTCCATCAGCGCTGCCAAAGAAGGTCAGGCACTGGCAAGTGATGTGGACTATCGCCATTACCTGCACCGCTGGTCTTGCTTTCCCGACCAGAATGATGTGATCCAAGCCAGGAAAGCCTACGACCTACAGAGCGACGTAAGTGTGTCGCCCAGGAAACAAGTCCCCCATTGCTTTGCCTGATGGCTCCTTCCAATGCTCTGAAAACACAACTCTCTGTACGTAGGCACTCCACTTTATTATTATTTTATCAGAATTATTAATTGCCTACCTACAGCCAGGTTTCTTCAGAAAGTTTTCATTGTTAAAGGTGCTACCAGAATTTTCCTATAGATTTGTTAATGTGTACAGTGTTTCCAGTTTCTTACTTTTTTTTTTTTTTTTTTTTTTTTTTTGAGATGGAGTCTTGCTCTGTCACCCAGGCTGGAGTGCAGTGGTGCAATCTCAGCCCACTGCAACCTCCGCCTCCCAGGTTCAAGCGATGTTCCTGCATCAGCCTCCCAAGTAGCTGGGATTACAGGCATGTGCACCACACCCAGCTGATTTTTGTATTTTTATTAGAGACAGGTCTTTGCCATCTTGGCCAGGCTGGTTTTGAACTCCTGACCGCAGGTGATCCACCCGTCTCAGCCTTCCAAAGTTCTGGGATTACAGAAGTGAGCCACCATGCCCAGCCTTGCCCGCCCTTCCTTCCTTCCTTCCTTCATTCCTTCCTTCGTTCCTTCCTTCTCTCCTTCCTTCCTTCCTTCCCTCCTTCCTTCCTTCCTTCCCTCCTTCTCTCCTTCCTTCCTTCCTTCCCTCCTTCCCTCCTTGTCTCTTTCCCTCCTTCCCTCCTTCCCTTGCCCTGTGGCCCTGGCTGGAGTCTCAGCTCACTGCAACCTCTGCCTCCCGGGTTCAAGCGATTCTTCTGCCTCAGCCTCCCAAGTAGCTGGGATTACAAGCACATGCCACCACAGTCGGCTGATTTTTTTATTTTTTAGTAGAGGCAGGGTTTCATCATGTTGGCCAGGCTGGTCTCAAACCCCTGACCTCAGGTGATCCACCTGCCTTGGCCTCCCAAAGTGCTGGGGCAGTTTCTTAAACAGAAGAATGTCCATGGTCCTTCAGCTATGAATCAAAGAAGGGCAGGACCATCTTCCTCAAACTTAATTTGAAAAGTTAGCAGCACACTCCAGACCACTTGTTTCCTTTTACTTGACGTTCTTCACAATGTGGTCTTTCATTAACTCACCTAAGGCATTTTTAGATTTACTCGTATTTTCCGCCCTTCAAACTTTTGGAAATGATGGATTACAGAAGGTTATTTATTTCCTGTATAGAATGGATAACTTAAAAATTATCTGACCTTGGTTCCCTTAAGCTTCCAGAGGTACTTTTTTATAATGAATGAGTTCATTACAGGAAAGCATGCTCATCACTTAAAATGCATTGCCAAGTGGTATATTTAAGACAGTTTCTGGAGACCAAAATTGTGGAAGTAGTGATCGAATTCTTAATCATCCTTTTAAAAATACTTATTAAACACACCATGTGCCAGGCATTGTGCTAAGCACTAAAGATACCATGGTGAATAAAGAAGAAGAAAAAACATGACATAGGCTGGGCGCTGTGGCTCACACCTGTAATCTCAGCACTTTGGGGAGGCTGAGGTGGGTGGATCACAAGGTCCAGAATTTCAAGATCAGCCTGACCAACATGGTGAAACCCTGTCTTTACTAAAAACACAAAAATTAGCCTGGCGTGGTGGCATGTGCCTGTAATCCCAGCTACACAGGAGGCTGAGGCAGGAGAATCGTTTGAACCTAGGAGGCAGAGGTTGCAGTGAGCCGAGATTGCCACTGCACTCCAGCCTGGGTGGCAGAGTGAGACTCCGTCTCAAAGGCAAACAAAAAACATGACAGCTCCTGACTTTAGGGAGTTCACATTGATAACCGAGACCTAGATGTTCATTAAAGAATAAAAATGGAATGGCTGAGAGTGATCCATGGTGCTATGAAGAGAGATCGAGAAAGTTCTTCTGAGAAGGCACTGATTTTACAGAGATATGAAGGAAGAATAGAAGTTGGGTTGGTTAGGAGGACATGGGGCATTCCTTCAGGGTGACCAACATGTGCAAAGAGGGCTGATGAGACTACGAATTGAAAGACAGGCTGTGTGATCAGGACACACAGGGCCAATGGAAGTACAGATGACACGAGGCTGGAAGAATAGGTGGGGACTGGTGCCAGACCATTCATCCCTTCTAGTCTGTGTCAGGGATTTTGATGTTTATCCTATGACCGATGGGAAGCCATAGGATGGGGGAATGTTGTGACATCGGATTTGAATTCTGAATTTTGAAAAGATCATTCTGGCTGCTGTGTAGAGAACTTACTAGAAAGCCCATTATTGTTGCTTTAAAGTCTGCATTGGTAATGGTATGATGATAACCTAAATATTATTCAGAAGTCTTCCATGCAGTCCCTCAAATGGAGAGCTGCTTCTGCATCACTTTGCCTTTTAGAATGCACATGGGCACTACCACACAGACCCTTGCCACAGAAAACCAAGCAAAATGAAATGCCATTGTGCATTTGAGGAATTATGTTTGTCAGGCTAGTGCTCTGTTTTAATTATTGTTTGTGGAAGATAAAATAAAAGAGGCCTGGCGTAGTGGCTCATGCCTGTAATCCCAGCATTTTGGGAGGCCAAGGTGGGTGGATCACCTGAGGTCAGGGGTTTGAGACCAGCCTGGCTAGCATGGTGAAACTCCGTCTCTACTAAAAAAAATACAAAAATTAGACAGGCATCATGGCACGTGCCTGTAGTCTCAACTACTCGGGAGGCTGAGGCAGGAGAATTGCTTGAACTTGGAAAGGGGAGTTTGTAGTGAGCTGAGATTGTGCCATTGCACTCCAGCCTGGGTGACAGAATGAGACTCTGTCTCAAAAAAAAAAAAAAAAAAAAAAAAAAAAAAAAATATATATATATATATATATATATATATATATGTATTTATGTTATATATATTTTATGTTGTATATATAATATATACACACACAACATAAAAACTGTCCTTATTTTACCACACACATACACAACAAAACACAAACCCTGCTTCTACCTGTGTTTTCTTTTTCAGGCCCTCTACAAGGCTGACTTGGAGTGGTTGCGTGGCATTGGCTGGATGCCCCAAGGGTCTCCTGAAGTGTTGAGAGTCAAAAACGCCCAGAATATCTTTTGTGACAGTGTCTATCGGACGCCTGTGGTGAACCTTAAGTACACAAGCATTGTTGACACACCTGAAGTGGTCCTTGCTAAATCAAATGCTGAAAATATTAGTATTGTGAGTTAGTTTTTCTCTATTAAAATTGAATTAATGCCATAAATAGATGAGAAAGAATAAACCTGGTCATTTATTTTAGAATAATAAAAACTTTATTAATAACAAAAATTTTATTAAGTAATACAGTATTGTCTTGGTTTGCTTATTAATTTTAAGCAAAAACTCTAATAAAAGGGAATAATACAGATTTTATATCAAATTTGAGTAACTTACGTGAAAAGATTCCAGAAATCTTTGCCCTAACATGAAAGGGTTTTGGATCAAATCCAAAAGAAAATTTAAAAGTTGCATAGTGGGACTAGCAACATGAAAATTGTGAAGTAATTTTATTATTTTTGTTTCTTTCCACAGCCAAAGTACAGAGAGGTTTGGGACAAGGATAAAACTTCAATACACATAATGCCAGATACTCCAGAAATTAATCTCGCTAGAGCAAATGCTCTTAATGTGAGCAATGTAAGTACTACAACAGACTCTCTTTTTGTTTGGAAAGTTACCCAGTCAGGGCTATACTATGAGCATGGAAGGGAGGGAAGATGGACTCGGTCCCTGACTTCCCGCAACAGGGGAAGACTCCTTGTGGTCACCCCTTGACTAGGAGTGAGGCAAGGAGGAGATCCCTGGTGATTCACTGGGCAAGGCCAGTTACTGGTGAGTCAATATCTCCACAACAAAAGTCTCTTTAGTTGTCCTTTTTGAATAAGGGGACAAAGAAGGTGAAAGACGAATGAAGAGATGCACAAACAAGAAAAGAGAATTAACGATAGACTCAGATAGACTCAAAATAATTATGAGAAGTCTTTGTAAAAATATATGAATTAATTTTAAAACATGGACCTCGGGGGGTTTTCTAGAAAATCATAAGTGACCAAAATTGACCCAAGGAGAAAAAACCAAAAAACATACAGCAAGAAATTAAGAGGTTTCTTAATTAAGAAATTAAGGAGAACATTTAAACACTTTTCTTCCTACTTTCAAGTGTCAGGGTCCCCTTGATTATTTCAAAACTTCAATAAATAAATAAATTACCAGGAGCCTAGTAAAAGAAGGAAATCCATTGCAATTACCAAAACTTTTCAAAGATAGTGTCACAAATTAAAAACTATAGACCAGCTGGGCATGGTGGCTCATGCCTATAATCCCAGTACTTTGGGAGGTCAAGGCCAGAGGATTGCTTGAGCCCAGGAGTTCAAGACTAGTCTGGGCAACATAGGGAGACCCCATCTCTGCAAGAAAATAAAAAATAAATAAATTAGTTGGGCAAAGTGAGGTGCACCTGTGGCCCAAGTTACTTGGGAGGCTCAGGTGGGAGGATCACTTGAGCCCAGGAGGAAGAGGCTGCAGTGAGCCATAATCATGCCACTGCAGTCCAGCCTGGGTGACAGGGCAAGACCCTGTCTCAAATAAATAAATAAATAAATAAATAAAATTTAAACTGTAGACCAATAATGGGGGGAATCTTAAATATTAATAAATCAAATTCAGCATTACATTAAAATGATAAGATATAATCAACTGGGGTTCATGCAGGAATGCCAAGAGGGCCCCATAGTCAGAGACCTAATAGTGCCATAGAACAAGAAGAAAAGGCTCATTTTATTAGATTTACATGGCATCTGACAAAATCCAATACCCATTCTTATTTTTTAAAAATAAAATCTTAGTTAAGAAAGAATAAATGAATATTTTCTCAACATGACTGAAAAATAAATCTCAAATCAAAGGCCAACTCATCCTCAGTGACCAAACTTCTCATTCATATCAGGATTAAAATGAGGGTGCCCCTAATATCATCATTATTTAACATTTGCTGGAAGTATTGGCTAAGTGAGTGAGATTCTCATTGATGCTAATATAATTACTCAAGAGTAAGAACATGCCTGGCGCGATGGCTCACGCCTGTAATCCCAGCACTTTGGGAGGCCAAGGCAGGCGAATCACGAGGTCAGGAGATCGAGACCATCCTGCCTAACACGGTGAAACCCTGTCTCTACTAAAAATACAAAAAATTAGCTGGGCGTGGTGGTGGGTGCCTGTAGTCCCAGCTACTCAGGAGACTGAGGCAGGAGAATGGCGTGAAACCCAGGAGGCGGAGCTAGCAGTAAGCCGAGATCACGCCACTGTACTCCAGCGTGGGCGACAGAGCGAGACTCTGTCTTAAAAAACAAACAAACAAACAAAAAAGAGTAAGAACAGAAGATAAATATTGGAAAGAAAGAGGCCAAATTATCATTATTTGCAGAAGAAGTCATTTTAAGTCTTAAAAAAGAGAATCAACTGAGGAAAAAAAAAACTATTTGTGAGTACAAGATAATCCAGTTACGTGGCTGGCTACACAATTCAAGAAAGTTCAAGGAAGATACCATTTTCATGGATCGCAGAAATTACTTGTGTGTAGAATAGTATGACCTCAGAAGAAGAAGGATACTACCTTAGTGCAATTTGCCAAGGCTTGAAACTTTGCATGCTTTCAAAAGAATAATATGTCTTTGTGAGAGAAGGAGGCTGCCAGCAAAGATTCCTCACCATGTGCCAAACAGCTCTATAAGTTCTGGTATAATGAGCCACTTGGGGACTAATGTTTTCCAGTGTTTAAGAAGAAAATATAATTTTAGGGCGCTGATGTATTTTCTCTTTTGGACCAGATATCAATATCATGGTGCAGCGCATTCTTGTCAAGAGGCTGAATCAAGGGGTAGTCAGTTCTTCACTGCAGTATAGACGCCTCTTCCCACTCAATCCATAGGCATCTGTGGCAGGAGAATTCTGGAAAGTCACATATGCTCTCTTTTGCATGATAAATTTCTCAGCTGAAAACACCAGAACCTTACCATTGATATTATATGAACAAGACTAATATTCAAAATTATGCTAAAAGTAAAATTATTAACTTTATTAAGATATTAATGAGAATGACTTCCATTTTGGAAGAAATCAAACACCCCATTTGAATGCTAACCAAACTATACAGCATTTTCTTTACAAGTGTATCACCATTACTGTAATCTTGATTAAACCCACAATTTAAAACTGCTGCCGTTATTTAGAAAGCACAACTTTAGCAGAATATTTGTATGTGATTTTATGGGTAACAAAGCAAATTCACGTTAAAGTGACTCATGTAATCTTCATGCTCACTACATTGAGTAAGATATTGTTATTTTGTTTTTATCAGATGGTAAATTGAGATTTTTAAAAGTTAAGAAATTTTCCCATGTTCTCAAAGTTAGTAGCTGAAAACATTGGGTCTCAGGCCCCGGGCTTTTTTTTTTTTTTTTTAGTTAAAAATATATACATACTTGGCTGGGCATGGTGGCTCATGCCTGTAATCCCAGCACTTTGGGAGGCTGAGGAGGGTGGATCACTTGAGGCCAGAGTTCGAGACCAGCCTGGCCAACGTGATGAATGAAACCCCATCTCTACTAAAAATACAAAAAATAGCCAGGCATAGTGGTGGCTCACCTGTAATCCCAGCTACTTGGGTGGCTGAGGCACAAGAATCGTTTGAACCTAGGAGGCAGAGGTTGCAGTGAGCTGAGATCGTGCCACTTCACTCCAGCTTGGGTGACAGAGCGAGACTCTGTCAAAAAAAAAAAAGTATATATATATATACTTTTATATATATATTTTATATATATATATAAATATTCAATATAT
Source organism: Homo sapiens (assembly GCF_000001405.40). Taxonomy (NCBI): domain Eukaryota; kingdom Metazoa; phylum Chordata; class Mammalia; order Primates; family Hominidae; genus Homo; species Homo sapiens. Next base: position 151,572,493 of record NC_000002.12, on the reverse strand, counting down.
ATAAATATTCAATATATATATTCAATCTCATAAAAAGCATTACATAAGAAATAGTGTGAAAATGTGCATAATAAAATAGAATGAAAACAAAAAGTAAAAAGATAACATAATACACGTTTGCATTAACTATTTTGTAGTTTAATTAATTAATTACTTTATTTATTTATTTTTTGAGAGGGAGTCTTGCTCTGTCACCCAGGCTGGAGTACAGTGGCGTGATCTCAGCTTGCTGAAACTTCTGCCTCCCGGGTTCAAGCGATGCTCCTGCCTCAGCATCTCTAGTAGCTGGGATTACAGGTGTGTGCCACCACACCCAGCTAATTTGTGTATTTTTAATAGAGACAAGGTTTCACCATGTTGGCTAGGCTGGTCTCAAACTCCTGACTTCAAGTGATCCACCTGCCTCGGCCTCCCAAAGTGCTGGGATTATAGGCGTAAGCCACTGCACCCAGCCCTTCTTGTACATTTTAATATGGAGAATATTTTTTCTTCTGTACAGAAAACAAGTCAGTTGTCAAAATAGGCCTACTCAAAATTTATACAAAAGCTTGATTGAAAATTCATATAAAACCTGTCCATGCTTACAAGGATAAAATTTGAGCACTCATTTTTCAGACATGCAAAAGCTACAAAACTGTCACTAATTAAAATCCACTTCTTTCTGTGCTGTAGAAGATCCCCTACTGATAGGTATGATTTGTGAATTATATGTTTAAATTACTATTATTTCCGAGTCTCTCTGTTATTTGTTAATACACAATGTATCCATTAAAATATGAACATATATTTACATACATTTTTAAAATACTTGTAAATCAGTCACTACTTTAGTTAACTTCTCTTTACAACCAAAAAAATAGCTGTGACATCCAATCATGCTTCAGCGGAAGATCTAACATTACCAAATGATATGGATCATTAATCATATAAGATCAAAAAAGCCATATTGAAAAAAACCCACAAATGTAACAAGTTTACAATTCTGAAGGTTACAAAACTGAATTGAATTAGAGATAAATAAATTGAATTATTGCATTAAAGAAATTCAATAACCCATTAATGTCTAAAGTTATCTCAATGTTACCAATACACCAACACAAGAAAACAAAGCCAAACCCTTTTTATGAACGAGATTATAAAGCATGAGCAACTACTTCAAGGCTATCATTCAAATTTAAAATTTATTGTACATTTGAAAACAACTGAAAGAATATTATTGGAGCACTTTGGGAGGCCGAGGCAGGTGGATCACCTGAGGGTCAGGAGTTTGAGACCAGCCTGACCAACATGGAGAAACCCTGTCTCTACTAAAAATACAAAATTAGCTGGGCCTGGTGGCGCATGCCTGTAATCCCAGCTACTCGGGAGGCTGAGGAAGGAGAATGGCTTGAGCCTGGGAGGCAGAGTTTGGGGTGAGCCGAGATGGTGCCATTGCCCTCCAGCCTGGGCAACAAGAGCGAAACTCCGTCTCAAAAAAAAAGAAAAAGAGTATAATTGGAATGTTTATGACACAGACATGATAAATGCTTGAGGTGGTGGATACCCAGTTATCCTCATGTGACTATTACCCATTGTATGCCTATATTAAAATATCTCATGCACCCTATAAATATGTATATACCTACTATGTACCCATAAAAATAAAATATAAAACATTAAAAATAATAAAAACAAAAGAAAGGAGATTGTCAAGCCCAGACCTTTGGACTCCAGACACCATTACATGTTCCAGGACAATGGTGCATAGAATGATTCTCATCTATGCTCTTCTTTAACTGCTCTCAAGTCCTTGGGCTTCAAAACTGTGCCCCTGTGGTATTAATTCCACCTGAGCCATTGAAGGTATTGGCAAATTTGAATCTAGGATGATACCTTATTTTTCTCCTTTTCAGAAACTTTACCGTGAGGGCTGGGATGAAATGAAGGCGGGCTGTGATGTCCGGCTGGATGCCATCCCCATCCAGGCTGCCAAGGCCTCCAGGGAGATTGCCAGTGACGTGAGTGGCCTTTTTTAACTTCTCAGTTTTTTTTTTTCAGCCGATGCCCTAGGTGCATCAAGAGGACATGCTGTGACCCATCTGCTTTATTTTTGCATCTCCAGTATAAATATAAGCTTGACCATGAGAAGCAGAAGGGACACTACGTGGGCACCCTCACAGCCAGGGATGACAACAAGATCCGCTGGGCCCTCATAGCTGACAAGCTCCAGAATGAACGAGAGTACCGGCTGGACTGGGCCAAATGGAAGGCCAAGATCCAGAGCCCTGTGGACATGCTTTCCATCCTGCACTCTAAAAATTCCCAGGCTCTGGTCAGTGACATGGATTACCGCAATTACCTGCACCAGTGGACCTGCATGCCCGACCAGAACGATGTGATTCAGGCCAAGAAGGCCTACGAACTGCAGAGCGATGTGAGTGGGCTGCATTTGGGGTTGAACTCTTTTCTCAGTTTGCCATGACTTCCAGAGAGTTTATGACACTAACCCCTTCTGTCATCATTTTACGACTTCATATCACCAAGAATTTAATATTAGTGAGACCTTATAGTATGGTATCAAAATCACCAAATCCAAGAAGGACCTGGACTTTATATCAAGAAATAAATGGTAGTATGAATACAGGTCTTAATTGTATCAGATTAAAGAAAACTGTGAAAATATTCTTTCTATAGAATTTAGATAGCAATAGAGGCTTATATCCAGTAAAATATTGGCAGCCCATGGACAGGATGTAGGCACAGACATGCTTTTTTAATTGATACAGTGTTTAGAAATTTTGAATTAAGTTGCCAAGATTTTAAAATCCAAAAATTTTTGTGTACAAATGTCGGATTTCCCATTTCTCTTGGAAATTCAGAGGACACAGCTCTGAATTATCCCTTAGTAACAATAACCAGAATGGAATCAAGGATAACCCCCTTTAAATAAAAATATATGCTATCGTTTGTCACACTGCCTGGCCGCCTAATTAATTTTCTTACATTACCTGCGTGGCTGCTTGAGTATGTCCTCCTTGGCTTATATAGCATTTACATTGTATTTCTTCATGAGACCAATGGATAGGCTAACTAGGACCACATGACCAGGGTTGCTGAACTCATTCTGGCCCTGTTTTCACAGAATGTTTACAAGGCTGACTTGGAATGGTTGCGTGGAATTGGGTGGATGCCAAATGACTCCGTGTCCGTCAATCATGCCAAACATGCCGCGGACATCTTCAGTGAGGTATTCCAAGATTTTACCCTGACATTCAGTACATTTCCCAAGAAAGTGACAAAATGCACAAGCTAAAATATAGTCATCTAATATCAGCAATCTTAACCATTTCAATTGCTGTGATTTAAACTGAGCATATATATTTTTCAAAATGTACTGTCGCTATCACATTATGGGACCACATCCATAATATAATATCCAGCACACTCACTGATGCTTGGCATTGTATAAATGGAAAAATCTTTTTGTCAGCAATAGCAATATACTTGGGAAAAGTTTGTTTCGTTGGAAAAATGTGCATTACAGTACACATAATGATACATTATATAACTTTGAGAGCTAAGCAAACTTCCTACTTTAAAATCTGTGGGAGGCATAAGAAGCTGATGCATTTGTTTAAAAAATAAAATGCTAAAAAGAAAGCCAAATTCCCAAGAAGACGCTATTCAAATACGGCACTGTATGTTTCTAGTAGAGAAGGACTCTAAATTTAGTGTATCTTCTCAGTTCACACATGTCTAGGAATTACAACTATCTAAAAGATGCTTTCTTTCCCATAGAAAAAATATCGCACAAAAATAGAAACTCTCAACTTTACGCCTGTGGATGACAGAGTTGATTATGTGACAGCGAAACAAAGTGGCGAGATCCTCGATGATGTAAGTATATGGCTGTTTTAAAATCTCACAGTGATGCAGATATCACTTCCAAAGCTTTTCCATCTACTTACACTCAGAATGCAATCATCTGAAATACAGATTTTAATCATTGAAATGATGGATGCTAACAATTGCTTGGACAACATGATGCTTTCTTAACAAGTAACTTGCCCCCTTGCCTCTCATTTTTTTTTTTTTAGATTAAATACCGGAAAGACTGGAATGCCACCAAATCAAAGTACACCCTCACAGAAACCCCCCTGCTGCACACTGCCCAGGAGGCTGCTAGGATACTGGACCAGGTATGGGTTTCACCCACATGCCTGGTGTTTGTGTACGAGTGGAGGGCCTTAATGGAACTGTAGGATAATTATGCACACAACTTACCCCTCCCTTCTGACTCCTCATTTTAACCCTTTATGGTGGCTCTGTCTTTCAGTATCTCTACAAGGAAGGCTGGGAGAGACAAAAAGCCACAGGTTACATTTTGCCTCCAGATGCTGTGCCATTTGTTCATGCCCATCACTGCAATGACGTTCAGAGTGAGGTAATACATCCTGATGGGAGTGCATTTTGCAAAAGTGGGACCTTGCTCCCAGGGATTCCAGTTATGCCAAAGGCAGAGATAGCACCTTCCAGGTGTTCAGTTTCAGTGTGGCAGACCTGGCCAGGCTTGGTGATGGTTGGAGTACCTGCTCACTTTTCGGTCTTTCTTCCATGGGCTTTGAGCTTTCTTGTTTCTTCACCCGCCCACCACCCCCCTTGGCTTTTTTAAAAGCAATTGTTCAAATTCTTTACTTTTTCTTATATTCTCTGCCCTCCCTAAAATCTTTAGGCCTTTGAATAAAAATATTGCCAGAATCAGAGAACAAGTATATATTTTTTCTCTATTTTTATTTTTTAAATTTTATTTTTATCATTTTTAGGGCTATCTCAGCAGAATATTTTTCTATTTTTAAATGGGTGTTTCTTCATATGGATTTATTTCAATGCTTTTTATTATTTGCTCTCAGAGTTGGGGGTGTCAAACAAAAAGCTGGGGGGCTGAATTTGCTGATATCCCTTAGTAGATGATCAAGCCCCCTCTGCCTTGTGTGCTTGTCAAAACTGATGGAATTTATATTCCTCTTCTCGCCAGCTGAAATACAAAGCTGAACATGTGAAGCAAAAAGGTCATTATGTTGGTGTCCCGACGATGAGAGATGATCCTAAGCTGGTTTGGTTTGAGCATGCAGGCCAGATTCAGAATGAGAGACTATACAAAGAGGACTATCACAAAACAAAGGCCAAAATCAATATACCTGCTGATATGGTGTCAGTCTTGGCCGCCAAGCAGGGGCAGACCCTTGTCAGTGATATTGATTATCGTAATTACTTGCACCAATGGATGTGTCATCCTGACCAGAACGATGTTATTCAGGCAAGAAAGGCCTATGACCTACAGAGTGATGTAAGTGATTTTTGTTTCTTCATTATCTAGAAACGCATGGTACACTCTGAGAATGATGAGCAACATCCCAGATCCACAAGTGCTTGAAATTTGAGGCCATCGATATTTAATTTGTTCCCAAAGGGAATTGAGGCTGGATATGAAGAAAGATCAGGAGCAGTGATGGATTGATTGGTTTGCCTACTGACTGCATTTCTGAGTAACTTTCAATCAAATTTTTTTAAAAAAAATCTGCTGCTTTTGTACCATTTTGGCCATCAGCAACTCCTCACTCACATTCACATAGAAAAGTATCAGCTGATGGAAAATAATAATTGGCTTGGGTGGGAATTGAGAATGAGTTGAGGTTTTGACAATATTAGATGATAGCACAGTTAAAGACCTAAGCATGCCCTATTCCTGCTTTGCCAAGCATCTCATTCCTCACGGCATTTATGAAGTTGTTCGCAAAGCAAAAGAGAAACAAAATACTGATTAAGCTGCATGAGGGCCCAGTATGCCTCATGCAGAGCTTTGGTAAAGCTAGGATAGAGAATAAGACATAACCTACCTCCCACTGAAGCCTGAATCAAGATCTCTACTTGCCACCAGCCTTCTGCATGTGCAGAACAGTAACTGGATGCATCAACTTAGTTGCTTAGGTGCCCAGAGAAGCTAATGCTCCCTGGGTCTTCTCATCATTAACAAAAGGGAACCTGGAAGTCAAAGACTGCTGCAGCATAGATGTTGAACTTGAACATCTGACCTCACTGGTTGCTGCAGCAAAATAGCTGTTGTGGAACTTAAATCAGAATAGCAACTCTTCTTATTTTCATGTCGAGTTGGCTGGGAGAATCTAGGTTCTTGAAGGCGTAAGGGCAAGAATAGGTTTGGCTGGGACCCAGGGGATGCCTCCCCTACCCAATACGTGAATATTTACTTGTGTAGTTTCCCTCATTTAGTCTAAATGCCCCACATACTTCTACGTGACTAAATGTATCAAATCCATCTAAAAGTACAACCTCCTTGGTAAGCCTTTTCTTATGACGATAGCAGAAAATAACAGCCCCTTCCCCTCAACTCCAATAGCATTTGAGCACTCGATCTAACAGCACTTCTTGCTTTATAAATGACTTATCTCAACTCCTAGACTCCTTCTTTATACTTATTCATCAAAACACCAAGCATAGTGCCTCATGCACAGTAACAGCCTCAAGAAATATTGCTCAGGTGAAATCACAATTGAATGAATGAGAAAACTACTAGAGAGAAATCCTTTAAAAGCTTCTGAAAAAATTGTAACCTGCCCTCTGTAAGCCTGTGTCTCAGTCATTTATTCCTCCATTATATCTCTCTTCCTGCTCTCAGAATGTCTACAGAGCTGACCTGGAGTGGCTCCGAGGCATTGGCTGGATCCCACTGGATTCTGTGGACCATGTAAGGGTTACTAAGAACCAGGAAATGATGAGTCAGGTACGCAAAGCCTATTCTCCTTCTAACCTATGCCTGTCCTCCTACCTGCCATGTTGGGGTAGATAACCTGTGGTGGTAGACCTGTCTTAATTGTCTCCGTTTCTTTACAGATCAAATATAAGAAAAATGCCCTTGAAAACTATCCTAACTTTAGAAGTGTGGTGGATCCTCCAGAGATTGTTTTAGCCAAGATTAATTCTGTCAATCAAAGTGATGTAAGTTTGCTTTGTGCATGCTGAAGTGCACAGACTGGGGAGTAAATTGTCTATCATTGGGTGGATTAGCTTAACTTTAGATAATTGCTTGTAAAAAAATTGGGAGGTGGTAAATTCTAAGATCATCTTTGGGGGGTATGTCTTAAAAGTCACTAGCAGGTGGTGAATTGTATTCACTTTTAGATATCTATATTCCTATCCAAATTATTCTATTGTTTTAGCTAAAATGGGCTAAAATTCAACCAGTTGGTTAGTTTTAATCTTTAAACGTGGACTGATTATGTTTCTAGGTAATCTTATAAAAATTTAATATTCATTTATAGTAATAAAAGATTTGGTTTTCTCTCCTTAGGTAAAATATAAAGAAACATTTAATAAAGCAAAGGGCAAATATACGTTTTCACCAGATACACCACATATCTCCCACTCCAAAGACATGGGAAAACTCTACAGTACTGTAAGTTCTCTTTTATGTAATAACCACTCAATTTCTAATTTGAAGCTCTTGTTGCATTCATATTCTTGGCTGATTTTGTCAACTGCTGAACTTATAAGCCAATCTATTATTTATTTTCCCATTGCACTTAGTCTTGTGTATTAGAAGTACCATGTTATTCAAGGCAAATAGCGTTTATTCAGCTGGTGCTTTTGAGCTCCCGTGATGTGCCGGGCTCTTTAGGAGGCAATGAGGGGCTAAAGCTCAATGAGACAAGCCTTCAGGAGATCGTGCAAGTGAGGGGAACAGACTTAAATTGATAGAATAATAATCTAACAAGTGCTCTGGGGGCACATAGCATTGAGCACCTACCAATAGAGAAAAGGGAGGTAAGGTTGGTCCCTCTTTAGTAATCACGCATCAGCATCTCTAGCCAACAAGAGGAGAACTTGCCCTCCAAAATTTCATTCAGCTAATTTAAAGGAGACCAATAGTGTACATGTGTGCACCCAATGGGAAAGAATATTTGCCAGTTCTCTCCCTGTGTGCAAATTTGTTGTCACTTTTACTAGGACCGCAAAAATAGTCAACTCTTATAAAATGCCTAGAGTTGGCTGGGCATGGTGGCTCACGCCTATAATCCCAGCACTTTGGGAGGGTGAGGTTGGTAGATCACCTGAGGTCAGGAGTTAGACCAGCTTGGCCAACACGGTGAAACCCCATCTCTACTAAAAATACAAAAATTAGCCAGGCATAGTGGTGCGTGCGTGTAATCCCAGCTACTCTGGAGGCTGAGACAGGAGAATCTCTTGAACCCAGGAGGTAGAGTTTGCAGTGAGCTTAGATCACGGCACTGCACTCCAGCCTGGGTGATGGAGCAAGATTCTGTCTCAAAAAACATAAAAATAAAATAAAATAAAATAAAATAAAAAATAAAATGCCTCGAGTCTGTAAGTTTAATTTGCAATAAACCAAATAACTGCCCTATTCTAGGTAGATGCACTAATGGCTATAGATAAAGATTTCAGCCTTGCCTTGAACATACATGTTTCACCTTAATTAGACCAATTGTTTTAGTGGTATCTGAAAGAAGTTGAAAGAAAACTTTTGTTGCCATGTATTTCTTTGTTCTAGATACTGTATAAAGGGGCGTGGGAGGGCACCAAGGCCTATGGCTACACCCTGGATGAGCGCTACATTCCCATTGTTGGAGCCAAGCATGCTGATCTGGTGAACAGTGAGGTCAGTATGACCTTTTCCTCTCCTAAGTTTGAGAGTCTTTACTGGGGATCAAGGGGCTGGTTAGGAAACTCCAGCGATTCTCAATGTTTAACCCACTTTACAGCTTAAATACAAAGAGACATATGAGAAGCAGAAAGGTCACTACCTGGCTGGAAAAGTGATCGGTGAATTCCCTGGTGTGGTTCACTGTCTGGATTTCCAAAAGATGAGGAGTGCGGTAAGTAAATGTCCACTTTAACACGGGATTTGTGCCCCATAAGTGTGCTGCCGTGTCTGCCTGTTTATAACTTGCCCTTTGGTTCAGGTTAGCTGGGAAATGGAGTAGCGTAGGGTCCTTCCTGAGATTTTCCTCACCCCTCCAAGTCAGCCTGTGGACTCTTGGTAGCTGTGTGCTTCCTCCCTGCCACTTTCTCCCTGACTATTTAACACTGTGACTGCTTTGTGTTCAGAAAAGGAAAAAGCATCAAGGTCACTATTTACCCTGTGTTATAAAAGGATGGAAAACTTCAGGCCAGGTGAAATGGCTCACACCTGTAATCCCAGCACTTTGGAGGCCAAGGCAGGCAGATCACCAGAGGTCAGGAGTTCGAGACTGGCCTGGCCAACATGGTGAAACCTCATCTCTACTAAAAATACAAAAATTAGCTGGGCGTGGTGGTGCATGCCTGTAATTCTAGTTACTCTGGATGCTGAGGCATGAGAATTATTTGAACCCAGGAGGCAGAGGTTGCAGTGAGTGGAGATCACACCATTGCAATCCAGTCTGGGCAACAGAGTAGGACACCATCTCAAAAAAAAAAAAAAAAAAAAAGATGGGAAATTTCAAAAGAAGAAGAATATATTAAAGTATATAAAGTATATATATATAAAGTATAAAGAATATAATAAAGTATATATTAACCTTAGTTTATTCTAGAGATACTGATCTATATGGGAAATAAGGATCTAAAAGACATTGATCTGAATAATTTACATTTAAACCCCTTTCTTATTTTTGTCTTTAAAACATATTAGTTGAACTACAGAAAACATTATGAGGATACCAAAGCAAATGTTCATATCCCCAATGACATGATGAATCACGTGCTGGCTAAAAGGTGCCAGTACATCCTCAGTGACCTGGAGTATCGACACTATTTCCACCAGTGGACGTCTCTTCTGGAAGAACCCAATGTTATACGCGTCCGAAACGCCCAGGAGATCTTGAGTGATGTATGATGTCCCTTCTGCAGCTTGACTCAGCTACAGCTTCCATGACTGTGTCTTGGCTACCCCCCAACCCTGGCTGCCATGCTCCCGTTGTCCCTGTATTCATAAATCTTGCTGCTTCTCAAAACAAAGTGGCATGAGCCACTTTTTGGTATAAGAATCCACCCTAAGCCATAGGACACATATGTTAAATATTTAATTGGTTTCACAATAGACTCAGACATTGATATTGCTCTCAAGCTTCTTTAGGCTTGGGAATTAAAGACCTTCCAGCTGGTGAGAGGCCTACCCTATGTCTTCTAAGCAATAAGCACAGCCAACAGCTGATAGGAAATTATCAAATGCTCAATTGTAAATTCAGAATACCTTCCACATTTCATTGTTCTCTCTTTCTTGCAGAATGTGTATAAAGATGACCTGAATTGGTTGAAAGGCATTGGTTGCTACGTTTGGGATACACCCCAAATCCTCCATGCCAAGAAATCATACGACCTTCAGAGTCAGGTGAGCCACCTTCCTAGAAGGACTGGTTCTCCATGGGTCATCAGAATCCATGGTGGTGTCAGTGGGCTGATGGGCAGGCAAAGAAAGTTGCTGTAACAGTGTAGGCTCTAACTGACCAAAGCCCCTCCTCTCCCAATCAAAGCTCTTCTAGTGTCCTGCTCTGGGGCTGGATCTTCCCAGTCTGAGTCTCTCCTTTGGTTTAAGGCAATGCACATTTATAATAAAAGCTTATCTGGGAGGTGTTTCTTAGTGAACTACTCTCAAGCATCTGTACCTTAGTTGATCAAGTTAACTTGCAGAGAGTAGGAGGTAGAAGCATCCTTTGATTACAGGTAGATAAGTTTTGGAGGAAAAAGATCAGTATCTGGAAAACTTTTCAGCACGTGGTTCAGCTCTGATAGGGCAGTTGTAATGGAATGTTAAAAGTGAGGGGCATGTATACATATGTAACTAACCTGCACATTGTGCACATGTACCCTAAAACTTAAAGTATAATAATAAAAAAAAAAAAGTGTTCGAAACCAAAAAAAAAAAAAAGTGAGGGGCTGCTGTCAGGGATGGAGAATAGGCATGGAAAAGGCAACAAAATGGCCAAAATCTCAACCCCAGTCTCAGTCAAGAGAAGCTATTCATTCTGGCAGCCATACAAAGTCTGCAGGACTCTAGAATGACAGCCTGTTTGTTAGGATTAAAGCAGAAATCCAGAAATAAAGGCACATGTAAGTTGGCACAAGCAGCTACAGCTGATGACAGACCTGTATGTTACCATTTTTGATGACTTTTGTTTTTCTTCACAGCTACAATATACAGCAGCAGGTAAAGAAAATCTACAAAACTATAATCTGGTCACAGACACGCCCCTCTATGTGACTGCTGTTCAGAGTGGCATTAATGCCAGTGAGGTGCGTCTTCCTGTACTCCTCTTCCAGGGACAAACTATTTCTTGTCTTTATGTATTTTCTAACAACAGAGGTGAATAACCTATTGTTGCTTGTCTACAGGTAAAATATAAAGAAAATTATCATCAGATTAAGGACAAATACACAACAGTTCTAGAAACAGTGGATTATGACAGAACCAGAAACCTGAAGAATCTTTACAGCAGTGTGAGTTGAGTTTTTTTTCCCCCTTATATATGAGCCACCTTTCCCCCTTCTGGGACAGTAAGAGAATAAATGGGATGGACACTCTTTCCCTAAAGGCTTTTCTATGGTTTTTTCCTGGACCTTCAATCTTACTTTACCTCATAAAATTCTAGTAGGTACAATTAAATAAGCCCCACCTTAAAGAGGAGTCCTGGGAGTTAGTAGGGAGTGTGTGAGAAGGACAGACACAGAAGGAAAACCTGCTACTCAGAAGCTAACCAGATGCATTTTCCCATATTCACAAGAAGGTCTTTAATTCCTGCAGAACCTGTACAAGGAGGCCTGGGATAGAGTGAAAGCCACCAGCTACATCCTGCCTTCCAGCACCTTGTCCCTGACACACGCCAAGAACCAGAAGCATCTGGCCAGCCATGTAAGTAAAGCAAAAACATGACAGCTTTCCCACCCTCCCTCCCCTCCCCTGCTCTCCACTCCAAGAATCTTTCAGGCTGATTCATACGTTGTCCAGAAGTACCCCTAGCACTCCCGTGGGCATGTCCAGGAAATAATTCCAAATGCTCAGTCATTAGAGTCTATGTGCTCACTGCCTGTCTCTCTCTGCTGCCTGGAGAGAATCACAAGCACTTGCAAAGAGGACAGGATGTGACCTTTCAGACTGCCTGTCTGCACATGATAATCTCTGCTAGAGTCAGAAGTAAGGATGGGCTGAAGACATAATACACCTTACAGAAATAGACTTTTTCAATAGAATTACATGGATGTAGGGCAAAAATAAACCAGTGAATATGATAACCGGTTATTATACCATCCCCAGTTAATATAAATTATTTTATAGCAATGAAATAGAAAACATTTAAAAATTGTTTAATTCTCCTTTTTTAGGTAGAACTTTTCTTAGATATAAACATAATTGTAAAACAAACAAACCCTAAATCTCATGAGCTGTTTAAATATAGTAGAAGATCATACATCCTCTAACTCTTTATGCCTTTAAATCTTATGACCTCTAACCATTAATGTTCTTAAGTAAAACCTTTTTGCGTGTGTGTGTTTTGTTTTGGTTTATTATACTTTAAGTTCTGGGGTACACGTGCAGAACGTGGAGGTTTATTACATAGGTATACATATGCCATGGTGGTTTGCTGCACCCATCAACCCATCATCTACATTAGGTATTTCTCCTAATGCTATCCCTCCCCTAGCCCCCTACTCCCTGAGAGGACCCAGTGTGTGATGTTCCCCTCCCTGTGTCCATGTGTTCTCACTGTTCAACCCCCACTTACGAGTGAGAACATGCAGTGTTTGGTTTTCTGTTCTTGTGTTAGTTTGCTGAGAATGATGGTTTAAAACTTCATCCATGTCCCTGCAAAGGACATGAACTCATCTTTTTTATGGCTGCATAGTATTCCATGGTGTATATATGCCATATTTTCTTTATCCAGTCTATCATTGATGGGCATTTGGGTTGGTTCCAAGACTTTGCTATGGTGAAGAGTGCTGCAATAAACATACGTGTGCATGTGTCTTTATAGTAGAATGATTTATAATCCATTGGGTATATACCCAGTAATGGGATTGCTGGGTCAAATGGTATTTCTAGTTCTAGATCCTTGAGGAATCACCACACTGTCTTCCACAATGGTTGAACTAGTTTACACTCCCACCAACAGTGTAAAAGTCTTCCTATTTCTTTACATCCTCTCCAGCATCTGTTGTTTCCTGACTTTGTAATGATCACCATTCTAACTGGCGTGAGATGGTATCTCATTGTGGTTTTGATTTGCATTTCTCTAATGACCAGTGATGATGAGCATTTTTTCATATATTTGTTGGCCGCATAAATGTCTTCTTTTGAGAAGTGTCTGTTCATATCCTTCGCCTACTTTTTGATGGGGTTGTTTGTTTTTTTCTTGTAAATTTGTTTAAGTTCTTTGTAGATTCTGGATAGTAGCCCATTGTCAGATGGATAGATTGCAGAAATTTTTTCCCATTCTGTAGGTTGCCTTTTCACTCTGATAGTAGTTTCTTTTGCTGTGCAGAAGTTCTTTAGTTTAATTAGATTCCAATGGCCTTTGTTGCCATTGCTTTTGGTGTTTCAGTCATGAAGTGTTTGCCCATGCCTGTGTCCTGAAAGGTATTGCCTAGGTTTTCTTCTGGGGTTTTTATGGTTTTAGGTCTTATGTGTACATTTTTAGTCCATCTTGAGTTAATTTTTGTATGAGGTGTAAGGAAGGGATCCAGTTTCAGCTTTCTGCATATGGCTAGCCAGTTTTCCCAGCACCATTCATTAAATAGGGAGTCTTCTCCCCATCGCTTGTTTTTGTCAGATTTGTCAAAGATCAGATGATTGTAGATATGTGGCGTTGTTTCTGAGGCCTCTGTTCTGTTCCATTGGTCTATATATCTGTTTTGGTAAAAGTACCATGGTGTTTTTATTACTTTAGCCTTGTAGTATAGTTTGAAGTCAGATAGCGTAATGCCTCCAGCTTTAATTTTTTCCAATTCTGTGAAAAAAGTCAATGGTAGCTTGATGGGGATAGCATTGAATCTATAGATTACCTTGGGCAGTATGGCTATTTTCACGATATTGAGTCTTCCTATCCATGAGCATAGAATGTTTTTCCATTTGTTCGTGTCCTCTCTTAGTTCCTTGAGCAGTGGTTTGTAGTTCTCCTTGAAGAGGTCCTTCAGATCCCTTGTAAGTTGGATTCCTAGGTATTTTATTATCTTTGTAGCAGTTGTGAATGGGAGTTCACTCATGATTTGGCTCTCTGTTTTTTACTGGTATATAGGAATGCTTGTGATTTTTGCACATTGATTTTGTATTCTGAGACTTTGCTGAAGTTGCTTATCAGCTTAAGGAGATTTTGGGCTGAGACGGTTGGGTTTTCTAAATATATAATCAGGCCATCTGCAAACAGAGACAATTTGACTTCCTCTTTTCCTAATTGAATACCGTTTATTTCTTTCTCTTGCCTCATTGCCCTGGCCAGAACTTCCAATACTATGTTGAATAGGAGTGGTGAGAGAGGGCATCCCTGTCTTGTGCCAGTTTTCAAAGGGAATGCTTCCAGCTTTTGCCCATTCAGTATGATATTGGCTGTGGGTTTGTTATAAATAGCTCTTACTATTTTGAGATACATTCCATCAATACCTAGTTTATTGAGAGTTTTTAGCATGAAGAGCTGTTGAATTTTGTCAAATGCCTTTTCTGTATCTATTGAGATAATCATGTGGTTTTTGTCCTTGGTTCTGTTTATGTGATAGATTACATTTATTGATTTGCATATGTTGAACCAGGCTTGCATCCCAGTGATGAAGCTGACTTGATCAAGGTAGATAAGCTTTTTGATGTGCTGCTGGATTTGGTTTGCCAATATTTTATTGAGTATTTTCACATCGATGTTCATCAGGGATATTGGTCTAAAATTCTCTTTTTTGGTTGTGTCTCTGCCCGGCTTTGGTATCAGGATGATGCCGGCCTCATAAAATGAGTTAGGGAGGATTCTCTCTTTTTCTGTTGTTTGGAATAGTTTCAGAAGGAATGGTACCAGCTCCTCCTTGTACCTCTGGTAGAATCCAGGTGTGAATCCATCTGGTCCTGGACTTTTTTTGGCTGGGAGGCTATTAATTACTGCCTCAATTTCAGAACTTGTTATTGGCCTATTCAGGGATTCGACTTCTTCCTGGTTTAGTCTTGGGAGGGTGTATGTGTCCAGGAATTTATCCATTTCTTCTAGATTTTCTAGTTTATTTGCATAGAGGTGTTTATAGTATTCTCTGATGGTAGTTTGTATTTCTGTGGGAACGGTGGTGATATCCCCTTTATCATTTTTTATTGTGTCTATTTGATTCTTCTTTCTTTTCTTCTTTATTAGTCTTGCTAGCAGTCTATCTATTTTGTTGATCTTTTCAAAAAAACAGCTCCTGGATTCATTGATTTTTTTGAAGGGTTTTTTGTGTCTCAATCTCCTTCAGTTCTGCTCTGATCTTAATTATTTCTTGTCTTCTTCTAGCTTTTGAATTTGTTTGCTCTTGCTTCTCTAGTTCTTTTAATTGTGATGTTAGGGTGTCAGTTTTAGATCTTTCCTGCTTTCTCTTGTGGGCATCTAGTGCTATAAATTTCCCTCTACACACTGCTTTAAATGTGTCCCAGAGATTCTGAGTTCAAGTCCTGATATCCTTGTTAATTTTCTGTCTGGTTGATCTGTCTAGTGTCGACAGGAGGTGTTAAAGTCTCCCACTATTATTGTGTTGCATTCTAAGTCTCTCTGTAGGTCTCCAAGAACTTGTTTTATGAATATGCGTGCTCCTGTGTTGGGTGTGTATATATTTAGGATAGTTAGCTCTTCTTCTTTCATTGATCCCTTTCCCATTATGTAATGCCCTTCTTTGTCTCTTTTGATCTTTGTTGGTTTAAAGTCTGTGTAAAACCTTTTATTGTAAAATTCCCTGTAAGCTTTATTGTAATTCTTAGCCCAGTTCTCCTTCAGAAAAATTAGAGACTTTATCTCTTAATCAGGAACATTTTCTGTAACACTTTAAATCAGCATTTCTCAAACATGTTTTGACCATGACTCACAGTGGGAAATTTATTTTTTATTTCAAGTTCACATACACAGACACACACCCCTGAAGTTTACCTGAGTTTCTTCTGGCACAAATGTCTCACAGAAGAGTAGTGACTGCTAGACTAGAGACAGTGCACTCTGATAATTTCCATTCTGTTCTACTCATTTAAATGCTAGTGACTCAGTAAATTGATTTCACTACTCTACTGGGCTTACAGATGCACAGCTTAGAAATAAACTTCATTAGACAGTCTATGGAATTATTTAATTTTTACCTGGAGGAAACAGTAACATATTTGATTTTACCCAGACCCACCTCTATTTGGAAGATTACAAAAAGGAGCAAACTTTTCATTTTGGAAGAAAAGTACTATAGATAAGATTTTAAAAGCTCAAAAGAGGCTTTTTCCTTGAGTCATGAACAAAATTATAGAGGCAAGATTCTTGGCAAATTGGTTTTGGAGCAAGGTAAAACATAGAGAAATTAATCCTTTAAAAGAAGTATTCTGACCTTATTTTAGGAAAAAGTTTTGTGTGTGTGTATGTGTTTTTTTTTTTTTTAACGGTGCCTTTAAATGCCATCATCTTTGAAGCTGAGAAATAGATTAGATGTAAGAAGCTGATTTTCTGTTTTGGAAAAATCTAGTGGAAATTTTGGTTGGCCTCCAGTCAATGAAGAGCATTGCTGGAATTCTGACACAAATATATACTCCCATCTCTCTTTTGTTACAGAGGTGCAAATCGCTGAGTTTTGGAAGAACTGTTATTTTATTATTGTGTGCTATGAGATTGGATCTTAGTCTCTGTCTTAACCTGGTTTATATAATCATGGAACACTAATTAACGGGCAACATGGCTTAAGAACTAATTGTTATCCCACAGAAGTTGATTGCACTGTATTTTTGAAAGCCTTGTAGAAACTGAAATCCAAGGATTGTGTTTTCTTAGCAGCAGACTTTTCAGTTATTAAAAACAAAGATATTCCTAAGCACAGTTTTAATCTCGCACTCCTTTTAGTAAGAAAAACAAAGCCATTACCACAAGAGAATATTTTTAAATTACATAATCTTTAAAATGAATTGCTTGTAGTAGCAGTAAAAGTACTAGTATTGCTATAGGAATTTTGAAAACAGCAACTAAAATTTCATAGCGCTCTGTGGTTTAAAAGTACTTTTGATACAGTCTGATTTAAGCCACACGATAACCCCATGGCAGGCGCTACTGCTGTATCTCTCTGTACAGGTGGGGAAATGAGTTCAGAGAAGTGTTGTCCCCAACGCTGGGTGGATCTCAGAGTCGGGTTTTTCCCATTAAGTCTTATGCTGTTTTAATAATATAAATCCATTACTCTCTAAAACTGTTTCTTCCTTTCTACTTATTCTCTATAGATCAAATATCGGGAAGAATATGAAAAGTTCAAAGCTCTTTATACGTTACCAAGAAGTGTTGACGATGATCCGAACACAGCACGGTGCCTCCGAGTTGGCAAGCTTAACATCGATGTAAGTACGGTCATGCGCCCCTTAATGACTAGGATACATTCTGAGAAATGTGCCGCTCGTTATGTGATTTCATTGTTGTGCTAACATCATAGAGTGCACTTCCACATACCTAGATGGGATAGCCTATTGCTCCTAGACTACAAACCTGTACAGCATGTTACTGTACTGAATACTGTAGGCAACAGTAACACAGTGGCAAGTATTTGTGTATCTAAACATAGAAAAGGTACAGTAAAAACTCAGCATTATAATCTTTTGACTGAAACATTGTTATGCAACACATGAGGGTAACTCCAAAGACCTTACTTCAAATTTAAGTCAAGTAAAATAGCCATGTATTATTAATAGGAACATTTCTTTTCTTTTCTTTTTAAGACAGGTCTCACTCTGTTGCCCTGGCTGGAGGGCAGTGGTGCAATCACAGCTCACTGCAAGCCTCTACCTCTTGGGCTCCGGGAATCATCCCACCTCAGCCTGCTGAGTAACTGGGCCTACAGGCATGCACCACCACACCCAGCTAAGGTTTTTTTTTGTAGCGATTGGAATCTCGTTATGTTGCCCACTCTGGTCTCAAACTCCTGGGCTCAAGCAATTCTCCTGCCTCAGTCTCCCATAGTGCTGGGATTACAGGTGTGAGTTATCATGCCCAGCCTGAACATTTTCTATTTACCAATGCATATGACACTGACTGTGCACATGTAAAGAAGCTACATATTATTTCAGCTATAATGCTTTATTTTTTAAAAATTTCCCTTGGTGTTAATCTATAGAAAATGTCAGAAAATACCAGTCACTGCCCTGCCCCCAACTGTTCGCTGTGAGTTGGTTAGCCTGACTTCTCATGTATGGCCATGATGCCTTGGCACAATTTCCTGTATAACTGGCATGTGATTTTAACTTTACAGCGCCTGTACAGATCAGTTTATGAAAAGAACAAGATGAAAATCCACATCGTGCCCGACATGGTAGAGATGGTTACTGCCAAGGATTCCCAGAAGAAAGTCAGTGAGATTGATTACCGCCTGCGCCTCCACGAATGGATTTGCCACCCCGACTTGCAAGTCAATGATCACGTCAGGAAAGTCACAGATCAGATCAGCGATGTAAGCCTGTGACTTAAGAAGTACCCCTCCACGGCCCCGCCCCACGGCCCCACCCAGAAGGCAGCAAACTCACCCATTTCTTTACCTTAGCCTTTTTCCACTATCTCTTCCCTATATGTCCATTTGTCCAACTTGACTTCAGAGCTGTCTCTGGAAGCAGGGCTCTGTGTACACATGTTTCTGTGGCTCCCCTGAGCCTCTTTGCATAATGCCTTTGCTCCTCATTCCACAAAGCCTTCTGAGTCTAGAATGTACCTCTGTTTTTAGTGTTAAAGTTATTATGGTCAATTTTTTTTTTCTGATCCTTTCTATCAAAACCCTCTAGATTGTATACAAGGATGACCTCAACTGGCTGAAAGGCATTGGTTGCTACGTCTGGGACACTCCTGAAATCCTCCATGCCAAGCATGCTTATGATCTACGTGATGATGTGAGTTTGCCTTGTTTTGTTCTTTAGTATATTTCCATTTCTCCATAGTCTAGAGTTAAGAGGAGGTTATGTAAAATAGGGACATTGTCACAGGCCAGCTCTGGGGGGTGGCTGAGCTGGAGAAAGTTGCTAGGAGCAGAGCAACCATCTCTCAGGAAGGCGTATGGCATTCTTATTAAACTGCAGTCCAGGTGTGCCATCGTCCTCTGGTGGAGAAGGGACCAGCATCTTCTCTTTCTATGTTTTAGGCTATTTTGGATATATTAACAAGCACTTAATTGTCATTTTAGGAAAGTGTGATTTGTTAGTGTTTGCAATGCTATAGACAAGCTCTATTTGTAAAGAGAGGATTTTCCACGCAAATTAAATACTGTAATGAGGATTTCAGTAAGAAAGCTTAAACTTTCCTAGAAGAGTAGTTATCAAGTGTCCTAGAAGACTCTAGAAGCCCCATATAAGTGTTGGTTACACTGTTATAAAATTCAAATGCATCTCGGTCTGTTGAGTAGTGCTGATGAATATAAATCTCATGAGTTAAAAGCAACCAAACCCTCTGTGAAAACCAGCAGTTTCAAGCATAAGGAATGGTCCAACATGGGCTTGTTTTCTTCCTCTCGGCAGATCAAGTATAAAGCTCACATGTTGAAAACAAGGAATGACTACAAGCTTGTCACAGATACACCAGTCTACGTGCAGGCTGTCAAAAGTGGGAAACAGCTAAGTGACGTAAGTGATCACTGGGGAAGTTAAGTGGACAGTAATAAAGCAGGGCCACCACTCAAGCAGAGGTGGCAAAAACCATAGACTGGGCAGTGCCAAGTCTTTTCTAACTGGGAAACCAGAGTTGGTGCGTTTGAAAGCACTGAAGATGCTGCTGGCTATTGTTTCCTGAAACCTGATGCATTCAAGCAGTTTGCTGGGGCGGAGTTGTAGGTGATGCGAGTCTATGAAGTAACTTTGTGCCTTAGCACTTCCAACGTGTTTTTTGTGCCCTGTGTCATAGCAAGTTTATTTCTATCTAGGCCATTTAATAAATTAGAACCAGCTATGGTAGAATAAGAAGCAAGCAGGCTCTGGAGTTAGAGTTGTGGAGTGCAGTCTCACCTCTACCACACATTATCTATAAGGCTTATGAAAAGCACTTAATCCATCTGAGCCTCCCATTCTGATGCATAAAATGGGGACGTAAGGAAGCACCCACTATGACGCCTGACACAAAGCAGGCAGGGCAGGCACAAAGCTGCTCTTTCTTTATTAACTCCACAGGTTGGTAAGTCAATATCAGATCCCGCCAGTGAGTGCAAACATTGAGACCTATTATTTTGGAACTTCTAGTGGTAAAATGCCCACCCTTCCTCTTCTTGTGCCTGGGCCATCTCTTCTGTTTCTCAGTGTGAGTGTCCACACGCTGGCTCTGATCCTGTTGGACAAGCCACAGTAATGTGTCAGATGAGTTCTCCAGGCAAAGGGAAGCAGGCTACCGTTATTTTTTTTAAAGAGGAACCTGGGTTCCCATTCTCTTTGCTTCTAACAATGCTTCTTTCTGCACCAGGCTGTCTACCACTATGACTATGTGCACAGTGTCAGAGGCAAAGTGGCTCCAACTACCAAAACCGTGGATCTGGACCGGGCCCTTCATGCATACAAGCTCCAGAGTTCGGTGAGCAGTGAGAACTTGAGAGTGCCCAGCAGAAATCCGTTCCATCAGCCTCTGTGGAAGCAAGCTGAGCTTGCTTCCTCTTGACCTGACCTTGTATAAATGCTGTTCTATTCACATGAGGTGAAAAAACAAAAACACAGAGCATAATCTATCTTTCCTCCTAGCTGCCAGGATCCCCCTATGGAGCAATCAAACCAACATAATGGGCATGTTTTAGCAATATTTACAAGTTACAAAGAAGAAAGCCAATATACATTCTCTGCTTTCAAAAAGCTGAAAATCAAGATAACAGAGACAAGGCCTTTAACCTCAATAAAAGATGAACTAGAAATTGTTGCTGGAATTCAGAAGAGAAAGAACCTGGATCCCACCTGCATATTTAACCTACCTATTCTATGTTACCCAATGGTGCTGATTTGGTCTCAACTTTTCATGTTATTTCCCATCTTGTGTATTAAAAATAATTTTTGGCCAGGTGCGGTGGTTCATGCCTGTAATCCCAGCAATTTGGGAGGCTGAGGCGGGCAGATCACCTGAGGTCAGGAGTTCGAGACCAGCCTGGCCAACATGGTGAAACCCCATCTCTACTAAAAATACAAAAAATTAGCCAGATATGGCAGTGCATGCCTGTAATCCCAGCTACTTGGGAGGCTGAGGCAGGAGAATCTTTTGAACCCAGGGGGCGGAGGTTGCAGTGAGCTGAGATTGCACCACTGCACTCCAGCTTGGGCAACAGGAGCAAAACTCCGTTTCAAATAATAATAATAATAATAATAATAATAATAATAATTTTGGCCAGGCACAGTGGCTCATGCCTGTAATCCCAGCACTTTAGGAGGTCATGGCAGGCAGATGGCTTGAGCCTGGAGTTCAAGACCAGCCTGAGCAACATGGTGAAACCCTGTCTGAACAAAAATACAAAAATAAATAAATTAGCCAGGCATAGTGGCATGCACCTGTGGTCCCAGCTACTTGGGAGGTTGAGGTGAAAAGATTACCTCAGCCCAGGGAGGTCAAGGATGCAGTGAACTGTGATGGTGCCACTGCACTACAGTCTGGGTGACACAGTGAGACCCTGTCTCAAAAATAAAATAAAAATAATTTGGTTTTTCATATTTTAAATGTAATTCTTAATCCTAAACTCCAAGAGACAGAGTATTTAAGATCACAGACAGACACTCCTCCATGTCCTCCCTTTCTGCCATGAACACATGCATCCTGACCTCTTCACGGCCTGATGTCAACACACTGTGTTTGGAAGGGGCAGGAGAGGGTAATACAAACATGTGCCTGGCTATATCTTCGTGATGGCTTGCATATCATCACCTGAGGATGGAGTAATGGCAGAGGTGAAACTTGGTTACCTATCTTCTCTGCATTTCCCAAATTCTTGCTAGATGCCATACAGCCAACTGGGCATATGTTTGGAAGCACAGAGGAATTAGTGTTTTTTTTTTTTTTTTTTTTTTTTGGAGACAGGGTCTCCTCTGTCTCCCAGGCTGGAGTGCAACGGTGCAATCACAGCTCACTGCAATCTCAAATTCCTGGGCTCAAGTGATCCTCCCACCTTAGCTTCTTAAGTAGCTGGGACTACAGGTACACGCCACCATGCCTGGCTAATTTTAAAATTTTTTATAGAGGTGGGATCTTGCTATGTTGTCCAGGCTAGTCTCAACTTCTGACCTTAAGCAATCCTCCTGCCTTGGCCTCCCAAAGTGTTGAGATTACAGATGTCAGCTACCACACCTGGCCAGGAACTACTTTCAATAAACCATTTCACTCATTGTTCTATTTTTCCAAAACAATAGGTGAAGAGTAATCTGACTCATTTTATGACTCTTAGAATGTATTTAATTCTCTCCTGAAATCAATTCAGTGAGCATAAGTGTATTAAGTATCTAGTCAAAACTGTAACATGAGCTATATGTGATTTGTTAAGCTCAGATCAGTTACTTGATGCCCGATGTCATTTAACCTGCTCTTCCTCATTCCTGCAGAATCTATACAAAACCAGCCTGCGCACCCTGCCCACTGGATATAGACTTCCAGGTGACACTCCTCACTTCAAACACATCAAGGACACCCGTTACATGAGCAGTTATGTGAGTGGTCTCCTCCTCATTGAGATGGGTCTGAAGGTGGGGTGGCAGGAGACTCATATTAATTAATAGCCTGTTCTAATCCTCCAGTCTCACCCTCAAGGTTCAACCTGATAGAATGATGGGAGCTGGAGAGGAGAGACAGCATATTTTTGAGGGGTGCTGTGCAATTGATTCCTTCTGCAATTCAGCAGTGCCTGGGTAGCCCCATGGGTTAGAACAGAATGTTCGTGGGAGCCTTGGCTGAGGGCCCATGGCTGTCATGATGCCTCTACTTCTGCTGGCCTCACTTAGCACAGATGCACCCTGAATTATCCCAAGCCATTTATTGGAAATGCAACTTCACACACGCACTACTGAGGTGTGGTGATAGTATTGTCTTCCTTCTGCTATGTTTCACTGCAGAAGATATAACATCACCATGTGTTCCTTTGAAAATAAGACTTCTTGCCTAGCTGCTGGCTGATATTTAGCTCACTACTTATCCTCTGTGCCCAGTTCACAGAAGGCTAGAGGGGTAGTTAGGCTCTTACTACCTGTAGCTTACTCAAATGATGACCCTCATGTTGCCCTTCTCCACTTTTCACAAGTACTCAACTGGGACTTGATGCATTTACCCCATGGGGAAGGCTTAGGGAAATCGTGGCCATCCCAGTAAGTCTGGCCTGCAGACCACAATGAGCCGCTGGTGGAATAATAAGCTCTCCCTCTGTGCTACCCTTCATATTCCTGGGAATCAAACCTAGTGGCCAGAAAGGACCCAATAACCTGTGGCTCAATAATGTACTTCCAAAGTAGACAGTCACAGATTTAATAATCTAACACCTAAAGGATGTGTTAAAATGGTTGGTTAAAATCAGTCCACGAAGCTATTTGTCAGTCTTAAATACATTCTCTTGTTTCTTCTTTGTATTTTCTAATTTTCTAGCCACACTGGGGCTAAAAATAAAGATTTTTCTCTGGCATTTTGCATACCTTCCGACAAACAGATTTCACCTAGGCAAGGTCAAATTTTATTCTTTTCTTGGCCTGGTTTTATTTTCCAACACATAATTTTCAAGGCCTGGATTAATATTGAAATTTTGTCAATGACTTTTCTACATACTTAATCCTTAAAAAGAGCAATTTTTCAAATAAAGGTGACATCTCTTTTCTATTTGGAGAAATGTAATGTTGGTCCTTGTTTACCCATCATTGATCTCATTCTGACTTTGCTTTTGCAGTTCAAGTACAAAGAAGCCTATGAACACACCAAGGCATATGGGTATACACTTGGCCCCAAAGATGTTCCATTTGTCCACGTCCGGAGAGTCAACAATGTTACCAGCGAGGTACCTGAATGCTGATTCTCCAAGAGACATATTGAGTTTCAATAGCCATGGCTTTGTTTGAAATGCATTAAGAATTAATCTTATTTCAGTTGTAAACTTACATACCAGCAAAAAATGAAAAAGGTCCTTATTGTCACATTTTGATACTGATATTTCTTGGTAGTGGTTTTTTGTATTTGGTAATGCCTTGGAGAGACTCGGTTCCATAGATTATGATGCAAAACTTTTCTAAAGAAATAATTTCTTCTTTTGACATTTATATTCAAAAATCTTTAATAAGGTTGCATTTTAGTCTGACTCATGATCCTGGTTTTCTACACCAACTATTGGTTTGCATATCTGATCCTACTATGCAACCATCTGATAGAAAGTGGAAGGCTTTGTGCTCAGAATTCTTCACCTAAATGAAATAACTCTCATTTTCTCCTTTTTTCCTAATCTCAATCATTTTCTATATCCTCGATATTTCCTCCCCTCTTCCTTATGTAAAATATTTTATTCTTGATTAGTCAGTAGATGCCCTCGTCGTCCCCTACTAAATGCCTGTAATGATATTTCCTCCAACGTAGAGACTGTATCGGGAATTGTACCACAAACTGAAAGACAAGATCCATACAACTCCCGATACCCCTGAGATCCGCCAAGTCAAGAAGACACAAGAGGCTGTCAGTGAGGTGGGTATTTTCTTAGGAAAGACAGGGAGTAGAGACTAGGGATGAATGTTAATCATTCGGTCTCTAATACATATGTTTTGGGGTATTTTTTTTTCTTTAGTTGATCTACAAATCAGACTTCTTCAAGATGCAGGGCCACATGATCTCTCTGCCATACACACCCCAAGTGATCCATTGCCGCTATGTGGGAGACATCACCAGTGATGTAAGCATCTCGTAGGGGTCTTTCTGGAGTAGTCTTACCAAGACGCAGGCTTGCTTTCAGCAGTTAAAACAACCAGTGGTCTTTGAACAGCCTTTTCTGATAAGCACTTCTAAACAAAGAGTACAAGTTGGAGGTAAGACAGTGTGGGAGAAGGATGCCACAATTCTACAGCTATGGAAACAGTAATAAGAGGACCACCTGGGGAAGACAGAATTGCCATCATTCTTGATCACTCAGTGACCACCATTCTACATTCAACATGGAATCATTCCAACTCCTCACTCCCTAACTCCCTGTGTGGCCTCCATCCCAGGTCATGTTGAGTATTTTCCTCTCACTCATCCCTACTCTGACCTCATTAGCAACTTCTTGCTGCCATTTTTTTCATTCTCCTTGTATGTTCTCTCCTCCTAAAAGACCAATCCATTCAATCTGTTCTTTTCTCCAATCAATGTTATAGTAATAAAATAATAGCAGTGTTCTCTCCTCAGCTCAGGGTTAGAGACTTAAATGAAAAAAAACATGACTTATTTGGGTGCAAGTAAACTAAGAGTACAAGGTAGATGAACTGGCTGGGCACGGTGGCTCACGCCTGTAATCCCAGCACTTTGGGAGGCTGAGGTGGGCAGATCACCTGAGGTCAGGAGTTCGAGACCAGCCTGGCCAACATGGTGAAACCCTGTCTCTACTAAAAATACAAAAATTAGCCAGGCACGATGATGTACGCCTGTAATCCCAGCTACTAGGGAGGCTGAGGCAGGAGAATCGCTTGAACTCGGGAGGCGGAGGTTGCAGTCAGCCAAGATCTTGGCATTGCACTCCAGCCTGGGCAACAAGAATGAAACTCTGTCTCAAAAAAAAAAAAAAAAAAGTAGATGAACCAAAATGAAAGACACAGTAATTAAGAAGTGTTGCTACTCCATCTTTTGTGTTTCCTGACTTACATTTGCTTATGACCAGCTATATTTCTGTGTTTGCCTCTCAGATTAAATACAAAGAGGACTTGCAGGTCCTGAAGGGATTTGGCTGCTTCCTGTATGACACTCCTGACATGGTCCGCTCCCGGCACCTGCGGAAGCTCTGGGTGAGTGCACATCATCACAATGCATAATTACCCCCCGCACAGCTGGATGCCCCCATCACCAGCCTCCAGGGCTAGGCAGAAGGGATCTTAGCCTGCAGCTACTTTTAAGGGGAAATTTATCATTAACTCACTTGAGCAGATTATCACTTTAATGTGATCTGTGCCTCCTATGAAAGGTGCTGAGCTTAGTTAAATGACAATTGTTTTTGCTCCTGCCTGGGAAGACATCCAGGACACATGAAAGCCCTGCTCAGCTTACACATGCCAGACATTTGAAAGACAATATGACATGAATCCCTTAAATGATTAATCAACTTGTATTTCTGTTTTTTTTTTTTTTTTTAAGTCTAATTACCTATACACTGATAAGGCAAGGAAGATGCGAGACAAATACAAAGTGGTGCTTGACACTCCAGAATACAGAAAAGTGCAAGAACTGAAGACACATCTGAGTGAGGTAAGGACGCTTTACTTGTCATTGAAGTCAATCAAATTGACCAGTACAAACTGAATTACTCCACAAGGCTCTTAGTTCCTCTAGTGATCGCTGTTCAGGCAACTGCGGCAGGTAAAATATTTCCCCTCTTAACTGTGGAATGGCTACTATGTCTAAGCAAGTCAACCAACTGCACTTTACCTCAGTTTACTTATTTTGCCCCCTTTTGGTAAGATACGCATATTCATACTGGCTCTTCCTATGTCTAGGGCTGATGAGGGGTTTTGCATGATTTTATAGATTAGAAAGACCTTTCTTTTTCTTTTTTTTTTTGAGATGGAGTTTTGCTCTTGTTGCCCAGTCTGAAGTGCAATGGCGCAATCTCGGCTCACTGCAACCTCTGTCTCCTGGGTTCATGCGATTCTCCTGCCTCAGCCTCCAGAGTAGCTGGGATTACAGGCATGTGCCACCACGCCTGGCTAATTTTGTATTTTTAGTAGTGATGGGGTTTCTCCATGTTGGCCAGGCTGGTCTCGAACTCCCAACCTCAGGTGATCCGCCCGCCTCAGCCTTCCAAAGTACTGGAATTACAGGCGTGAGCCACCACGCCTGGCCTAGAAATAATAATTTTACTTATTATTTTTGTTGTCTCTAAACTTATTTCAAAATTTTCTTTCTCTTTAATTCCTGCTATCAGGAGCCCCGAGCATGGCAGTGCCATTGGAGAAGTCTTCAGTGGCTCCCTGCTCTGCTGCCCATTCAGTACAATTCAGACTACTTAGTTTCATTTTCATCTGGCATTGAGGCTCCTGATATATTGCAGTTATTTGTGAATAGATCTGATTCTCTCACCTAGAGTGTTGGTTCCTTGATGATTGGACCCCATGTTATTTACATGTGTCCCATAGTGCCTTGGCCATAATAGATGTGCATGTTTGCCAAAGGGCATTTCACAAGTGTAAATGGTTGCTCTTCTTATAGGTCAGTTGGCCATTCTCATTCTACTGTCACTCTGGTATTGTAGCTCCATTCATCAGTTTGTGCATTCACCATTCTGTATTGTGGCTTCACCCAGCTGAGCATTGGCTTCCAGGCCATTTCATCCTTCTCAGTAGCTCTGATGGCTGCTGATTAGGAATCTTAGGCTCTTAGCGATGCCCTGAAATACCAAATGTCACCCTCAGTGGAGGGATATGCAGCTTCCTACACTCAGTGAGCCAGAATCAGAGGATGACTAACTCTTCAGCTTTTGCAAATGCAACATTGAGCCAATTTGCTTTCCTAAAAGCTTCACTGTGTTATTTCAGCCCGCACTCGCACTCAGACTAGAACGCTTACGTTATTTTTATCCTGCTAAAGTTGTGCTTTTCCACTCTGGCTCAGTATGAGAATCACCTGTGGAATATTTAAAATCCACCCAGAGAGGGCCCTGACCCCTTGTTCCACACCAGACTGATTCTCCGTGTCTGGGCATCTATACACTTTTAGATGCTCCATAGAGATTCTGTTTAATAATATGTAGCCTGTGTTGAAAACCACCGCACCACATCTCTCCTCCAGCTACCAAGTAATAATTTAAAACAATTGGTAACTTATAGTGCTTCAGAGTAAAGATAACTCTGAAATACCTTTACTCTTTTTGGCTTTCTGGGCTCAGAATTATCTAAAACTTTAGTTTCTCCTCTTCCCAGTTCCCAGAGGGATTTTGGGCAAGTTGTGCATCAGCACTGAGGAAGAAGAATGGATATTTTTCAGTGGAGCAGTTTGCACCACATTTGCCTCTCCATAAGAATGACCCAGGCTTGATAAAATGCTGATCCAAGCCACTCCCCTGAATTTAGAAGGGTTGGGAGACAGCCTACGAATCTGTTTTTAATAAAAACCATGGAGAGCGGGGGAGGGTTAATATCAGGAAAGTTTGGAAAACATTGAGTTAGTAAAAAGTGTGATGGCCAAAAGAAGTTACCGACTTTTGAGTTTTCAATTGTATAGATTCTTGACATATACACATTTGTAGTACTAGGAAGCAGGGACGTTGTCCCAAGAAGCATAAGCAATGCATACCTAAGTACAGGGGAAATATAATACACAGTGAAATGTATAATTCTAGAAATGGCATAGAGGCCAAGCACAGTGGTACATACCTATTGTCCTAGCTACTTGGGAGGCTGAGACCAGAGGATCACTGGAGTGCAGGAGTTTGAGGCCAGCCTGGGCAATATAGTGAGACCCCGTCTCTAAAAATCAATACATAAATAAAATTTAAAAATAAGAAAAAAATTGCTTGGGAGAATTGGGTTTTAGTCCCAGATTTACTTCCAATTAGCTATATGATCTTATGTAATTCACAACTTTAGCACCCTAATTTCCTAAACTGAAGAGTTGGACTAAATGATGATTTGAGCTCCTTTTAGCCATAAAATTCTAAGAGTTGTTGATTTACTTTACTCAAAATTTAGCTTGGAAGAAGCATTAAGTTTTCATTTAGTTTATCTCTTTCAATAGTAACATGAAAAAACAGCCCCAAACACATGAGTTACATTTTGTTTTAACTTGCAGTTGTATATAATTCAGATTTAAAGAAATTGATGTGTGTGCCTGTGTTTCTTACGTTTTATCTGTTCAACTGGTATTTATATCCATGATTAGAATTTATTTGGTATCCATTTGTTCTTTCTCATTTGCCGCATTACATTAAATTCCTTCAACATTTATTAGCAACTATTATTTTTTAGGCCCTTTGTCTGAGCTCTAGTTGATGAAAGGATCGTACCACTGAACTGCTGTGCCCTAGTCTCGGAGAAGAAACAGGCATTGGTGTGATAAATGGCTTTATATAGGAACAGTCAAGACAGCATGGACTCTTGGAGTTTTCCAGGCAAATAAAAGGGAGAAGAACATTCAAGGCAGGAAAGACAGTCTGTGAAAGCAGCCATAATGAGTTCCAGTAACTGGGACTAGTTTACATAGCACATGGAGGGTGTGGAAGGATGCTGGTAAATGAAGCTATTATAGAAACATGGGTTGGAGCCAGGTTATAAAGACTTGTAGGTGTTATATAAATGACCTTGGACTTTATGAAAAATCATTGAAGAATTATTTCTATGAAGAATAGATTTGAGCATTAAGAAAATATGTGTCTCAGACTTTTGAAAGATGGGTGACTCACGTGGGGTGGTCCAATAGAGGAGTTGAGCAGGTGGTTTTGACATGTAGAAAATAAGATGGAAGGCTGAACTAGGGCAGTGGTGTTGGCAAATAATCAGATTTCAGGAATATCACAAAGTGAGGAGCCCAGGATTCATGACCATTTTGATGTAGGAATAAGGGAGGAGCCTAGGATGACTCCCCCAAGTTTCTGGCCCGAGTAACTGGGATATCAACAAGTCATTTAGCAAAATAGAGAAAATAGGAGAAGCAGCAATTTGAGATAGAGATAGAGGCAATATAAAGAATTATATATTGAACATGGTAAATCACCTAAATTCAGAAAGTTGTAGAAAACTTGGGTCTGGAGCTCAGGAAAGACACTGGATATGTAGATTTGGAAGTTATCAATCTCAAAGTGATGCTTGAGATCACAGGTACAGATGAGATCACCCCGGGAGAATGTACTGGGTGAAAGGGGCCAATCCTTCACCCCAGTTAACAGCAGCCTTTGCATGAGGGCAGAACCAGAGGAAGGCTGATGAGGAGGTCTAAAAGACAGGAAGCCACCTAGGGAAGAATGGTTGAATGGAAGCCAGAGAAGAGAGTTTTCAGGAATGAAACACTGAGCAGCTTCAGTTGCTACAGAGAAGTGTTCATGGCAATCATGAAGTTCTTGGTAGTCTCAATGAGTGTGACTTCACTGATGTGGGTAGGTGGGAGCCAAACTATGGTCTTGAGAAATTAATCAAAAGAGAGGCAAAGAAGAAACACAGGCAACTTGGCTGAGAAAAGAAGAATGAAGGCCATTGGCTAGAGACTGGAAAAGGCTTAATTAATGACAGGAGGTCTTGAGTCTGTTTGCAGGTGAAAAGAGGGGATTGGGAAAACAGGAAGGGTGGAAGATACAGAGGAGATGGAGACAGTTGCTGGAATAGGGTACTAGAAGGGACAACTGCAAATGGGACCAAGAACACAGCAGGAGTCTTGAATTTTGGACAGGCTAGAGAATGTCTCTTGTTTTGACACAAGGGAAAAAAGAAAAGGAGGGTGCAGGAGGTAAATAAAAGGTTGGTTTATTGGGAAGAAACTGCAATCGTTGCAGTGGGAGGGCTCCTGCCTTTTCTATGTAAAAGCAGTGAAGGCATCTGCAGAGAACATAACATGCCCATGAAACAGAAATGATGGTGATAACTTGGTTTATGTCTAGCTGGTCTACAGAGCTGCAGGCAAGAAGCAGAAGTCAATCTTTACTTCAGTTCCTGATACTCCTGATCTTTTAAGAGCCAAGCGAGGGCAGAAGCTTCAGAGTCAGGTAAGCTCAGAGGTTCATAAGCCTGCCACTCAGGCATCACAGGGGGTGATTATATGTGCCTGGCCTCACCTGGCCAGTGGCAGACTCACACACTTGGTTGTCCTGGCTGCAACCTCATGCCCATTAACACTGCACTTGAAGAAGCAGTTCTCTTTTGGGCCATGATAATTATGGTTGTGTTTTACTCAGGTAAGGGATGCCACATCTTCTTTCCTAAGTGTTATAAAACTTGTGTTTTGGAGTAATGAAAATAATTGCTTGATCATTCTATAGAATCTTCCTGTTATCCGCAGACAAACGAAGCTGTATTTCATGCAGTCACGCAAAAATCAGGGGAAAATATGTTGAGGGGTCTATCAGAATCTTCTCATACTTCTGTTAGCATTCTTTATCACATGGCTTTGCTTGGATCATACTCAGTGGTAGGCATATTAGATAACTGGAGTATGTGTATTTGTTTTCAAATATGAGACACAGAGAAACAAATGAACAGAAACGCATATAACAAAAAAACAAGCAAACAAACATCAGGACAGTAAGCAGATACCACCTTCCCACTGAATGGTTAGAAATGAATGAAGTGGACTGAATGCTAAATACTAAATGCTTTATCTCTATGACACCTCACTTTCTTCTATTATTCAGTATCTGTATGTTGAACTTGCCACCAAAGAGAGACCCCATCATCACGCTGGAAACCAGACCACAGCCTTGAAGCATGCTAAAGACGTGAAGGACATGGTCAGTGAGGTAAGATGGGAATTCAGCACTGAGGCACTGGGTAAAAAGAAAAATACTTTGTTAAAACCTTCCCCTGCTACCTCTGATCAGAGAGCTCATTACTATAAATGGTGCTCAGCATCATCAAAACACAAAAGGCAGAGCTATTCTCTTAAAGTGTGTAACACATTGTGCCCCTCCACAAGACCTGTAGGTGGCTTGGTTGGAAATTGGGAAGACACTTAAGCTTGTCTCTCTCTTCTGCATTTATTTCTCAGAAAAAGTACAAGATTCAATATGAAAAGATGAAAGACAAGTACACTCCGGTTCCAGATACGCCAATCCTCATCAGAGCCAAGAGGGCTTACTGGAATGCCAGTGATGTATGCATCCCTTCCTTTTTTCTTCTGTTGTGATGGGGAGAGCTGAGGTTGAAGTACCTAAGAAACATAACATATTTCAGCCATATCCATAGTTCTAAACCATGGCCTAGGAAAAAAACACACATTTTTTTAAAGAGAAAAAAAAATGCCCAAACAATACTAGTCAGGCAAAATAGCTGAGAGATACCAGAAGCCTATTCTTCTCAATTCTCTCCTGAATAAAAATATGACCCTTTCTTATAATTCTTCAGCAGCATTTTCTGGGGATACTTGACAGTTAATTTACTTATCCATAAAATTATGGTCTTGCAGTCAGCCAGACATGGATTCAAATCCTGATGCTGTTACTTGCCTGCTGTATGACTCTATATCATCTGTCTAATTTTTCCGAGTCTCTTTTCATATATGTGGAATGATAATGAGAATTGTGATAATTAAATAAAACCAAACAAGATAATGTATAAGTGTCTAGCATGCTGCTGGGCTCCTAGTTACTCAGAAAATGTTTGTTCCCTTTTTTCTCTTAATTGCATATAGATCATGTGAATGATGCATGACACAGTGGTTAAAATTAGGGGGGACAGATGTTCATTTTCCATATCACACAATCGAGGGCAAGGCTGCCTTTTAATGGTAATAATCTGTTAATAATCTGTTAATGAAGATGTGAAGTAGTGAATCCAAGGTAAATAGCCAATCCTTACGGGTTTTGTGTCTCAGGGTCCAACCAGGAATTCACTGTACCCATTACCAGAGCCACACCCCTAGAGGACTAGACATGTTGGGACTTAAACTGAGCCAAAAATCAAGCCAACTTCATGACCCCCTCAACTTAGCAACATAGCTCTAGGATTTCAAGGCATCTTAAGGTAATTGCAGTAAGCCCGAGGCAGAAAAGAGAAGGCACAGCAAATGTGAACAATATCTCAGTTCCATAATTTTGTTAGGAATTTTTATTTGGAGAAGAGAAGAGCCTACTAGTTAGAAAAAGGCAATGCCAGTTAGTGCTTAAAATGTAAGCTGGGAAAAAATCATATACTCCCCTCAAAATCTACCTTCTAGGATATTTTTAGTCTTCTTGTGACATCCTTCATCATTATCACTTCAAAGTTACTGTTGAATATTTATTTGAACCAAGCTGAATTAATATCTTACAGCGGTGGCCACACATTGAAATTGGCCCTGGGATTCATCATGCCCCACTGGACAGCACCATCCCTAGGGCTTTATCAGTAGCAATTCTGATAACTCTAATCTTTACAATAGTCTAATGTAACAAGGGTAGTATCTGGCATTTAATTCAGTATTAACCATGGCTAGCCCCACAAGTAGATCTAAGCAATCTTATGATCCATCTAAAAAACAAAATTACAAAGTCAAAGAAAAGACATCTTTCACTGTGTGTTTGCTCAGTTAACCCCAAAAGAAAAGAACTGTTTGACGTTGAAAATAGGTTGTGCAGAGAAGCACCCATCTTGTGTAGATTAGATGAATCATCTATGATATTCTCAGGTTAGAATCAGAGCTGTTTTCTCTTGAAATATCACAAAGATAAAGATTATAATGAAATGAAGTTTTAAGACTGCTTAGTGAAGAAGGCATTTTAATACTAGGAGTTAGAAGCTAAACCTTTTTCCCTTTTCCATGTACATTAGCATATCTTGGGCTCAACAATGTTGTTTGTTTGGGTTTTTTTTTTCTCTCAAATGAACTTTTGGTTTATGTTTTATATTTAAATAAACTTTCTATTTTAAGTAGTCTTAGATTTACCGAAATTGTACAGAGTTATCACATGCCCCACACCCAGGGGAACACCCATATCCTCCTGTTGCTAACACCTGTATCACCATCGTAGATTTGCCATGATCAGTGAACCAAGATTGATACATTATGATCGGTTAAACTCCATAGTTGCTTTGGATTTCATTAGTTTTCCCTAGTGTTCTTTTTCTCTTCTAGGGTCTGAAATAAGCTTTTAAATTTTTCCTAAATGTATTCATGGGAAAACCAGAGAGAAGACAAGAGAGTTCATGCTTAAAAGAGCTCAATTATTTAACTTGGTAGTTTTTTTGTAATTCATGTGTTTTTTCTCTTTCTAGCTACGCTACAAAGAAACATTTCAAAAGACCAAAGGGAAATACCACACGGTGAAAGATGCCCTAGACATTGTCTATCATCGCAAAGTCACAGATGACATCAGTAAAGTATGTCCCTAAATATTTCTACTTGTGTTGGGCTCTACAACTCACCATATACATATACATATATTTTTTAGCAACCTCCCTCTTCTGAAATTCTCCAGAAAGAAGCCATATTTACATTAACTTTGGGTAAGACTTACAGCTGTCTTTGTGTTTTTTATAACAGATAAAATACAAGGAGAACTACATGAGCCAGTTGGGTATCTGGAGGTCCATTCCTGATCGTCCAGAGCATTTCCACCACCGAGCAGTCACTGACACAGTCAGTGATGTGAGTGTTGACATCTTCTATTTTCACATATAAATTCATATTCCCATATAAGCTCTGAAATCATACATGGCATAAAAACTGAAGAAACTCTTGGCTAGATTTTAGATTTTGTGTGTGGATGTTTAAATCATAAAACTCAATTGCTAAGTGAGTGAATTTCAACTTGGGAGAAGGAAATATATATTCAAATTTATAAACCTCATTTTTCTCCTAAATGTATGATATCATATTACAGGACTGGAAGTGATATATATCATCTAGGAAATAGCCTATTTTGATCCAATGAAGTGACAACTTCATGAAGCAATTAAGACACATAACAATGCTCACTTAGAAAGTTCAGCTCTGTGTATGAAAATATAGCTGCCAAGCTAATGATATACTATCTAGGAAAGTATGCCTGTTAAATTTGAATTGCTTTAATTAGTATTAAAAATGGAAAACTTCCATATGTTATAAAACAATATACCAAAGGTCAGTATTACTGAAAATGTCTTTTAAATAATTGTTTTAATACTTTATTATTTTATATACCTCAAGGGGTAGTGCTTCTGTTTGTTCCACTTGTATAGATACTAACTTATTGCTGTTTGGAGATGGCTTCTTAGAACTCTTTGATGTTCTTCTTCTCCCAGGTAAAATATAAAGAAGACTTGACTTGGCTTAAAGGCATTGGTTGCTATGCCTATGATACCCCTGATTTCACTCTGGCTGAAAAGAACAAGACTCTCTACAGCAAGGTATATATACTCAAGGAGAATTGGCCTCATCCATTCGACATATACCTGTACCCAGAGAGAATTAGCACTGAGAAATAGTCTTTCATGTTTCCATCCCTATCATGGCTTCTAGACCTTATAGTCTGAGTACATACTTACTTGTTCACTGCTAGGAAACTCTTGGGTTTTAATCTCATTGACTGAAGGCATTTATTTGAATTTGATGAAAAATCAACTCTGTTCAACCCCTCATGATTCTTCTAGAACTCTCTCCTTATTAATATGTCTCTGGGTGGTTTCTCCTATTAAAGCTGATATGACAGCCAATATAAAGTGGGATTATTTTAATCCACAAATAATGTATGACGTGGGGCAAACCACCTAGTTTTTATAGCCTCATTTTCCTATTTACAACATAAAGCAATTCAATTCACTTGCATTTGGGTTGTACAATAGGATCCAGCAAACTTTTTCCTGAAAAATGCCAGATAGTAAATAAAACATCTAAGAAGATGTTATGGGCCAGATTCATTCTAGGGCATATTCTTCTTTGTTTGTTACAATACTGTGGAATGGTGAAACCCATTCTAATTCATGAAGCTGTTTAAAAACAGGTGGCATGCTAGCTGGGTCATACCCCACACCTGCTCTTAGAAGATTATGATTATCTGATTAATTACTGGAAAACTCTTCAAATTAATGTACTAAAAACCTTCAAGTGCACATGAAAATACTTTCAAAGTTAAATAATAATTATAATATATAGAAATAAACTAGACATTGATTTAAATTTTTGCCCAATATGGAAAATAAATCTATTTGGCATCCATTCAATGGAAGTGTTTTCGTCGTGTCCACTTTTGGGCTAGTTTTCAAGACATCTAGGCAGTTCTACCCTTTACTGTCTTGGAGGCAGAATAAACAATCAGTAAATATGTGTTAGCTTGGCTGGGTTCTGTGGCTCACACATGTAATCCCAGCACTTGGGAGGCCAAGGCAGGCGGATAGCCTGAGCCCAGGAGTTTGAGACCAGCCTGGGCAATATGACAAAACCCCATCTCTACAAAATATACGTAAATTAGCCAGGCATGGTGGTGTACAACCTGTAGTCCCACCTACTTGGGAGGCTGAGGTGGGAAGATCGATGGAGCCTGGGAGGCGGAGGTTGCAGTGAGCTATGACTGTGCCTTGCAGTCCAGCCTGGGCAACAGAGTGAAACCCTGTCTCAAAACAAACAAACGAATATGTGTTAGTTCTATGAATTAATTATCACAATTATATCATATGATAAACAGCATGTCTCATTCTTAAGATAATCATAGCCTGCTGTCAAGTAACCATGTTCTGTTTTTTCTAGTATAAGTATAAAGAAGTATTTGAAAGGACAAAGTCAGATTTCAAGTATGTTGCCGACTCTCCGATCAATAGGCATTTCAAGTATGCAACTCAATTGATGAATGAGGTATGTATGAATAAACTGCTCCAATTAAGCCTATTCAATTCCCTAAAGAAGTCTCAGAGTTTTTTTAAATTAAAGCCCAATACACAGAATGACAGGAAAGCCATCCTAAGTTTTCATTTTAACTAAAGATTTGGAAAAGACTCTATAATGTCACCATCCAACAAGCTCTGCCAAACTACAAATAAGAACAAGTGAAGGGACCGTTCAGTGGTGGGAGAGCCCCGCAAACATCAGCACCTCTGCACAAACACAGGGCAGCACAGCCCTGCGGGTGACAATACCAGGCAGGTAAAGGATTTTCTTGACTGTCAGCGGAACTCCCTTATATATTACACAATCTATATTGTGTAGATTTGGAAGACACAGAAGTTCAAGGTTAATTTAGTATCCTCTACTAAGGCACCAAAATGTCAGTTGTTAGAAGAGCTACGCTAAAGGAATAGTTGTGATTCATGCTTCAAAGATATTGCCATTGTTACTCCCACATATATTGGTGCACAGAAGTATCCATCTGCACCCAAATTTTTTCTTTCTATTTTATCCAGCCTTTCCTGTAACCATCTTTGCAATAATTTAAGTTAAATTTAGCTCAAGATGGCTGAAATAAACAAGCTATGAATTTATTTAGTTGGGATGGTTTTATAGTTAAAGTTGTATTTAATTTCCTATTTTCAGATTTTTTACAGTTTCTGTAAGTTCAAAAATTCCGTGAGAAAATTAGTACAATATTTCTAAAAATGAAAATATAGCCAATGGTATATTTACTTAAATGTATGACTTTTTTGTTTGTTGTCTTTACATTTGATTCAGTTCACTTTCAGTAGATTTCCAGACTGGACAACCCTGAAGAATTACTGCCAGTAGCTTCCTATGAATACAATCTTGATATATTTTGTTTCTATTTTTCTATTTCATGAAGAATTTCCAGGTCTCCTTTATAATCCAGTAAATTAATAGCATTAGAAGACTATTACAAATTTCCCGTGGATGTTTTAGCATCAGTTATGCTTTGAGATTCTCACAGCCTTAGTTGGTAAAGCTGTAGCTGATCAGTACCCTATTTTAAATATACCGTTAGATGCCATAAAACCTAATGTTGTTAATGGCATCATATGCAAAGATGGAAAATGTTTGGGCACAAGGAACTCTAATTTTGGTGTCATAAATCTGACCTATCCCACACTCCAGCCTTCTTCAGGTAATCTTCCTCCACTTGACTCTCTTTGCTTCCCTGTTTTTATTGTCTTGGGTATGTTGGGAGCCCGCCACTAGAGATGACATGTTCTGGCCCTCTGGAGTGTTTACCTTGAGACATTTTTGTGTAGCCTTGAAGTTGTACTCTTGCTATAATATGCTATGATGTTTGAGCAGAAAAAATACAGAGCTGATTATGAGCAGCGGAAAGATAAATACCACCTGGTAGTCGATGAGCCTAGACATCTGCTGGCTAAGACCGCAGGCGACCAGATCAGTCAGGTACTGTGATGGGGCTGGCCGGTGGCCCAGGCAGGACTGTGCTCCCAGTTTCTCATGAGATGTCATCCCGTCTGCTGCAAGGATGTCATAGGTTCTGCCTATGATATTGGGTTGTTCTGTTTCAAAGTATCTGTCTAGCCACCCAAAAAGCCCGTCAGCTATTTGAGTGTGCCAGTCCATGCTCTGTGTTCTCACTTGTGCTGTGGTGAAGATGAAAGGAAAAGCTGGGTCCTCCCATCCTTTACTCTTCTGGAGAACCTGTTTGAAAACTGCAACTGTAAACTGCAGATTGAGTTGCAAAAGCAAAAAATAAACAAACAACAACAAAAAACAAACAAAAATTAATGGAAGGAAAGAAGACATAACTCCTTACTATATATCTTTCTATTCCAAAGATGTCTTCTTTTCTATAAAGCTATTTTGGTGGTAACGTAAGTGAAACTAGCTGTATCATTCCCCATTCACAAGGACTATGAATGGCCAACCGCAAGCATTGCAGTCATTCTGCTTCACATTATAATGTATTTGATGTCTTCACCCGCACATATGTGAGTACATAAAGTGTGTATGCCTACATCTCTTCACTCAGAGGTGATTGGGATATAGAGCCGTGTTCTTTTCTGTCTTCATAAGTCTCTTTTGTGCTTCACTGCTCTTTGCATGGACAGAGAAAATATAAATCTAGTGCCAAGATGTTTCTGCAACATGGATGTAATGAAATTCTGCGTCCAGATATGTTGACTGCTCTCTACAATTCGCATATGTGGAGCCAGGTAATGTCTGATGGGATGTGAAGAAGGAGGTTTAGAAGAAGTCTTGGATGCATTCCCTTGTATGCTTTCATTGATTTCCTCTTCCACTCCCTGCCCATGCTGGCTTCATATGGTAAAGCTATGTAAATATTCATTCCTTGTAAATGATCTCTGAATGTGGCCAAAGGTGATGGGACAGTGGTCATCCGTACATCATCTGACACTTTCAGAACTCTTAATAAAATTAACTGATTCTTTCAAGTGTTATTTCCAAAGTGGTATAACATTAATTTATACTTTTCAGTATTTGCCTCAAAGAAATAGATTCCTTAGAGATTGAAGATAGTAAGTAGATTCAACAGCATGTAAAAGGTCTGAATATTTAATGTTTTCATCTAATGTGTCTCTTGTTCAATTATCACTACAACTGTTGCAGGGAGATGAGGATTACCGTGCAGCTCTATGAATATTGTATATATTCATGGCGCCTCTTGACTTTGATGCTGAATTGCTAGGTTATTTCCAGCACATCTGATCCCACACACACAGGTTAACAGTGTCTCTGATAATAATGCCTTTTTAGAAGGCCAACTGAAGCATGCACTTTCCAGCACATGCTGAAAGGTAAATTTGATGCAGCAATAAACAGTGATAATTGGTAACTACCAGACACAATGTTAGTAATAATACCATTTTTCCCAGACCAAAAAAAAAAAGTTAATTGAGCTTTCCTCTTAGCAACTTGTTTTGTCATTTTAGTTTACCATGAAATCAATATGTGAAATGAGGAGGTTAAGCTCCAATTAAGAGCTTAACCTCCTCATTTCTCCTCCTATAAATATCCTGTTTGCCTGAACTTCCTCCTTTGTCCTTATATGATCCTCAAATAGTTGTGCATGAAATTTTATGGTGCTCTCTGTATCTGTCCTGCTTAAAACAGCTTCTGTGCATGAAAATAATTATGACTTGAAAATTGCAAAAACAAATGAATTTTTTAAAATGATAAATACTTCATATATACTCATTCTTTATTTTACATCCCTGTTTCATCTTTGACATGGAAAAATGCCTTTGGAGATTGTACATGTTCAATACAATATGTTATGAGTAAAACAATATTTGTCAGACTCCAGAGAACAGGTTCTAGTCCTGCTCTGAGATTTGGTCTAAATGTGCCCTTGGGTCAGTCTCGTAACCTCTGGGGGCCTCCGAGTACATGTGTATAAAACATATTGGAACTTGGGAGGCTGAGGCAGAAGAATTGCTTGAATCTGGGAGGTGGAGGTTGCAGTGAGCCGAGATCGCACCACTGCACTCCAGCCTGGGTGACAGAGTAAGACTCCGTCTCGGAGGGAAACAAAAAAAGGAAATTATTAGTAGTAGTATCATCTGCTCACTCCATTTCACTTTTGCTATCAGACACAAATTTATAGTAAACATTTCCAGTTAGGAATTAAAGAGAAAGCTAGATACCATCTCCCACTCTGGTGTTTCAAGAGGACAATTAGATACCTTAAAGCCCACTCTACAACTTCTTAGAGCTCTTTCTTCTCTTCCACAATTTAGATCAAATACAGGAAAAACTATGAAAAATCAAAGGACAAATTTACCTCAATTGTGGATACTCCAGAACACCTGCGTACTACAAAAGTCAACAAACAAATCAGCGATGTAAGTGCAAGAAACACTGAATACCTTCTCAAACTCAGGGGGCATCTGCAAACATGGAGGGGCATTTTAAATTGTCACAAAGTCTGGGAGACTACTGCCATTTAGTGGGAGGGAGGCAGGGGTGCGAGATGTCCTGTTATGCACAGGATTCTCCTCCCCAATAAAGAATTGTTGTGGCCGGGCGTGGTGGCTTATGCCTGTAATTCCAGCACTTTGGGAAGCCAAGGCAGGTGGATCACTTGAGGCCACGAGTTTGAGACCAGCCTGGCCAATATGGCAAAACCCCATCTCTACTAAAAATATAAAAATTAGCCAGATGCAGTGGTGCATGCCTGTGGTCCCAGCTACTCAGGAGGCTGAGGCGTGACAATTGCTTGAGCCCAGGAGATGGAGGTTGCAGTGAACCAAGATCATGCCACTGCACTCCAGCCTGGGTGGCAAAGTGAGACTCTGTCTCAAAAAAAAAAAAAAAAAAAAAAAAAAGAAAGAAAAAAAGAGAGTTGTTGTGACCAAACTGGCAGACACGCCAGCTGGAAACACTGAAGTCTTAGCAGAGAGCATGAAAGCACCTGTCAAATTCATAGAATTCTCTTTCCTTTATATTCACTCAGGAAAAAACTTTGCATTTATATTTTGATATTATACATTGAGAAGCATGACATGATGTCTTTCTGCTTTTTGATCTTTCAGATCCTTTATAAATTGGAATACAACAAGGCCAAACCCAGAGGCTACACCACAATCCACGACACACCCATGTTGCTGCATGTCCGCAAGGTTAAAGATGAAGTCAGTGATGTAAGTACTAGAATGGTTTAGCAGTCCCTCTCATCTTGGCCTCCTTCTAATGAGATGTAACAAACCCTGGTCCAGTTATCTATTCCTGTGTAACAACCACCCTAAAACTTAGTGGCTTAAAATAATAGTCATCTCTTTTGCTCATGATTCGGTAAGTTGACTGGACACAGCTGAACAGTCCTGCTCCCCATGTTGCTGGCAGACACCTGGGGCTCAGTCAAGCCAGGACATCCAGGTGGCTCACTCCCATGGCTAGCCATTGGTGATGGCTGCGGGCTGGGAGCTGGGCTATTGTGTAGACGAGACAGGAACCCCTTCATGTGGCCTCTCCACATGCCTGGGACTTCTCCCCAGATGGGTCTCCACGTGGCTTAAACATATCCTGAGGTACTGATTTTTTAAAAATGAATTTCCACGACTTTCTCCTAAAGATACTGATAAGTAAATTGGTAAACTAGGTCTATGGCAAAGCCAGGAAAATTGTGATTCCTATGATCAGTTTAGTAAACCCCACTATGGCTCCCTCGGAACAGTTTACTTTGGCCTTAGTCACATTAAAACCTAGGATCCTTCCCCAACGATTAATGAAAAAGCCCAGATCGAGGCCCTCGACCCTGAAATTTAAGAAGAGCAAAAGTGGGTGAAGCTGGAAGTCCCAGGCCCAGGATGGAAAAACTGCCTGTTGGGCCTGCAGATGCTAAGCCTTCTCTGTGCCTTTCCCTCCTATCCAAACCCACATATACCAAAACTTGCTAGGTATGTCTCCAGCAATGACAATATACAGTTCTATATATTTTTAAAAGGCAGAATGATTGCTGTATTCATCAGTTCATTCATTCATCAAATATTGTCTATGTGCCTGACACTAGGAATGAGATGATGGATGATAAACAGTTTTTGCCCTTAAGGGGTCCTTAATGGAAAGAATAGGCAGATTAAAAAAAATTATAACACGATATGATAATAGCTATAACTGCCGGAGCACAGAAGGAGAGCAAGACTAATTCTGTCTGGGTGAGCTGGTAGGGAAAGGCTTCTCTTCCATCAGCAGTTATCAAGATGTTCTGAACTCAAGATTTGCTGATTTGGGGAAAGGAAAACCTGAATGAATAGGGTTCCAACTGGTCCTTTCAG
This sequence comes from Homo sapiens, assembly GCF_000001405.40. Classification (NCBI taxonomy): domain Eukaryota; kingdom Metazoa; phylum Chordata; class Mammalia; order Primates; family Hominidae; genus Homo; species Homo sapiens. The sequence goes on along the minus strand of NC_000002.12, from coordinate 151,529,859 downwards.
CACAAGCACAGAAACAAAAATTATATGGCAGGCTGGGCACAGTGGCTCACACCTGTAATCCCAGCACTTTGAAAGGCTGAGGTGGGCGGGATCACCTGAGGTCACGAGTTCGAGACCAGCCTGGCCAACGTGGCGAAACCCCATCTCTACTAAAATACAAAATTAGCCGGGTGAGGTGGCGCATGCCTGTGGTCCCAGGTACTCAGGAGGCTGAGGCAGGAGAATTGCTTGAACCTGGGAGGCGGAGGTTGCAGTGAGCTGAGATCACACCATTGTACTCCAGCCTGGGTGACAGAGAGAGAATCTGTTAAAAAAAAAAAAAAAATTATATGGCAACACTGATGACCATAGTCAGTGTGCCCTGATCTGAGATAGGAAGGTGCATCTCTGCATGGCTGTATCCTTGCTCCACAGCAGATTTTTAAAATTCCGTCTTAAGGAGCATTGTGTACTATAGTCATGCATGGATTTAATTTCTTGTTTTTTAAGATGCTCAGTATGCTGCTATAAAAAAATTAATCTTGTCACTGTGTTTCCTCCCACAGCTGAAATACAAAGAAGTATACCAAAGAAATAAATCCAACTGCACCATTGAGCCAGATGCTGTTCATATCAAAGCAGCCAAGGACGCCTACAAAGTCAACACCAATGTAAGTTCCAGAAACTTCCCCAAGCATGGTGGGGGATTTACCAGCTTCTGTAGGACACATGGCCTCTTTTTACATCTCTTCAGGCAATTCAGCTCTAGTGATTGATTCCAAAGCAAGAGTCAGGCCCCAGGAGCATGAACAATGATGCTAAAATATAAATGCTGCATTGGTCCTCACAAAGGAGCATAGGGAAGAGCAAAGGAAGCTTCATCCCATGCCATGGATGCTACACCCACTCAGCTTTTGCGGTGGGTGGCTGAGAAATGGGACGTTTAATTCTGAAATGTAGGTTGCATTTTTGGAAAGTGCCTGAGCATTTTTCATTCTCTTTCCCTGTGCTCTCCTCCTGCCTCAAACTCTACAATCTGCTTCTTCTGATGAAGAAAACATTGAGCCATTTGGTGCCATCAGGCATTGGCCTAGACCTTCTTCCTGCTCAGATATTCCCTGCGTTGACTCTCTTCTTGGGTGCAGCATCTTAAGGCCTCAACTACAGAAATAATTTTGTGCATTTAGATGAGCACTGACTTCTTAAAAATATATTAAATGGTTATACAATGAAACCATTGTAACCGAATTAGTACCCACTAGTGCTAGAGGGGACATATATTTATGAGGGCTAGCAAACTGGAATCCCTGTAGGAGCTGGCAAAGAGCTTGTACGTATCCTGAGGATGGATTGAGGGCAGACGGATAGAAGGACAGATGTGAGATAAAGCAAATGCAGTAAAACGTACCTTGCAAAATCCAGGTTGTATGGGTATTCTCTGTAATATTCTTGCAACATTTTTGTATGTTTGAAATTTTTCAAAATAAAATGAGGGGAAAAAAACCTTATTAAATAGTATACATAAAAGCATGTGCATTGTATTGTGTATAAATTATACCTCAATTTTAAAAAGAGAGAAAGAATGAGGAAAGAAATGTGCCTAATAGTGCAGGCTCCTCCCAAGGACACTCAAATTAAATTACATACACTTCTGTGGCTCAGATTTGGCCCAATGCAGCCAGTTCTCCAGCCCTGAAGGGTCTAGGAAGCATGCAAGCCCCTCTGCAGCCAGACTGCCTGGGTTTAAATTCCAGCTCCACCAATTGCTAAGTCTCACCTTGGGAAGTTTACTTAACCTTTCTATCCAGTTCTTCAGCTGTCTATTTCATGCAGTTGTTATGAAGATTAGGTGAATTAATTTTATAAAATTTTATAATTCATTTAATTAGTTTTGTAATTTGTAAAGAACTTAGAAAAGTGCCTGGCAGAAAATAAATACCTAGTGTTTGATCATTTTTGGTAAAAATTAAACCCGAATTTAGTTTGAAATTAAAAGTACTCGATTCTGAAGATGATTAGGCTGGACTGGCAGAACTAGAGAGATTGAAGAATCATTTCACCCGGAGGCCTTTAAAAATTTTAGCCTCTATTTCGGGACCACAGGGTCCCAACAGATGACCTCTGAGTGGATGACTAGCTGCATAAATTGTACAGAAATTTCAATTGGGGCTTCCTCTTGCATTAGGAATCATGATTTGAGATGTTTTGAAATGCAAGAGCCCCTCTGTGCCATGTGTGTGTTTATGAATTTAGCCTACTGAATCAAGTGATTCCTTTCTCTCCTGTTAAAAACAGCTGGACTATAAGAAACAGTACGAAGCCAACAAAGCCCACTGGAAGTGGACTCCTGACCGACCGGACTTCCTCCAGGCTGCCAAGTCATCCCTGCAGCAAAGCGATGTAAGACAGGAGAGACACAGACGATTGTAACTGCATACTGCACCTGAGAAATACAATGAATAATTATTTATAATAACCACTATCATGAGTGTTAACCCTTGCTCGTTTGAGATCCGAGAAGGAGAGGAGGATGGTTGGGGGAGCGATAGGCGAGCTCAGAACCCAAACCTGCCCATGGAGCCTATTCTCCTTTGGCTGGGCCTGGACACAAATGACTGAGTTCTGACTGAGGCTGGGGAGAGTCTGGGGGAAGACTGGGGATGGAGGGGCTTGGTCCTGGCAGCTAGGCTGAAAAGGAGGAGTCCAAAATGCAGTGAGGGACCAAGAAGCTCTTCTCCTCATTCTGGTAGCAAGTCTTTGTCCTCTCCTTAAGAGGACTCCCTGTGTGTTTAATCAAATGCCCAGCTTCCTCCTGTGCTGTCACCCTTCCCTTTTCTTCTGCCTTTCTTCTATCACAGTTTGAATATAAGCTGGACCGGGAGTTCCTCAAGGGTTGCAAGCTTTCTGTCACTGATGACAAAAACACGGTGCTCGCCCTCAGGAATACTTTAATAGAAAGTGATGTAAGTACCTAGTTCCTTCCATGATGCCTAACCTCACTCAGGGCCATCTTCCATGGTACAGTCCCCAGGGACACCAGGGAAGGATGGAGAAGAGCTGCTTCCATCAGGGCTCAGGTATGGGTCCTGAATTATGGCCTGTCCTGTGAGGGGCGCCAGCAGTCAAGCAGGGCAGCAGCAGTGCAAGGGCCATTAGATCCAGGTGACAGTCCTCGATTTATACTGCACCAGCAGAGAGTTCACACAGCAGGAATTAGGACCCTGAAGGCCTGGCTGGACTCTTTATGGAAACGCCATGATTTGTTTTCTATGGGATCATACTTTCCCTTCACTACAGTTTCCTCCTCTGTAAAGACGGAATAATAATGGGCTCATGGAGGGCTTATGGGAGGGACAAATGGCATATCTGAGCGTGCTGTGAACGTAAGTGTGACTATATAAAGATTCATCACGAGATCCATTTTGATTGTTATTAAAACCACAACTTGCTAGAGATAAGGAAAAAACCCTTTTGAATATTTCCCAAAATTTGCAAGTATCACATCTTTTATTGAGTTTAGTATTGTCAACGCTGCTGTTCTACTGGTTTGAGGGTGTAATAAAAATATGTAGGATATCCAGCAGAGCTAAAGAAATGCCCCTTTTCCTGCCCCTGAAGCTGAAATACAAAGAGAAACATGTCAAGGAAAGAGGAACCTGCCATGCCGTACCTGACACGCCTCAGATCCTGCTGGCGAAGACTGTCAGCAACCTGGTGTCTGAGGTAACCCCCAGCCGCCCATGAGTTCTGCTTCCCTCTTGGGAGAACGCCCCAGGCAGATGCCTTAATGAGCTCTCTATGGATTCCCCCAGAACAAGTACAAGGACCATGTCAAGAAGCACTTGGCACAGGGCTCATACACAACACTACCAGAGACCCGGGACACTGTTCACGTCAAGGAAGTGACCAAGCATGTCAGTGATGTAAGTGATCAACCACCGGTCTCTTGGCAGCAACAATGCCACTTGACTGTAGAATCTGGTGAAATAATGTCAGTTGCCTTTTGCTTCCTTTATGTAGCTTCACTCTTACCATCAATATCTACATGTGAATCTTAAACTCTGACTTTTAAAATGACCCAGTATTTATTGGCTTTCCAATTCTGGCAATTATGGCAAATGTGGGTTTTGCTACAGGACATGTAATCTAGCCATATCAGATATTACTAACCTATTAATAACAGAAGGAAACATTGTTGATTAGGAGTGGCCTCTCCTATTATTAAACTGCTACCCAATTTTAGAAAGGTAAAACTACCTCTTTGGGCCTCAGTAATCTCTGCCTGCTCTATCCTTATCAATAATGCTGTAGTAACCTTGGTATTATATGAGTCCCATATGGTTCCATATATTTTTAAAAGGTAGAAATAGTAAATAAAAGAGCTTAATTTGCCTCTACCCAGGTTCTCCGAAGATTGCCAGGTGGTTCTAGTGTTGGGTTGCAGGACACAAATGACAGAGAAGAACTAGAATATGGGTCTTATCTAAGTCCCAGACTGACGCCAAAATGGGGAGCATGGATTTTCCTGGAGATTTCACAGTTCTTCAAGTAAACCAACTCTGTTCCCAGCTTCCTCTACTCATAAAAGTAATTCTGGCTCTATTTAGACAAATTACAAAAAGAAGTTTGTCAAGGAGAAAGGAAAATCCAACTACTCCATCATGCTGGAGCCACCAGAGGTGAAACATGCTATGGAAGTGGCCAAGAAGCAAAGTGATGTAAGTTTTCCCTCTCAACACTCTTGGGGGCCCATTTGAAGCAGTGGAACCCAGATTGGTGCATTCTCTTGTTCCAGTGTGTGGTCACTCTAATTCCTCTGTGGTAGTTTCAAAAAGTTAGTGGCGAGAATTGGTTTGGGTTTAAGGAAAAAAGCTGATTGTGCTTAATGGGGACTTTTAGAAAGATAGCATATCTCGGCTGGGCGTGGTGGCTCATGCCTATAATCCCAGCACTTTGGGAGCCCAAGACAGGCAGATCACGAGGTCAGGAGTTCGAGACCAGCCTGGCCAATATGGTGAAACCCTGTCTCTACTAAAAACACAAAAATCAGCCGGGCATGGTGGTGCACACCTGCAGTCCCCAGCTACTCGGGAGGCTGAGGCAGAAGAATCACTTGAATCCGGGAGACAGAAGTTGCAGTGAGCTGAGATTGTACCACTGCACTCAAGCCTGGGCAACAGAGTGAGATTCCATCTCAAAAAAAAAAAAAAAAAAAAAAAAAAAAAAGCCTCTCTCTTGAGTAAACATTTTCTTCCCCAATAAAGGTCGCTTACAGAAAAGATGCCAAAGAGAACCTGCATTACACCACAGTGGCTGATCGACCAGACATCAAGAAGGCCACACAGGCAGCCAAACAGGCCAGTGAGGTAAGGGTGTCATGAAAATGTCCCCAGTCCCCAACAGCCATTGCCAAGGCATGCCAGGCAACCATCACCTGTTGCCCATTTTGGTTTTCTCTGATTCAGGTGGAGTACAGAGCCAAGCACCGCAAGGAAGGCAGCCATGGCTTAAGCATGCTCGGTCGCCCAGACATAGAAATGGCCAAGAAGGCAGCCAAGCTGAGCAGCCAGGTAATGCAGATGGGTGCACTGGTGGCTCTCATGTGAGGAGATTATAAAAGACCTTGCAGGAAGAAGTGATTTCCAGATTGAAAATGCAAAGGGATGCTGGGTCTGTAATAGTACTGCAAAGCTTCCAAGAGTTATAAAAAGTGCACTGAGGGCCTTTTCTCGTTTCCCTCTAAGCTGTCTAGACCTTTCTTGTTCTCCACTTTACCATTTATGGGCATTTGTCTGGGTGTCTGTGTGCTTAACTATCTTTATGTGACAAAAACATCAGTTCATGAGATCCTACTGGAACCTCTCCCCAGGCCTTAAGAGTTTCATCCTCGGGGTCTGATTCATACTTGAGTCACCTGGGATAGATTTAACATGAAGAGCAATGAAATTCTAACTTCTAGAATCCAACCAGATGAAAATATTCATTTTTTTTTCATTAAACATACATATATTAACTGCCCGGGCTAGGAAGTAGGGATGAGCAGATGTCTTCAGATTACTTGTCCATGGATAAATCATTAAAATTTTGTTTGGCAAGTGTTTGATCAGGGTATGCACAGGGTGCTGATGGAGAATGCCACATTCTTGCAGATCTCATATTATTGAGAAGCAAATGGACTCAGAAATGTGTTGCCCAAACCCAGTTACCACATGACTTATTTTCCCTTGTTAGGCCAATTATCTAAAATTCCCCAAGTTATGACAGGTTTTCAGACTTTAGCTCAGAGATCCCATCATCTACCACCAGACCTATCAGAGTGCAAGTTTGATCCTATAGGACTTTAGCTTAAGAATATCTCATTTCTCCTCCAATTTACAGATCCTACCTTCTTTTTCCTTGTCCTCTCAGGTATCTGTTTGAAGAAATAGGTTTGGGATATACATTTGGTTGTCGTGAGTGACTGACTTTCAGCAATAGCAAACATGGGATTCCAATCTTTTGGAAGATATAATGCAGTAATGTCAAGTGACAGAACAAGTTAGAATTATGAAAACACAAGAGGGTCAGATGACTGATGAAAAGCAAATATTATTTTTTAAAAGTTTTTAAACTTAAAATTCCTATGTAACATATTTTATTATAAATTAATGGAATTGTATAAGTATTTGAAACTAAGATATGGGATCACCACCACCAACAAAAAAACAGTGGAATCTCTAAGAGTAATGAGATGTAACAAGAACTTATTAATGCAAAAAGTTAATGTTTTTAAATGTACAAGGTCATATCATTATAATTTAAAAACAAACGACTATGATGTTGAAATTTTGAAAACTTTATTGTTTTTGAAAATCAAGAGGCTCCTATTTCTAGTACTAAGTGAATCCTATGGTATGGAGAATGGGACCCTATGGGTCCCATTTACTTCCTGTGAAAGGCTGGTCTCCGGATTGACAGCTTCATGGTGTGGCCCTGGGCCCAAGGGCGCTTCAGCTGTGTGTGGGCTTTCCCTGTTCTGACTTTGCTGTCTTGCTGCGTACTCTAGGCGGAATACCTCAAAGGCCAAAGGAGAGGGCACGGCGCTGCATCTTATGACACCCCTATGATGAGGCATCTTAAGAAAATTAATGTACACATCAGTGATGTAAGAAAGACTGAGACCAGCAAGCCATTATTTCTGTCTTCCTCTGATTCTTGTCTACTTTCTTGGCATTGGTCAGGAGACTGACCAGGTTGCATTCTTTTCTGTTGATTTTTGTGTTGGAACGTGTAGATTGCTGTGGAAATTTGTTGAAGGATATACTTTTGCATACACCCTTCTTTTCCTGCATGAAACTTTCCATCTGGAACATACCACTTGGAATAGGAAGGTAGACTAGACTCAGAGATGGACTCCTAATGTATGTGTATGTTAGGTTGCTGACACTGATCAAGTTAAATGATGAAATGAAAACAAACTGAGAATCTCATCTTCAACCAAAGAAACCTCTGCCTCTTCTGAAGTTATCTGCCATTTTTGATTTTTAATATACTGAAGATTGGTATTTAATATAGTTTCTCAGTTCAGGCCTTCTATGAATCAACAGTATAAACTTTTAATAGCTTTTCTAATTCTCGGGACTGTTCTTCAGTCTTTAGAAGCACCAGTATACATCTCAATTCAATAAAAAGGAGCTAAAAAATTAGATCTTAAACTTCAAATACAATTAAACTCCTAAAAATATAATTAATGCAAAATCACTTTCCTATACTACATCCATAATAGGCCCAATTTCTGAGCCTGATGGGATTATAAACCCCGGGGGCTGCCACTTGCCGAGACATGGCATTGCAGAGTTGCCTCTTAGCTCCCATGGTTAATGGGAAAAAGCTTCACCATTCCCTAATGCCAAGTGTATGTAGTTTTACTACATTACTCCCTAGTCAAACACCATTCCAAGAATTCCTAGAGTCCTAAACCTGGTACATGTCCTTACCTTTCAAACTATACTAGTTTTAAGAAGATCCAGTCAAAAAGGAAGGCCAAAAGTGCTGAACTCAGATTCATATTAGTAGTTGTAAAAAGCTGCATTTGTTTAGAGGACTTCCTATGGAGAAGGGAGCCATAACTTTTTTTCAGTTAAAAAGGTTGAAGTTAACTTGAAATTAACAGAAGAAAAAGAAACTGAAGTGGAATCAATGGGATTGCTGCTTGAAAAATACCTCTTCAGAAACAAGTATCTTCTAAAAGACAGAAGGAGGACTTTTAGTATGCTTCTAAAAAAAGCAGATTTTATTCTCATTTGAGATGGGCTTTTGCTTCTTTTCTTCCCTACTCTGACTCTGCATATCTGGTTTGCTTTTCTGTGTTTCACAACTCTTGGGAACATCTCCTAGTTTTATGGACTTCTATATCTCTTAGGAAAAGTTGCCTTTGGTCCAGACACCAGCTCACACCTCAGACCTTCCTTAGCAGGCCTTCCACTTCTTTATGTTGAGAGTGAAACTTTTTCAGAGAAGAGCCATTGTAGCATTTGTTTACGTTTCTTTTTCCTTTACTTTGTGTGTCTCAGTGTGCCTGCATCATGCTGAACTGTTCTGCATGCTTATTTTTTCTCTGCATTTCCACTGAGGATTTATTCAAAGTAAAGGAGTCTCAGCATTGTGAATGCATTTTCTCTGATGTGGCAGATTTCATTGTTATTTTGTGTCTGTTGTGCTGGATGTGTCAAGTTGGGGGAGGTGAAGAGCAGTGATGAACCATGAGGGGTACTGGTGTTAGTGAGTCTTTCATCTTAACAATAACAGAAACTCTAGGATTCCCTGAGGGTTAAATATTGCCCTTTTGGTTGGCTAACATCTAGAAACAGCTCAGTTTTCATTCCTCCTAGAGTGAATAACTAGTAGAATTCTACTTCTGGCCTTAATTCTGCAATACTGTTGACAAAAGCATCAGTTTGTTTTTCAATTAGGAGATGTTTCTGTCACTTTCCATTCTGTTGAATTCTCCTATAAATAAATCCTCTTATTTATTTTGTGAGACAGGGTCTTGCTCTGTTGCCCACGATGGAGTGCAGTGGTGCGATCCTGACTCACTGCAGCCTCCACCTCCCGGGCTCAAGTGATCCTCCCACTTCAGCCTCCTGAGTAGCTGAGACTACAGGGGTGCACCACAATGCCCAGTTAATTTTTGTATTTTTAGTGGAGATGGGGTTTCAGCACGTGCCCAGGCTGGTCTCAAACTCCTGGGCTCAAGTAATTCACCCACCTTGGCCTCCTAAAGTGCTGAGATTACAGGCATGAGCCACCACACCTGGCTATCATCCTCTTTAGATATTTTACCTAGACATAATGACTGTCTCTTCCTTCCATTCAATCAAATCACATTTATTGAGCAACTATTAGTGCAAGGCATTGTGCTTATTTTTTAAATTGGAGTTATTTAGCCCTCTGCCTACCTAAACTTATTTTTATGTATACTAAAAGTATATTTAATCTTATTTTTTCTCATTATTCTGAAGTATCTCACTTTTTTCCTACTTCTAGTCTGAAATCACACTTGAAGCCATTAACCCCCAAACTCTCATATTTGTTTACTCAGGAGTTATACCATTTTTGGCCAAGTTTAATAATTTTTAAATGATATAGCCAAAGTACTATTTTAAAATAACAATAAATTCTCCTAATTTAACAGATTCTTTATTTTTCAACCTTCTTGATCATTTACAGCCCTTCTTTGGATTTCACAGACTTAAATTGCTGTTGGTTTTGCTAGTTAGGAGTGCTAAAATGCTCCAAATCAAGTACATTAAATCACATCTCTGAATTTAGCCTGAAGCCTTTTCCATTTTTTTTTTTTTTTGTTTTGCATTAGAAAGAGGTGATTACTTTTTATACCTTGGAATAATATAAAAATGAGCAAGGCCAGTGATCATATATTTGAATGCCTGTTGTCTTGTCATTCTTAATTATTAATAGTGTCTTCTTTACTCTAAATGTCCCAGTTTGGATAATAGATTATATGATCACTCTATGTACAATGCATATTCTTTGGCATTTGTGTTTCTACTATTCCCCAATTCCCAAATTGATTGATGTCCAGGAATAATTTGGATGTTTGCATTTGCTGTTAGGTTAAATACCGAGAAAATTTCGATAAAGAAAAGGGCAAGACACCAAAATACAATCCAAAAGACAGCCAGCTCTACAAAGTCATGAAAGATGCTAATAATCTTGCAAGTGAGGTATGTTTCTAAAATTGTGGTAAAATATATAACATGGTATTTGCCATTTTAACTGTTTTTAAGTGTGCAATTCAGTAGCATTTATAACACTCACAATATTATCCAACTACTGTCACTATTTCCAAAATGTTTTCATACCAACAGAAACTATAACCATTAAGCAAAAACTCTCCATTCCCTCCTCCCGTCAGCTCCTGGGAACCTCTTATCTACTTTTTGTCTCTATGCATTTGCCTGTTTTAGAGAGTGCATATAAATGGAATCAAACAGTATCTGTCCTTTGGTGTCTGGCTTATTTTACTTAGCATAATATGTTCAAGGTCCATCCATGTTGTAGGATATATCAGAACTTCATTCCTTTTATGGCTAAATAATATTCCATTGTATGTATATGCCACATTTTGTTTATCCATTCATCTGCTGACAGACACTTGGGTTGTTTCTGCCTTCTGGCTACTATGAATGAGGTATGATTTTTCATCACCATCTCCAGCATTTGTTTGACGATGGGCTATCTCACTTTGATTTCCATTAGTGCTGTTCCATTTCCTATTTACGTGATTTCCTTTCTTCCCCCATAACACACAGGTTAAATACAAGGCTGACCTGAAGAAACTTCACAAACCCGTGACTGACATGAAGGAGTCTCTGATCATGAATCATGTCCTGAATACAAGCCAACTTGCCAGTTCTGTAAGCTCAGTCATTTGCTCCAGAAACAGCTTGTTTTACCCATTTGGAACTAAATTCTTTCTGAGCCCAGATGCATCTTCTTCTCTGCTACTGATACCCTAGATTTATTACAAAACTGTTCTCATTTGAGTGTATTCTTCCAAATGACAACATTAATCTACCAATTCTCCATTGTCTGTAACACCTCTCAGAATGTAAAAATGCTTCTTTTTAAAAAATATTTAAACTTTGCCCTCCAATTAACCATTCCCTTTTCTCTAAGGACATAGAAATACCCTCTGGAATAGTTTCTTTCACTTTTAACTTTTTACTTATAACACCTACTTTGAACAAGCCACATAACCTAAGTGTTTACATCTTAACGGACAATACTGAACTTGGATCCTCATTTTTAAAACTTTTTCTTAACCTCCTGTTTAGTGTTTGCCATTTTTAGTTTGATCTTGACAATGGTGCTGTGTAAACGTCTAATCTAAAGAGGAAAAATAGGAATGCTGAGCAGCTTCTCCATCAATGTGCCTTTTTTGCCGCCTTCCCCTCAGTACCAGTACAAGAAGAAGTATGAGAAGAGTAAAGGCCACTACCACACCATACCCGATAATCTGGAGCAGCTTCACCTAAAAGAGGCCACAGAATTACAGAGTATAGTAAGTGGATCAAGACCGATTTTTCCTCTGGCGCACATTCATCCACAGTACAATGTGAAAAAAAATTTCATAGATTCCCTCCATTGTTTGAGAAAATGCACAAAGATATAAGGGGTTTTGAATCTGGTAACTTTTTGAAACAAATTCTTATGTTATAAATTACAACAACATCTACATATAGTTGAGAAATATACATGCAATTATGTGCTACTGGCAGGGGCTGGAAGCATAAAGAGTGTGTTTTATGAGGGGACAAACCCCTCATGGTAACTCCAATGTGCCCCATGGGTTTGTGCCCCAGGTTAGGGAACACTACAGTAGATTATAGGGAGTCAGGAAGATTTCAAACAGAGAAGTGATACGATCAGGTCTACTACTGAAAGCAGTTCTGGGAATTTACAAAATTACTAAATTTTTAAGATACAGTCATATACCGCATGATGTTTTTGGTCAACAGCAGACCACCTGTATGACAGTGGTCCCATAAGATTATAATGGAGCTACCCTATGCAGGTGTACCATTTTAAAACCTTTAATACCATATTTTTACTGTACCTTTTCTATGCTTAGAGGTATCAAGATACACAAATACTCTTGTGTTACAAGTGCCTACAGATTTCAGTAAAATAATATGCTGTACAGGTTTCTAGCCTAGGAGCAACAGGCCATACCATATAGCCTAGGTGTGTAGTAGGCTATACCATCTAGGTTTGTGTAAGTGTACTCTGTGATGTTCACACAATGATGAAATTGCATAACAAAGCCTTTCTCATAACATATCCCAGTTGTTAAGCAATTCATGACTATAATTGAAGATTCTCAGAGGAAAGAACTTACTATCACATGACCTCCTATATCACAAATTCAGCATTATTTAGGTCCCCTGTTGGGCATTAACCATGAGGACTAACTATTAGAAACGTCCTCGTGTCTTCTGTAGGGCAGTATGTGCCCCCAGGCCTTTATTCCAACATCTTGTTACAACCCAAGAGCTCGGAGATTGAGCAGTGCCATCAAGGTGCTGCGTGCATGAGGGTCTTCGCCTGTTTTTCCAGAAGTTCTCTGTCACATACATTTATGTGGCTCCCCTGATTCTTAACCACATGTTATGAGGATGAGAAAATTTTATTTATACAACAGGCTTGAGGATCTTTTGAGACTGTCAGGTTTTTTAACAAGTCAGTCAATATGTAAACTAGTTTTCATTTTTATACCAATTTATTGGCTGCATTAAATATATGGCCAGTCAGGACCCACATAGAGTTGTTTACTTATAAATAAAGCTCCATGTGTTATCCATTCAATCTAGACCCCAGGTCTCTGATAAAAGTTCTTGTGAAAGAAAAACTAAGGATTTTTATCAGAAATATTGATTAATGCTAATAGCATTAATAATTTTAAAGTGTTTACAGCTACCCATCAATTATTGACCAACCTCATCTACCTGGGTAATTTTCCCCATGCGTTTTCTTGCATCAGCATTTCTCTCAGCTGGCTCTTGTCAATGATTCTTTTGTGTCCTTGAATTGAATCCAAATCCTAATTATGCCTTGCAGACAGTAATGGTACCCATCCCCTCAACACCTAGACAACAACAAAAATGTACTGGATCTGAAACATAACAGGAAACTGTTTTGAGTGGCAATGAGATGCCATCCAATTGACAGAACATATCAATTAAAAAATACTATCCTTAAACTGCTGTCTAGGAATTGACCAGAGGAGAGATATCTAACATGGCTTTCTATCACCAGGTGAAATACAAAGAAAAGTATGAAAAGGAACGAGGAAAACCCATGCTGGACTTTGAAACACCAACGTACATCACTGCCAAAGAGTCTCAGCAGATGCAGAGTGGGGTAAGTCAAAAAAACCACACCACACAACAATGATCCATCACACTACTGAACACAAGCTCTGCCCATGACATGGCCAGTTTCCTGTCATCCAAAAGTGGTAGCTGATGAAACTTTTTATCATGTGATCACTAAAATCTTCTCCATCTCAGAAATCCTATGGTTCAGTTATTTTTTAAAAATGCTCTAGGTAGTAAATATTTACCATATGTCTTATTTCAACAGCCATTTCTGTAAAATTAGAACATGGAAAACTATTCCCAACACAAATTATACTGAATGTAATTTGGATTTTCCTTTATGAATGAAAAGTTCCCTCCACACAGACACCCCTTTGGCTTTGAAATGCTCTACTCTTAGTAGAATGCCCCAAGCCAAACAAAAGGGTATTTGTGATCAAGATGTTTATCAAGACCCCAGATAATCAAAAGTGAAGATGCCATATTCGTTATTTTAGAATTGTAAGCAGAAGCACTAAATTTTCTTTTGGTCATTTTTAACCAAGAGTAGAGAATGGAATCTTATTTTAAATCTTAGTCTGTCTTCAGTGGGAAATGGGCTTATTTGGAATTTCCATTTGCCTCTCTTCCTCCAACTATAAAGAAAAATTGTTTTAAATAAAAGCAGCAGTTTGTGGAGCTTTCTGGTGATAGAATGTCAGGTCATCAAAACTTTAAAATGGCTTCAAACAATTGGTCAATCTGAGTAAAGGATCTATAGGAGTTTCTTATACTGTTCTTGTGACTTTCCTGTAAATTTAAAATTCTATTAAAATAACAAAATTACAAAAGTAGAGTTCCAACATCTATTCCAAGCCCCTCTGTGAGTCAGCTAAGTCTGGAGACTGGAGAGGAGATGGGGCAGGGAGGCAGAGTGGACAAAACCATACAATTCCTCTGTGCCTCACTGCCCACCTAAGCTATTCAGTGATTTTTAAAAAACAGGTCAAAACTCAGTGTGGTGGCATACACCTGTAGTCCCAGCTACTCAGCAGGCTGAGGCAGGAGGCTCACTTCAGCTCAGGAGTTTGAGACCAGCCTGGGCATCATAGCAAGACCCCATATTAAAAAAACAGGTCATGATTAGGAAAAAAAGCAAGTTAGCATTTGGTAGCCTTAGGCTCTCCTTCCACTGCGATTTTTTTCCCCTTGCCTCACTGACTTGTAATTCTGAAATAAAGTCTTTTGTCACCTTAAGAAAGGTGTGGGAAAGTTCAGAAGAGACAACAGAGGATTCAGAGTCCTGATGGTGCATCCATCCTTCCACTCTGTGAAGGGCCTGCCCCAGTCACAACATTAGACTGATGAGTGAGGGGCCCATCAAAGTGTCTCAGCCTGAATTTCCTTGTGGCCATTTGCTCCAGACAAAGTATTTCAAGTACAATCATACATGTTTCAAATGTGTGACCATTAGCAGAACTATGATTAAGAGCCCATACATAGAAAATGCTGTTTTTTTTTTCTTCCTGAGATGGAGAGATATATTGTAATAAAGATTTTTTTTTAACTTGTCTTTCCTTCCTACTTACATTAGAAAGAATATAGGAAAGATTATGAAGAGTCCATTAAAGGCAGAAACCTGACTGGCCTGGAGGTCACGCCAGCTTTGTTACATGTCAAATATGCAACTAAAATAGCAAGCGAGGTAGTGCCCACTTGGTCTTTTCTTTCCCTCTTAATCCAAATAATTGCACTAGTGACACTCATTAATGTGTTCCTCCTACCATTTACATCACCACCTAACTGTGGGTTTCAAATTGGGTTCTCATGTGCTTGGTACTACCACCTAATCTATTACCCATGTTAATTCTTCTAATTTTTTATTTGAATATTACCTTAGCATTCTATTAACTTCAAGCTTTCATTTGATATTTAATGTTAACTGATCATGCTTATACCCTGCCTGTATTCATATTTTTACTTACTAAACTGTGAACCCTTTAAAAATTGGAATTGTTTTTTATTTTCTTCTTTGCCTGAGAGAATCAATCTGGGCTTTCTTGTCAATGTTGTTGCTTTTCTTTCATGATATAGAAAGAGTACAGGAAAGATCTAGAGGAAAGCATCCGTGGGAAGGGCCTCACTGAAATGGAAGATACACCTGACATGCTAAGAGCAAAGAATGCCACTCAAATCCTCAATGAGGTAGGCCCACAGCTGACTGCCTGCACGTAATTCATACAGCATCATTTCTTTGTTAGCCAAATTACACCAGAAAAAGCAAAACAAAAACAGAGAACAGAGAAAAACAGAGCTTTTCATTTTCAGATTCCATATCAACATAATTGTTAACCATTACATAAAATATACCTCAATTTCTGATGAATGGATATTGTAACAGTGTGTTTCTGTAGTGGTTATCATAATCTATTATCTAATATTATTTGATTTAACTTGATATATTTGGTGTGCTCATCTACACGAAAACACTACACTGGAGTGGTGTGCACCTAAGTGTAATCTTAGTTATGTACCAAACTAGATGTACAATTTACTTTATACTCTAATCTTCTAAGCAGAGAATGCTAAAAGTATTCAAAAGGAGACCTCTGTTGACCCATACTGACTTGCATAGAATAGTTTCCTCCAGAGGGCTTCTGAAGACACCACTTCATCCTACCACACGGAAGAGCGAAGGTGAAGAGTAGCAAGCGACACTATCTGTGACAACTGGGGTGGCGTGTTATGTGGATTTACATTCACCCTGTATGTTTATTACCTAGTAGTAGCATTTAGGTACCTTTTTTTTTTCTTTTAATGCTACTATAGAAAGAATATAAGCGAGACCTGGAACTGGAAGTCAAAGGAAGAGGCCTGAATGCCATGGCCAATGAAACTCCGGATTTTATGAGGGCCAGGAATGCTACTGATATTGCCAGTCAGGTCAGTGCTACTATTCGATGTCAATCTTTCAGGAAAGTAGTTGTAACTTTAAGGACATAAAGTGTCCCTCTGTCATCTGATTTATTGGTGACAGTCACATGCATACAATGGCATTCTTGAACATCTGCCTGGAGGAAGCCATCCCAATGAAAGGATGGAGGACCCTTTGCCAGGCTCATTGCTGTCTACCTTTCTAAGTCTATAGGCTCTGGGGACATTCAGAGCAAAGGGCAGAAACTGAGGAATTAAGTAGCTGTTTGGAGCTGGGGCAAACTCGACATCTTGGCCTTATTTCTGAGTCAGTCCACTCATTTGATGCCAGGAATTCCTTGCTTAGAATATCTTGGGAGTTCTTCCTCTCCTTTCAAGCCCTAAGTTTAGAACAGTTTTTAGGCATCTTAGCTTGTCTAATGCTCATTGGTATGGGTCTTTTGCTTATTTGTCATCCTCCCAGCTCGTATGTAAACAATCCATGCCTTACTATCTGTTGATGATCCCTCCTTACCCATATCCCATCCTGCATCCAACTAAATCTTCTCTCAACAGCTAGGACTTGACCTTTCTTACTGAATCTCACTCTTTGGTATAAAACTATGAACAAAATAGGAAGAAATATCTGTTGAATGTCAAATGAATGAGTCCCTCTTGGAAAAGAAATATGGCTCACCTCTTAATCAAATCAAGCCAACAACTGTTGTGCACATTGCAAACATTTACCCAACTATTCGGTGTTGTTTTACAGATTAAGTATAAGCAATCAGCAGAAATGGAGAAAGCCAATTTCACTTCTGTGGTTGATACTCCAGAGATCATTCATGCCCAACAAGTCAAGAATCTTTCAAGCCAGGTAAGGACATTCGTCATGCCATCACTCATAAACCCCAATCATGAAAGAATGGAAGTCCTTCCATTAATAAATACCTTAAGAGATTCTTCAGATCAGTTTTTCCCAATAAAAAAGAGATTCACCAGGTGCAGTGGCTCACGTCTGTATTCCCAGCACTTTGGGAGGCCAAGGAAAGTGGATCATTTAAGTCCACGAGTTTGAGATCAGCCTGGACAATATGGCAAAACCCTGTCCCTACAAAAATTGGCCAGGTGTGGTGGTGCACGCCAGTCCCAGCTTCTAGGAAGGCTGAGGTGGGAAGATCAATTGAGCCCAGGCGGTTGAGGCTGCAGTCAGCTGTGACTGCACCACTGCAGTCCCCTGGGTGACAGGGTGAGACTCTTAAAAAAAAAAGAGAGAAGCCCGGCATGGTGGCTCATGCCTGTATTCCCAGCACTTTGGGAGGCCGAGGTGGGTGGATCACAAGGTCAGGAGATCCAGACCATCCTGGCTAACACGGTGAAACTCTATCTCTACTAAAAAAAATACACAAAAATTAGCCGGGCGTGGTGGCAGGCACCTGTAGTCCCAGCTACTTGGGAGGCTGAGGCAGGAGAATGGCGTGAACCCGGGAGGCAGAGCTTGCAGTGAGCCGAGATCACGCCACTGCACTCCAGCCTGGGCAGCACAGCAAGACTCTGTCTCAAAAAAAAAAAAAAAAAAAAAAAAAAAAAGAGTGAGAGGGTAACCTATGATGCAGGAATTTTAAGGTAGTGAAGAACTCTTTTAAGGTACTGAAGAACATGGTACAACTTGTAATTAATGAATCAATATTTTAACATGTAAAATCTCTTATGATGTGGCTTTAAAAATGTGTGCGCAGATCTGGAAGAAACAAAGTAGCCCACATTTGGATTACCAATCTCAAACAAGACTGAGATTGAGACCACACAGTCTAACCCCTGACTCCCCTCATGATGAATAACTCTCCATCATCTTCCTACAAATAGAGAGATGAAGAAAAGTAGGCCATCCTTCACACCCTGGGATAGGCCTTCACTTGTATGAACGATTGTCAGTGATGGTCAGGAGTCTGCAATTTGTTTGAGTGGTGCCAGATTAGAATTTGTGCTTGTCTTCTGATCAATGAGTTCCAAAGCCATAGTTAACGTGCCCTAGCTGTGCTTTATAGGCACCTGGGGATGTAGATTCGCTGGTCCAACTCTGGAATTTTGATGCTAGTAAATCTGTGGTAGGCTCTGGAAATCTATTTTTGTTTGTTTTTAATTTTCACAGATGATCTCTTAATGACCAATCAGGTTGGGGAATCAAGGATTTCAACCCTTTACTGGAAACATATAGTTGTATATTGTAAAATTACACATGAAAAATATAGTTATCACTAGAGAGTGGTTTGATTAGGAAGCAGGTATATTCAAATGGTGGAAATGTTTCTTTTCTTTGAAGGGTAGGGATGCAGAAGAATAATTAGCTTTTTAAAAACTACCAAAATGATATGGGCTCCAAATTACCATGTTGTGTTCACTGAGGGAGCCAGGGAGGCTGATATTCTTTGGGCTGTGAGAGCCTCACCAGCCTTTTACCTTCTGCTTTTGACACTGCTGATCTTTAACGAAAGCTTCAGCATGTGGACCTATCCCAGTGTGGGATCACGTCACTTGCTCTGCTCTCCTGGGGCTCTCTTTGGCTGGTTCCTCAAGGCCTAAAATATAGCCAGGCAAGTTAGTTCCTCCCCAATTCAGATCAGTATTTACAGTTGAATGGTAAATACTGGTGAGATGGTGCTTGTGTTTCCACAAACTTGCTTCTCGATTTCCAATGGAGAATCTGTATTTATAACTCTTAAACCTCATACTTGGGGGTTAATACAAGCAATGTAAGCTGACTCACAAATTTAGGATACTATACAGTAGTCTCCTCTTATCCGAGGGGGATATGTTCCAAGACCTCTAGTGGATGCCTGAAATTACAGACAATACCTAACCCTATATATACTGGTTTTTCCTATACATATACACCTATGACAAAGCTTAATTTGTAAATTAGCACAGTAAGAGATTAACAACAATAACTAATAAAATAGAACAATTATAACAATATACTGTAATAAAAGTTATATAGTTACATGAATGTGGTCTCTCTCTCTCCCTCAGAATATCTTATTGTAATGTACTCTTATTTTTGACCGAGGTTGACTACAGTTAACTGAAACCGTGGAAAGTGAAACCTCAGATAAGTGGGGACTACTGTACTGAATACTTAATGCCAGTATGGCAGGCCAGGTCTCACTAACAACTGTTTGAGTACTAAATGAATGGTTAAGTTAGATATTAAAAGCCAGTGTCCCTGTACAAAGGCTGGGATGTAACAAAAGCCCACCAAAAGTTTCGGCTAGGCCTTTCCTGGGCCTTAAAGCATAACAAAATAATGAAGGAATTCTTAACAGGACCCATGTAGAATTAAACAAGTTTTACTGTGGGTCTAAAAAAAACTCCCCAGGCCTCCACAAACAAGTTTATTGGGGGTCTGAAGAAACTCCTCAAACCTCCCTGATTTAGCAGGAGACAACATACGAGTAATCACCCCAGCACCTGAACCCATTTAAATTAAGTAAATTTACTGAGGCTCCAGAGGAAGGTCTTCAGAACTCAGACCTTAGTTATAAATTAAAAGAAGTTAATCACTTATGTCTTTAGATGAATGAACACTTACACAAAGACATATAGCTTAAAAGGTAAGCTCTGAAAAACTTTGTAATTTTGAGTTGGCCTGGTGATAATTTCCAGGCCTTCTCCCGGTAACCAGTTACAGAAATAAAAACTCTTGGTCGGGCGCAGTGGCTCGCGCCTGTAATCCCAGGACTTTGGGAGACCGAGGTGGGTGGATCATGAGGTCAGGAGATTGAGACCATCCTGACCAACATGGTGAAACCCCATCATTAGCTGGTTGTGGTGGTGCACACCTGTAATCCCAGCTACTCGGAAGCCTGAGGCAGGAGAATTGCTTGAACCAGGGAGTCAGAGGTTGCAGTGAGCCAAGATCACGTCACTGGACTCTAGCCTGGAGACACTGCGAAACTCCGCCTCAAAAAACAAAAAACCAAACAAACAAAAAAAAAACCTCTCTTCCTCCCCAGTTCATCTGCATTTCATTATTGGGCCACGAGAAATAGCAGTCCAACCCTCAATTTGGTCTGGGAACACCAGGGAGTTCAGGTCCCTTTCTCCCAGAATACATCCAAGTTCTGTGTGCAAATGTGATTATCCCTCTAAGGGATTAGCACCAGCTCTGCAAACCAGTTGAGGTAGCTTTTGCTTAATCTTGGAAAAAATAAAAGAAAAACAATAAAAATAAAATAAAAGGACGATTGTTTCTATTCTTTTCCCAGGACAATGAGAACTGTTTTCCTTACATCTACATAGCTAAGGAGTCATCCAGGTGACTTTTTCATGAACAAAACATTTGTTCATGATGAACTACCGTTTCTTCCGAAAAATCTGGCTTTAATTCGCTTCCATTTAGATGAACAAAATCTAGGCCTACATCTCTCATTGGCTGAAACTGCTTGTTTGTTGTCTCTGGCAAGATTACAAATTTCAATACTTATAAATGTAATTCCTATATTAACAAAGTACATAGAGACAGACAGAATAGTTTTATCCCCATTATAACAGTGGCTAGTCTCATTCCTCAGCCCTCAGCCCTACAAACTAAAACTTCCCTGAAGAGTGGGAAAAACTGGAGCTAAGTTAAGCTAGAGAGAAAAGTGAAAGGACAGTGACAAGCGATGATGAAAGAAAAATAAGGCTCTAAAGTGTTCTGCTGCAGAGAATAAAAACAATCATCAGTTTGGTGGTGAGATTGACTGCCCACTGGTGTCTGGAAGAGCAGCCTCTATATGGACACGTCTCTCCAGCCAAAGGCTGGGGCAGGACAGGGGAGCCCAAGGAATAGTGATGTCTGGTTCAGAGCAGTCCTTGGCCAGTCAGCTGGCCTTAGTAGTGCTCCAGGTGTGTCTGTTTGGTAGAGCTGCCAGTCCTGTCAGGCTGCTTTCTGCAGCATCAAGAGCCATATTCTGGAAATGCCTCTGGGCCTGCCTGTCTGACTGCCGGCTCAGTCCTATAGCTGGGAGCCCTGACCGCACCTGCTCATGGCTCAGTGAACATCTTGTCACCAGCTAAGGCTTTCTAGAGGTCATGTCTTTGACTCTTAACCCTCCAGCTTCTCTCCGCCTGCCTGTTGAACAGTCTGGCTACATAGCTTCATCCAGCCCAGCGAGGACTACTGCCACTGGAGGCATCCCCATCTCCCTCTCTGGGCCTTGCTGGCTGTGACCTTCCTCCTGTGGACCAGCTAGCAAGGTTCCCCCTCTGCCAGCTTTGCCATGACAATAGGTCCTACTGAATGTCTGGGCTTAGCTTTCCTGGAAAGAAAAAGTATGGTGCTCTTTCTTTGACTGAGAGGGTTCTTCCTTGCGATGCCCTAACATCCTTGGACAGTTAAGAAAATACAAAGGACTTTCCCTCTGCTGAGCCTGGAAGGGCTAAAATAGCCTATTTTAGGTCCCATTGGCCTATATCCCTGTGGTGTTTACCCTCCTTATTTCTTGGAATCTATTCCCAGAAAAAGTACAAGGAAGATGCTGAGAAGTCCATGTCGTATTATGAGACTGTTTTGGACACCCCAGAGATACAGAGAGTCCGGGAGAACCAAAAGAACTTCAGCCTTGTAAGTTTTTATTAAATGTAAGGCACAGCCCACAGGCACCTAGGGGTGCTGAGGAAGATGCCTCTGGATATCCCAGGCTTGCAGTGGGGCTGTTGTGCAGCCCTCCACAACTCCCATCCTGCCCCAGGAAATGTGTGCCCAATTCATCTCTGGGCTCACCTTGTATCTTAATCCCAAATCACAGCATGAAAGACTCATCTGTTACTTCGTTGGTGGTATTGGGGAGAAAATATAGTATCTTTTCCTCACCCATGGCAAGGTTCATGGCGAAAACCCCTGTAACAAAAGACAGATTAACAAGAGAGACACACAATTTATTCAATAAAAGCTTCAGAAATGACTACCCAAAGAAACAGGGAAATATGTGTATTTTTATGGATAGAGATGCGGAAGTGTGATTGGACAAAGAGGGGTATGATCCAATGGTAATAAACAGGGGATTTAGCGATGGCTGTTTGTTCAGATTCTCCTAGTATCTCTGTGTCTTTGGCTCCTTTCCTCTGGGTCTAGGGAGGACCCTTCTGGAAGGAGAGGCTTATTGCCTGCTTTAAATGAAGGTCAGATAATTATTATCTGCTTCAGGAAAAAACAGAGAAGGCCAGAAAAACCCTCCTGCTTCTGCTGTTTTTTCAAATGCCAAGGTGCCATTATTTTGGGGTAGTGTATCCTAAACCCTGTCAGTGGCTTCCTTTACTGAATGTGAACTATCACTGCTTTCCATTAGTGGAGACATCTATCTTTTTCAAAGTTAAATCTACTAAGCAAGGGATACTTAAACAAAAACAAACCCCTAGCTTTATATGTTTTTTAAAATTAGTTTCTCCACAAAATTCTTATCAAATAATTTCCCTTGGGCTACCAGACCATAATTATTGTGCATAGACTTTTTTTTAAAGATACAGGATTTTAATTTTCTTCACATAATATAGGACAAATAAAGAAAACAAAGCAATGTTGAAATCTTAACAAGATGTTTACTCTTTCTTCATAGCTCCAATACCAGTGTGACCTTAAAAACAGTAAAGGAAAAATTACAGTTGTTCAAGACACGCCAGAAATACTGCGTGTAAAAGAAAATCAGAAGAATTTCAGCTCGGTATATTTACTATTTATTTTGCATTTAATGCTAACCTAGTCATTTCACTCTCCTCTTTAAAAATATACTAGCCTTATATTGATACACACAATTAACATCTAACCTCCTCAGTAATACTAGCAGTGATTTGCTAAAATCCCCAATACTTTGCTCCAAAATCATCTCCAGAGACCATTTGAAATAACTTTAAATCTGCTAACAACGTAACTTTTATTTTTAAATTTTTTAATCCCAGGGCAGTAACATGTGTTGTCTTGCTCCAAGAAGATGGATTTCTTTTTGACATTGTGATTTCTTTTGTTATCCCTCCCCCAAATAACTGACTGAGTTTGCATTTCTTTAATGGATTTTGTGTTACATATGGGGAGGGTTTTGTTGTTAATCAACATTTCCTGGCTCTTCTCATCCTGTGTTAGTATGGTATACCACAATCTTAGAAGAAATCTTAAGATCTGGAAAGATCCATGTTGTATAACTGGTCTGAGTCACTGATACTGACATGGAAATGTCAGGTGCGATGCTCTGGCACTTGCCTGGGAACATCGTCTAGTGTCTTGTTTTCACAAAAGCCATGTGTCCTAGTCTTTCTCCAGGAACTGCTGGGTTTTCTTTTCTTCTGTGTTAACACTGTCCTGATTCTGAATGCCCAGGTTTTATATAAAGAGGATGTCTCACCAGGAACGGCTATCGGAAAGACACCTGAGATGATGAGAGTGAAACAAACACAGGACCACATTAGCTCGGTAAAGACACAGTGAATGCACTTGCAATATTTTCTGCCTCCCTTTGATAATTTACAATGACCTATGAGTTGCACTCAAAGCCTCTGTCACCAGAAACAGCTTATATTGCTAAAATAGGTGCCTGTGTACCACCACCACACAGTGGCTAGAGTCATCTCATATTCAGTGCAGTGCCTTGGCGGTTTTCATGAGGGAGAGATTAGATCTGAAAAACAGAGAGGCTTGTGAGAAGGTAGAATCCGGTACAGTCAAAGAACCAACCTTCCTGGATATATGTATGTCAATCTGTTTATCCTAGTCAAACGACCTGCTGGGCATAAAGACATTGGAGTATACAGGAAAGGGCTGCAGTCTAAATAGGGGCCCCCATCCCTGCCCCAAAGAGACGAGAGAGAGACAAAGCGTCCCTGTCCTTGGAATTGTTCTCCTCTTACCCAGTATCAGAATGAGGTCCCATTCACACTAAGTATAAAGCCTGCGTTATTTACACTGTTAATTTTTTTAATTTGGGGGCTACAAAAAACATGTACATGTTGGGAAGAATAACAGTCCAGCATGTAATAATACCTTTCTTTTCCCATTTTTAAATCTGCAGGTGAAGTATAAGGAAGCAATAGGACAAGGAACTCCAATCCCTGACCTGCCTGAAGTGAAACGTGTGAAGGAGACGCAGAAGCACATTAGCTCGGTAGTGGCCATACTCTCAGCTTCCATTTGTGTGACTGGCCATCTCTCAATTGCTACCCTGGTGCTCTCTCATCTTTCTGCTTCCTATCAAGAGCTTCCATGCCTTGGGGATGTTGTGAATTCTCCCTTAGTCTTGATGGGGTCACTACAGGTTGCAAAAGTAGATAAGAAACCACTTTTCTCATAATCAAGGAGTAGAAGGGATTTGGCTTTCTTTTCCTACCTGTCACTGACTTGAAGCTCATGGACTTGGCTTCTTAATTAATTATCATGCCATTCGTTTCCAAAGTAAAATGTTTTGATGGTAGTAATAAGGTTATTGGGATGATCTCAAGTAATTTAACTAAAAGCATATACATATAAACATATAAGTAGTATAACATACTTTGGTTTTGTGTATATATATAAAACATGTGTGTGTGTATGTATGACACATCATATGAATGATAGGATTCCCAGTGTCCAAAAAGACCCTGGGTAGACATGTGAAGTCTCTTCTCCCCTCCCTTTCAAGGTTTCTTCTCCTGTATTCTTTGCTCTCTCCATCTAGTAAATGCAGTGGTACAGGCTGCGATCTACCTACAATGGTATATTATACATTAAGCCTGTTCTGTCATGGGAATTTCAGGCACCTGTGCAGTTTATTGCAGGGCACGTGTCCCCCACACCTGAAATATCAGGTTAGCACATTTCTCCTGACCTTTTGTCAAGCAAGCCCTGGCTCTGCACCCACCCCTTTTCCCATCCATACGCAGATTCTAGGCAGGTGTTGGCTACTAGCAAAAGACTATGTGAAGTTTGGGAAATAGTTTATGGCCAATAAAAGGGGAGGACCTTGGTCTTGGGATTCCCCTGGTCAATGGAGGACTGAACTCTCATTTGATTTTCTTTAGGATACTTGATATTTCTCTTGCAGGTTGTTCATATTATTTAGATCTCATTCCCTTCTCACTCTCTGCTTATACTCTGTGGTACAGATTTCCTTGTGGTACAAATTTCATTTAGAGTTTTGTGTCCTCTAATAAGAGTTGAGAAAGCTAGCCTAGGCTCCTTTGTCACTTTGCATTACAACTTCTTGGTTTTCTTTAATTTTGCTTTGTGCTGTTGTCCGAGATCAATTCTGCTGCTTTGTTGGGTGAAGAGTAAAGAAATGCAACTTTGTTACCAAGAAGGTAGATGTTCAAAGGTTCCTAGAAGCTTCCTTGCAAAACAAAGCTATCACGCCTAGCTTGTCACTGATTTTAAGAATTAAAATCTGGGTACGTTGCTCCCCACGCCATGCACTAATACACCAGGGAATCCATCCATTTAAAAGAACTCATTCAGTCCTTTAGGCTGAAAACTTAATGTTAAGAGTTAAGGAGGCTCAGAGAGTGGAGGTTCCTTAATGTTTTCATTAAAATGCATAGTCCTTAGATACTACTACTAAAAAATATGGACTTCTCCCAATTCAGAAAACACTAGTTTACTTGATCCAGCAATTAGCAGTAAAAATTTCAGGTAAAGATGCTCTTCCTGAAAAATAAACTGATTAAGCCATCTCACATCCAGGGACTAGGCTCCTACAGATTAGGAGCCAGCGAGGAACATTCATTAGAACATACAAAACAAAAAGAAAATTCTCAATAAGCCTGAAGGAATAGAGTATCCTATGATTGGAAAATTTTAAACCAAGCAATCTATTCATTAAGTACAAGTCTACTGCAGGCCTACTATATTTGAGGCACCAAAGCTAGATGCAACAAAATGGTTAGATTTTTCTCATTGGTAAATTTATTTATTAATGCATTTTAGGCATGCACTAAGTGGTTACAGAAAATGCATAATTTAGTGCCCAGTTTTCAAAGTAGTAAAAATTTTTACTATTTTGGAAAAGACAACATAAATATTCATGGAATTTTCCCCCCTGTTCCTTGAATGTTATATTTGAGAGCTAGATTGTTTTTATGAGTTTCCCCCAAATAGCCCACATGTGGCTGCTATCTAAAGGATTTACGGTCATTTTACCTTTCTGGGTATTCTAATTATTTTCTACAGGTTATGTACAAAGAAAACTTGGGAACAGGCATTCCAACCACTGTGACTCCAGAGATTGAGAGAGTCAAACGCAATCAAGAGAACTTTAGCTCGGTATTTACAAATATATCATATAAGAAACTATTTCCCATAAAAAATTTACCACAATAACCCATCTTTTTTAAAGAAAGTAACATCTTAACAGCAATTCTGTGTGTGTCTGTGTGTGTTGTGTATTATTACCTGACCAAAATTATGTTAATACAAAATGACTCACATTTCCGATTATACTTGAACATTTTCAGTGACTTGACTAGATTTGAAATACTATAAGTAGAATTAACAAGATTCCTCAGCGTTATATAACTTAATGCTTTCCATTGTACTTTTTCATTTCCAGAATTAGCATTGTAGAGTTCATCATTAAAACTGTGAAAAAAGTAAAAACATTATCCTTACTAAATATTACTTACTAAAAAACTGCCTCCTCACATATAACCCCTTCCCCCATTTCCTTCCTTCCTTACTCTCTGTGCCTGTTTTAAATGTCCTCTGGGTACTTTCTTGTATCTCACAGGTTTTGTACAAAGAAAATTTGGGGAAAGGAATCCCAACACCTATCACTCCAGAGATGGAGAGAGTCAAACGCAATCAAGAGAACTTTAGCTCGGTATTTCTTAGGGGGCCAAAAAAAAAAAAATCCCTTAATTTTATTTAAAATAATAACACCTTACAAATGTAAAATTACTAAATTCATATAATGAAAATAATGATACCAAATATTACCTCAGTTTTCAACCCAAATCTAATTTAGTATTTAGTTCTGGTGTGAAATTTTAACTGTGTTTTCTCTAAAACATAGATATTTATCACTTTCTTTAAAAACCTGTAATACTCTGTTTTCTTCCTCCATTCCTCCTTTAATAACAGTAGGTGTTTCTAACTGGTGTAACACAGTCAAAAGTAAAATCTAACACCCTTTCAAAAGGACAATGTTAATTAGAATTTTATTTGTATTTATTGTGGCTGTTTAATGTATTCTTTATGTTTGCAGCTTTTAAGTTTTTTTTTTTTTATGTTTAGATGTTTATTTATTTTTCCATAAGTTTGGGAGGTACAGGTGGTATTTGGTTACTAAGTTCTTTAGTGGTGACTTGTGAGATTTTGGTGCACCCATCACCCAAGCAGTATACACTGCACCATATTTGTAGTGTTTTATTCCCTCGCCTCACTTCCACTCTTTCCTGCAAGTCCCCAAAGTTCACTGTATCATTCTTATGCCTTTGCATCCTCATAGCTTAGTTCCCACATATCAGTGAGAACATACAATGTTTGGTTTTCCATTCCTGAGTTACTTCACTTACAATACTAGTCTCCAATCTCATTAGAGGTCACTGGTTTGCAGCTTTTCTTAAAAGAATGTCATTCTTAAACATTTTCATTCAAAGACAACACAGCAATTCACAGTAAATATAATTTACTTGTCTTGGCTATTTTTTGTATGCTATGTAAGATATAAATTAATTTTTCCTTTGGAAAACTTTCAGTATCATTGAAAGCTAGTATTATTTAGCTTTCAACATTTATTCTTTATTTTGTTCCCCCAAACCTACCTGTCTCTCTCTCTCCTCTTTCTTTGGTTCCCTAATTTAATGTTACCAACAACTCATGGATATTAATTTCAATTAGTTTGAATGCTATTTGATACTCTGGTCTTTGAGAGAAGGCCTACATAAGTCAAGCCACTCCTGCCGGCAGCCTGGCAGCTGTGTTTTACTGATGTCTTTTAGAGACAGACATCCTGTGTGTGACTAAATGTCCAAAGGGGATCTATAGTTAACTCTATTTTTAAAAGTTACTGAGGTACTTCATCATAAAAACAACAATAAAAATACTTCTTTTAGGCTGTTTTTTTAGGTTAAGTCTACCTAAAAAATGATGGGTCCAGGTTGATTTGTTTGTTGGTTTTGTGCACACAGATATTGTACAAAGAGAACTTGAGCAAGGGGACTCCCCTACCTGTCACTCCTGAGATGGAGCGAGTCAAACTCAATCAAGAAAACTTTAGCTCGGTATTTGGGAGAAAGCTCTTTAACTCCATATTAAAAAATAATAATTTCTACAAAACAGAACATCTCACTGTTCATCCCTTTATAATAATCAATTTAACAAAATCTTTTTTTAATCACATCAACTGAATCCTTCTGTTTTCCAGATCTCCTACTC
Source organism: Homo sapiens (assembly GCF_000001405.40). Lineage (NCBI taxonomy): Eukaryota > Metazoa > Chordata > Mammalia > Primates > Hominidae > Homo > Homo sapiens. The sequence continues at coordinate 151,501,236 of NC_000002.12, read as the reverse complement.
ACCATTTGATTCTAACAAACATTTTATACTTTCTATAATAGTCCCTTAAAACTTTTTCTTTCCTTCTCTTTTCATCTTTATGTTGTTGGGACTGTTGAAGTTAATTGATTTCCAGAAAAGAAAAACCAAACACTAAAGCTCTTATTTACTTGGAACTCTTTTTATCTGATGTTTCTGGGTTAGAGATGCAAGAAAAGATACTGGACTTGAAGCCACATATAGAAATGGTGGCTCTTCCTTAGGAACAGGGATCATCTTAACATAGACCCTATTCAGATAAACAATAGCACCAAGAAAGAAAATTGCTCCATATTGAAACCAAAAGAAATCTTATTTGGGGCCAGGCGTGGTGGCTCACACCTGTCACCTCAGCACTTTGGGAGGTCGAGGCAGGCAGATCACTTGAGCCCAGGAGGTCGAGACCAGCCTAGCCAACATGGTGAAATTCCATCTCTGCTAAAAATAGAAAAAATTAGCCAAGCGTGGTGGCACATGCCTGTAGTCTCAGCTACTTGGGAGGCTGAGGTGGGAGGTTCATCTGAACCCTAGGAAGTCAAGGCTGCAGTGAGCCGTGATTGTGCCACTGTACTCCAGCCTAGGCAACAGGAGTGAGACCCTGTTTCAAAAAAAAAAAAAAAAAAAAGGAAGAAAGAAATCTTATTTTGATACTTATTCAAAACAAGCCATTTCATGAATAGAAATCCAGGCCTTCTGATTTTTTTTTAATATACAAATCAGATCATGAGCTTATATTTAATGTTATCTTTTATTAATATTGTTGCTGAAAAACTCTAACACACAAATTATTTGTGTATTATATACAACTCTGAAGCTTCTATATCAAGACCTTAGGTTCACTTATACCTGTGATGGAGAATCAAATGTCATTAGGAAAATTTAGATGGATTTTTTTCTGGGGAGTGGGAATTAATCCAAAATATTTTTAATTGTCAGTTTAAATATATTCTAAAAGTTTGATTCTTTGACATAATTAGATCAGTAACTTTCTTTGGTCCCACTGTCTTTTTGTTCTGTTTTGTTTTTTAATTACTATTCACTAACAATCCTTCAATTTTGTTAAATTTTCAATGTTAATATGTCTTTTGGAATGTTATACTCATTGTTTTCCCTGTGGGTTGTAATTATTATTCCTTTTATTGAAAGGCTTGCAACGATTTTCAAAATTATTTTCTAATTATTTTCTTGTATACTACAGTAAGTATATTATTATTTGTATCTATTTGAAACCTTAATGATCCTGGACTTTTTTTAAAGTAACCATTTGTGTTAATTTTTACACAGATTGCATTTAGGCAAAATTGCCCAGTGGTGCATAAGCCTATTAGATACTGTGGAAAATAGACAATGCCACATATTGAACCTCTATACTTGACCATCTCTACAACAACTTGAACTTAATGACAAGGACCAAATTGCCATATTGCATAGATTTGGCCTGTTAAATATTTGTTAGACCGTAAGACAAACGCTTTTTGTAGAGAAAATAAATACTTGCTAATCTAACTTAAGCAATTTTTCTATTGTACACTGAGTATTTTAGTGGTCTTAGGAAATTATTTGTATTTTTTTCCTTAATTCCTGGCACAGGAAATAAATATATTCAAGTTACAATAAAAAGATGATGAATATCAAATACACTGATATTTCACTAAGGAAATACAAAACATGTTCTCACCCAGATCTGTGCCTGAACAGAGAGGTTGACTTGTTGAATCTGTCTTTTCTGTCTGACGTCTGTAGTTTTATACCAGGTTCCCCACAAGGTAGATGAAAGGGCTGTTTTGACTGCTCTTGTTTTTTCTGGATGCTTTCTTGTGTCATACAGGTGTTGTATAAAGAAAACGTTGGAAAAGGGATTCCAATCCCCATCACTCCAGAGATGGAGAGAGTCAAACACAATCAAGAAAACTTTAGTTCGGTATTTAAAAATAAAAAATCCCTTTAATTATTTAAAAAAATGTTTAAAAAGATTAATGGCTAGATTTTAAAAATCTAATCAACTCATCCCAATAAAAAATTTGACCTGTCTTTTTCCCAACTTAATGCTGCCATTTCCTATGAATCAGTTTTCCCCATTTTGGTAAAACATTAATATAATCATTTAACTTAATAAAAAAAGTGTTCAGTATTATATTCCTGCTTTTACAAATGTAACATTCTCAGTGTCTAAGCATCCACATTTATACTGCTTTGGCAAATTTGATCTGAACCTAAAGCTTAAACAAATGTATTTTGCAAAGATCCGACTATTATCCTCGTTTCTTATTCTAACCTTTTCTATCTCTACTGTTATTTGTACAGATATTTTGAAGTTTCTTTTTTTTAGCACCTTATCATTGCTCTCCATTTGCCTTAAACATCGTTGTTCTCAATGTGTTCACCCAAACTAAAAATTAAATACTCTGACTTCTTTTGAAAGTGAACAAAAGAAGAGTTGTGTGTATGTGTCTCCATATACACAATGTTTGTAAAACCCAAATATCCCTATGTGATTAACAGCATTTTCAAATCAAAAGTAACTTCCTTGGTTTCTTGTCTGTTTCTACTTTTTTCCCTCCTTGTAACAAGGTGGGAAAAGACTAATTGCTCTTTCACGGTTGCTCAGTGCTGCAGAGATTAGTTCAAACAATGAAAATAACAACCTTTCTTTTCCTATTTCTTAGTTTTTGCTGCTCTTTCCTGCATTCCTTTGCTTTTGAAGATGTCTTTAGGCTCAAACAAACAGGTTGAGTCTAAAAGCTTCTGGTATTTCTCTTCCTCTAACTTACTCTCTTCCTCCCTTCCCACTCCCAACTGCTCCAAAGCAGGGGGAAAATGACTGATTGATTGCTTTTTTTGTTCTGGATGCTTTCTCATCATACAGGTGCTATACAAAGAAAACCTGGGGACAGGAATTCCAATCCCCATCACTCCTGAGATGCAGAGAGTCAAACACAATCAAGAAAACCTTAGCTCGGTATTTTGGAAAGAAAGGGGAAAAAATGCCACTTAACTTCAGAATTAAACTGATCTTTACATTTATTTATTTTTGTTTGAAGCCCATTTCCCTTCTTTGCTTCTAATACATCTTATATTACAAAAGGATATACTTTCCCATTTCTATAATACAGTTAATGTCAATTTTTTACTTCATCTGATATTTACAAACAAACATGTTTTAAAAATAATGAATGTTTCCATTTGTGTGGATAACAACACCGAGTTCTAACAGTCTCAAATCCTCATGTGATTGTTTAGGAGGCACCGTACTCACAAAAATGAAAAAAAATAACATGGATAACTCTGACAGCCCTTCCTCAGCAGCTGAAGTCCCTGCTTCTCTAGAGGGTGCAGATTCCCTATCCCAACAACAGCTTCCACTAAAGTAGTCGGTGGCATTTTGTCAGCATATAACTTCTGGCTCCTTGGATGACTGTGTTTTTTCCTCATCCTTAAAAAGTCCCAAGAAATGAAATGTTACTCATGGTTGTTTTTCTGGATGCTTTCTTATCGCACAGGTGTTATACAAAGAAAACATGGGCAAGGGAACCCCTTTACCTGTCACTCCCGAGATGGAAAGAGTCAAACACAATCAAGAAAATATTAGCTCGGTACTTTGGCAAGAAAAGAAAAAAACTACTTATTTAATGATTTTGAAAACTTTCATGATTTAAAATAATACGTATTAATCCTACTTTTTAAAGACAACTTAAATTTTGTGAATTTCTTTAGCAAATTTATCCTTTTTTCCTTTGGGCTACTTCTAGCCTAACACCATTCCCATTTCTATAATACAGTTAATTTCAATTTTTTATTTCATCTGGTATTTTCAATCTTTTTTTTAAAATAATGAGTTTTTCAGTTTGTGTGGATAACACCACTGAGTTCTAACTGTCTCAAATCCTCATATAATTGTTTAGGAGGCATGGTACTCACAAAAAAGGAAAAAAAAAAATAACATGGATAACTCTGACAGCCTTTCCCCAGCAGCTGAGGTCCCTGCTTCTCTAGAGGGTGCAGATTCCCCATCCCAACAACTTCCACTAAAGTAAAGTAGTCGGTGGCATTTTGTCAGCATATAACTTCTGGCTCCTTGGACAACTGTGTTTTGTCTTAACAAGGAAGCTGACCTTACCCTTAAAACCTTTCAACAAATGAAATGTTACTCATGGTTGTTTTTCTGGTTGCTTTCTTATCGCACAGGTGTTATACAAAGAAAACATGGGCAAGGGAACCCCTCTACCTGTCACTCCTGAGATGGAGAGAGTCAAACACAATCAAGAAAATATTAGCTCGGTACTTGGGCAAGAAAAGAAAAAAACTACTTACTGATTTTAAAAACTATTTCATGATTTAAAATAATACATATTAATCCTATTTTCTAAAGACAAATTTTGTGAACTTCTTTCTTTAGCAAATTTATCCTTTTTTCCTTTGGGCTACTTCTAGCCTAACACCATTTCCATAATACAGTTAATTTTGATTTTTTATTTCATCTGATATTTTCAATCATTTTTTAAAAATGAGTTTTTCCGTTTGTGTGGATAACAACACTGAGTTCTAACAGTCTCAAATCCTCATGTGATTGTTTAGGAGGCACCGTACTCACAAAAATGAAAAAAAATAACATGGATAACTCTGACAGCCTTTCCCCAGCAGCTGAGGTCCCTGCTTCTCTAGAGGGTGCAGATTCCCCATCCCAACAACAGCTTCCACTAAAGTAGCTGGTGGCATTTTGTCAGCATATAACTTCTGGCTCCTTGGACGACTGTGTTTTCTTAACAAGGAAGTTGACCTTACCCTTAAAACCTCTCAACAAATGAAATGTTACTCATGGTTGTTTTTCTGGATGCTTTCTCATCGCACAGGTGTTATACAAAGAAAACATGGGCAAGGGAACTCCTTTAGCTGTCACTCCCGAGATGGAGCGAGTCAAACACAATCAAGAAAATATTAGCTCGGTACTTGGCGAGAAAAGAAAAAAACTACTTACTGATTTTAAAAACTACTTTTATGATTTAAAATAATACATATTAATCCTACTTTTTAAAGACAACTTAAATTTTGTGAAATTTCTTTAGCAAATTTACCCTTTTTTCCTTTGGGCTACTTCTAGCCTAACCCCATAATAACAAGGTTGCTTTAATCCATAAAGTTCTAATATCAAGAAGTAACAGATTTTCCTATAAAACATCCTTTTGCTTCTCTCTCTCCAAACTTACTCTCTATCCACTACCCCCAAGGTCTCTTTGTTTTAGATATGCTTGAAATTTAGGACGGGTACGTGTGGGGTGGTGGAGTAGGTCCAATGCGGCTCTTTCTTAAATATGATTTTGTTGTGTTTTTGTGTCAATGACTTCAGGTTCTAATTTACCCTGTCAGATTTGGACAAAGAGACCTTGGGAAAAATAATCCCTGATCCCCTCCTTCAAGAATAATGATATAAATTATGATCCAATAGTAGTTTTGGCAATTATTGATTATCAATTTACTTACTTAAAAATGAAAGTGTCACCAGAATGGCTTTTTGTTTTACCAGTTTTCGTTTTTTGTTTGTTGTTGTTGTTGTTCTTTAGTTTTACTGTAGTCTTTAACTGCAAACTTTAGTAAACCATTTCCCGTAAGCTTGTGCTCTGTGACATTATATATGGTTGTAAATTACCTAGGGATTGAGGTTTGCAGGGGGACTTCAGCTTTCAGTAGCAAACAACCTTGTGGTGTCCACATTTCCACTATCTGTAGGTTTCTCCAGTACTTGAGTACAGTGCTTCTAAAACATTAGCACGCATCAGAATAACGTGCAGGGTTTGTGAAGCCAGATTGCTGGGTCCTGCTCTAGTTTCTCATTCTGTAGGTCTGTTATAGAGGGGGCCAGAGAATTTGCATTTTTAACAAGTTCTCATTACTGACCTTGCTGTCCAAGGACCCCACGTTGAGAATCACTATTTCAACAGAATTCTTCCTCTTCAATGTCATTTCCTAAATCTCCCACGTTTCCAAGAATGACACTGAGGGGAGATACCGAGGTTGAGGATTTATCATGATGTGTTACTATGTTTCTCATTTTCCACTGATTCGCCATGATAGTGATATAAGAGCCAAAAACCTTATTCCTTAATGATAAGCTGAATGTTGTATGAAACTAAAGCAAGAGGCAGAGCATAGAGGATAGCAAAGAAAAAGAGGGTAGGGGAAACCCTTTGCTTTGTCTGAGGGCCTACAGTTTTACTGATATGTCTATGAGAGTTTAAGTGCTGCAAAACAGTCCAGTAAAAAAACAGCTGCTGTGGGCCAGGTGTGGTGGCTCACGCCTGTAATCCCAGCACTTTGGGAGGCCAAGGTGGGCGGATCACAAGGTCAGCAGTTCAAGACCAGCAAGACCAACATAGTGAAACCCCGTCTCTACTAAAAAATACAAAAATTAGCCGGGCATGGTGGTGCACGCCTGTAATCCCAGCTACTCAGGAGGCTGAGGCAGAAGAATCACTTGAACCCGGGAGGCGGAGGTTGCAGTGAGCAGGGATCGTGCCATTGCACTCCAGCCTGGGTGACAGAGCAAGACTCCTCTGTCTCAAAAACAAAACAAAACAAAACAAAAAAAAACAAACAGCTGATGTATTAGGAACAGCCTCAACCTTCTCAGTGTGATTGAAGCTCATGCCTGTAACTCCTGTTTGGATCATCTCTCAGGGGCTTGACATTGAGAGACTAGCGGTAAAATGATGGTGGTTTCTCATCCTTTTGAGGAACACCACAGGTCTCTCTTGCAGTCCTCAAGGGTTTCAGGGCAGGTGCCTATCCTGGTTGTGTCTTGCTGTAACTACACTTAACTTCCTTAGGAAACATACTACTTTCCATCTAACCTAATTGCCCAAATGGTTTGGGGCCCTAAAGATAATCAAAAGTTATCTGTACCATTTCCTTTTTTGGTAACTGTTAACTCTTTTTCTTTTTGGCTTTTTGGACCCATTGGATTCCCATAGGTTTTGTACAAAGAAAATGTGGGGAAAGCCACCGCAACCCCTGTCACTCCTGAGATGCAGAGAGTCAAACGCAATCAAGAAAACATTAGCTCGGTATTGTCTTGAGAAACAAAAGTGCTTTTAATTTTGCAAAATAACTCTTGCAGTTTGGCCTGCTCCTAACCCTGTCCCAGGTTAAAAACAAACAAAATGCCAGTTACATTTGCATCTGCTCTAAATATCACACTACATTTACTGTAGCCATTAACTATTTTTAAGCTTTCTTCTTGAGAGGTGTTCTCACTAATAGTAATAGATTAAACATAACATTTCCCCCCAACTTGCAATATAATTAATAGTGATTATTACCTCGTAGTGACTTTCGGGCATGACTTTGTATCTCACAGGTGTTATACAAAGAGAACCTGGGGAAAGCAACCCCCACACCCTTTACTCCTGAGATGGAAAGAGTGAAACGCAATCAAGAAAACTTTAGCTCGGTATTTTAGAAAGGAAAAATAAATCCTTAAAATCTTAACAGCCCTGGCAAACATGGTTGTACCACTAATTTATCTTACAGTTTTTCCAAAACTTTTGTGTATCTTTAAAAATTCTTCCTTGTCCACTTAAAAACAACAAACCAACCCCACGAGGTCACAGTGATTTTACTTCTTTCTTAAACTTTTGCTTCCTACCGTAACATTTTAATAGCTTTACCTTCAGTGTGATATAACTGAGCCATAACATGAGCCATAACACCAGCTAAGTGATGATTTTCAGACCTGGTTTTCTGCTGTCTGATGCCTAGATGCTCTTTTGGCTTCCCTAGGTATTGTACAAAGAGAACATGAGAAAAGCAACTCCGACACCTGTTACTCCAGAGATGGAGAGAGCTAAGCGCAACCAAGAAAACATTAGCTCGGTATTTTCTAGGACTAAAAAGAAATAGTGCAACAACTTGGAAAATAACATTTTAACATCATAAAAACACGCCTTTCTCATTCAACTGAAAAACACACTAAAATTTTAAAAGAGAAAAATGCAACATCTTGGAAAGTAACGTTTTAACACCATAAAAATTTGCACTTATTCAACTGAAAATTTACACTAAAATAGACATTAACTGTGCTTTTACATTCCAAACCATCATACTAAACATAACAAGTTAATTGCCAATGTTTTCCTTCCCCTATACTTTGAGGTAGTTCTACGTAACCAACTATAACAAATTTACTTCCTAACATCCTCAATCTTCTGCTCTCCTTTAGTTTTAAGATACTTTATGACATGGGTAATACTCTGAAATGGATGCCTTCTTTGGATATATTTTGGGGTTTTAGTGTCTGGAGGACTTTGATTTCTATATTAGCATATTGGTTTATGAAGTCTGGACACAACCTAAGGAAAATAATCACTTGTTTTAAAGGACAGTTCTTTCAAATTCCCTACAATGTCAGATTTAGAGCCAAATACCATCGAATATGTTGATGCTGTAATTCCTAGCAAATTTCAAGAGGTCACTCTCTTTTCAAAATTATACCGTGCCCCTTCTTTGAAAATGAGTTTCATTTTCGAAGTCAAAACAAGTCCTTTCTCTTCCACTGGCGGGCCCTTCTGGTCCCCAGATTAGCCTGTTCCAAAATTGGTCATGTGTCTCACTGGGCCCCTTCAGTTGACCCAAGCGTCCCTCACCAGCTCCTATCCATCTCTATCTGCTGGAAAGGCTTTGAGGTTTCAGATTTAGGACAGCACCACTCATTCACGGTCTCTCCTGCATCAGGTTCTTTATTCTGATAGTTTCCGGAAACAAATACAAGGCAAAGCTGCCTATGTATTGGATACCCCCGAGATGAGACGGGTGAGGGAGACCCAACGGCACATCTCAACGGTGAGTCAGGAATTCTTTAGGATTGGCTGGCTGCCTGTCAGAATGTGTAAAAAGGGATATAGTCACACCATCATATTTTCATAAAGCAAATTCATGACATTTCAGGTGAAATATCATGAAGACTTTGAGAAACACAAGGGTTGCTTCACACCAGTGGTGACAGATCCTATCACTGAACGAGTAAAGAAGAACATGCAGGACTTCAGTGACATTAACTACCGAGGTATTCAGAGGAAAGTGGTAGAAATGGAACAAAAACGGAATGACCAAGATCAGGAGACTATTACAGGTAACTGAGCCTGGGTTGGGGGAGGGGATTAACTTTAAGTGAGGGGGTAGAAGAACAAAAGTAGCATTACCTACATCAAGTCAAAACATAAAGGACTTCAATCTGTTTTTCTAGAGGTGCAAGAAAGCTCCTATTATCTCATAGTTTACAAAGCTGATTTCTACCTTATCTTTGTTCTCCTCTGAGGAAAAGACATGACCCAGAACCTAAGCTGGAATAAGTGTGATTCAATCCTTTGGTGGTTGTTAAAATTCATGCCTTGGTTTTCAAGTTATTGGAAAACTCCAAGAACACTTGTTCTGATCACTGGTTTCCCTTTCAGGTTTACGTGTCTGGCGTACTAATCCTGGTTCGGTTTTTGACTATGATCCAGCAGAAGACAACATCCAGTCCCGAAGCTTACACATGATTAATGGTGTGTTAGCTGAAAAAGGCTTACAACATAAACATCACCATTTAGTATGCTAGAGTCAATGACTTTCATTTGGGCTCTGAAGTTCCTTCCCTCCAGAGTTTTCCATTTTCTGAGCTGCCCATTTGGCATAAAAATACCTTGTTAACTAGTGAGCAAAACTTACTTTCTAGATAAGTTCAAGTTAGAAAAAATTTTGTTTCACTGCCTCAGTGCATGTCTCCCATTATTATCATTTCTAATTTTTCTTCCAAAGAAAAAACAGTAGTAATTCTATTGGAGAAATAATGAAAATACATAAAATACATAGGCAAAGGGAAGAGAAAGGATTTGACCTGTAGGAACTTCCTGAGCTCTATTGCATCAAGGAAGTTTATTCATTACACAAAGCAGGCTGCACAACTTCATTCCTTCTTTTCATGTTAAAAAGCAGAATACTAGCCTGGAAAAGAGAATGAGACCCCTTTTCTACAAACAGTAAAAAAAAATTAGCCGCGAGTGGTGTTGTACACCTGTAGTACCAGCTGTTCAGGGGGCTGAAGTGGGAGGATAGCTTGAGCCTAGAAAGTTGAAGCTGCAGTGAGCCGTGATTGTACCACTGCCCTTCAGCCTGAGCAACAGAGACCCCATCTCAAAAAAAAAAAAAAAGGATATTATGTAGAGACAGTCCTCAAAGGATTTATACTCCAGTTTTCTGATCAAGACACAGAAGTAAATCCATGGTTGCATTCTGACATGTGCAATTTTAAAGGTCTGCCCATGGTATTTTGGGAACACAGAGAAAGACTCTAAATTGATTTGCAGTTAGGGAGGACTTTCTGGAGAAGTTAAAGATGGAGTCTGAATGTGAATATTACTATTTATTCATTTTGGTGAGCCAGGAAAATTGGCAGGGTGGAGGGGAGATGTTACAAATAGACTCTTGGATTTGAAACCTGGCTGTACAACTTAACTGTTCCATGACCTTTGGTCATGTACGTAAGCTCTCATCTGTAAAAATAAGAAAGACAAACCTACATCAGAATAACTGTGAGGGTTTGACCCATGGGAAAGTACTTAAAACCATGCTTGGCAAAGATAACAATAACTGAGATTCAATCACTGTTAGGCATTACTACCATAGAAATTTCATGTTTGCTACATCTCCCCCAACTGCATCTCTCCCAGTCCAAGCTCAGCGCCGGAGCCGGGAGCAGTCACGATCTGCCAGTGCACTAAGCATCAGTGGGGGTGAGGAGAAGTCTGAGCATTCAGAAGCACCAGACCACCACCTTTCGACTTACAGCGACGGGGGTGTCTTTGCAGTCTCAACAGGTACAAGTGCCTGGCGCTGATTTTGGCAGTCCCACCCGGCCAGCTCATTGATGGTTACTATAAGAGATGCTTTGAGTACAAAAACAAATTTAAAAATTTTTCATCCTTTCCTTTAATGAGAAAAGACTAGAATTGTGGAGGGCTGCATGAAGTTAGATGTTTCATTTTCTTTGATTTCTCTTTTTGGAAATCATTCTAAGTTGGGGGAAAAAGACATCACTCAGCTGCTAAACACAGATTAAAGGATACCTAGCCATTTTTCTTCTTATAAAGAATTTGCCCCCTTTTTTTCAGCTTACAAACATGCAAAAACCACAGAGCTCCCACAACAACGATCATCTTCAGTTGCTACCCAACAGACAACGGTATCTTCCATCCCATCTCATCCATCTACTGCTGGAGTAAGTGAATAACAACTCACTTAAATAAATTATTCTTAATTTTTGATATGTGCAAACATGATTATAAGTATTAGGTATTACGGTTTTTTTTAACCAAACCTTCTATTTTATATAATGCTCTTTTATTACATGTTTCATATTAATGATATCAGAAAACTTTCATTATCTAACTCAAATTAATGAAAAGCATTATTCAATAACTTAAAAAAAAAACCCAAACCTAGAGCAAAGCATCAGTTTTGGCTCATTGGTCTCACCTACTATCTTAAACATTTGCTGGGCATAGTGAATCATGCCTATAATGCCAGCACTTTGGGACGCTGATGCAGGAGGATTGCTTGAGCTCAGGAGTTTGAGACCAGCCTAGGCAACATAGTGAGACTTCATCTCTACTAAAAACCAAAAAATTAGCCAGGTGTGGTGGTGCATCTATAGCCCCAGCTACTGAGGAAGTTGAGGTGGGAGGATTGCTTGAGCCTGGAAATTTGAGGTTGCAGTGAGCCATAACTGCACCACTGTACTCCAGCCTGGATGACAGAGGGAGACCCTGTCTCAAAAATCAAGAATGTATAGATGTATGCAATGTGCCCACATATATACATGCCTTATCTTAGATCTCCCCTATTAATATATATAGAAATGGTAAGCCAAATCATCTTCACAGTTCACCAGACTACTTCACAACTCTTAGTTTAAAACCCTGGATCTCATTCATAATATCCTCAAAAGCCTAATACTTTAGGATTGATATGAACAATCTTTGTATGAAGACAACTGTCTTTATTAAATGACATACAAGAAGGTCTAAATAAGTGTTAGACCTATTATATTTAAGGAAGGGAATACTGTAAAGTTCTAATTTTCCCTGAAATAAACCAATGCATTCAATTCCAATATAAATCCCAATAGCATTTAAAGAAACTGTGCTAACCCTAAAATTTGAAAAAGCTGCAAGGATAATCAAGTAAAATTTGAAAATGATAATACTTAAGGACTCAACTAAAAAAGAACAAAACATACTATAAAGCTATTAAAATTAAATATGGATTTAGCATGGCAATAGATACAAAATATCGATTTAGCATGGCAATAGATACAAAAATAGATGAAGTCCAGAAACAGACCCTAAAAGAATTATAAATCAGCAAGAAAGGGGTAAGTTATTTAATTATATGATCTGAGGTAACCAGTTATCTATTTAGTAAAATAATAAAATTAGATACCCATCTCAAAGCATAAACTGTAGCTGTACCAAAGATTTAGATGTAAAATACAAAATTGTAGAAGTACAAAGAATAATACAGAATACTTTTTTTTTATTTTTAGAGACAGGGTCTCACTCTATCACCCAGGCTGCAGTGTGGTGGCATGATCACAGCTCGCTGCAGTCTCGACTTCATGGACTCAAGCAATCCTCCAGCCTCAGCCACCAGAATAGCTAGGACTACAGGTGTATATGCCATTCTAGGCTAATTTTTTTTTTTTTTTTTTTGGTAGAGGCTCACTATGTTGCCCAGGCTGGTCTCAAACCCCTAGGCTCAAGCCCTCTGCCTGCTTTGGCCTCCTAAAATGCTGGGATTACAGGCATCAGCCACTCAGCCCGGCCACAATTATTTTAAAATATAAAGGGGAAAGCCTTCCCAGGCAAATTCCAAAATCTAGAAGTATAAAAGTCTGGCCAATTTGATCATAAAATTTTAAATGTTTCTATAACAAATAAATACAAACATGTCAGACTGGGAGAAAACATTTACAGCATACATAACAAAAATATTAATATTGAAAAAGAATAAAGAACTCTAAAATTCACTGATAAATTATTCCCCTCGCCCTCAAAATAGGACTTGGAAGACTAAGAATAGATAATTTATGGCAAAATAAATATAAATGGCCAACAGAAAAAGGTGTTCACCATGACTAGTAACCAGGAATATAAAAATAAAAGTGCTAGTAACCAAGAATATAAAAATAAGATAAAGTACATAATACAAAGTATCAAATTGAATCAAATATCATATTGTATCATATTCGAACATTTTAACAGAAAACTTAAAAAATTAGGTCAGGAATAGTGGCTCACACCTGTAATCCCAGCACTTTAGGAGGTGGGAGGACTGCTTGAGTCCAGGAGTTTAAGACCAGCCTATGCAACAAGGCAAAACCCCATCTCTATTTGTAAAATTATTTTATACATATATATATATGTGTGTATGTATAAAATAAGTTTAAACACACATGCCATTTGACCTAAAACTTTTACCTTCAAAAGCTTTTTCTTCAGAAATTATTTGCCCAAAGATAAACGGTAGGATGCTCATTATAGTGTAAGAAAAAATGGTGACAACTAAATGTCCAGAAAAATGAAAATGGCTGAATAATTCGTGATATTATTAAAATGTGAAATTCTCTGCAGCAGTCAAAAAGGGTAAGATACAGCTATATTTACATGGAAAGACTTCCAAGCTATATTAAATGGAAAGAACAAATCACAGTATTATTTATAGTAATGTTCCACTTATGCAAAGGGGAAAGGAAATCTATTTGTGAATTTGAATATATGCATGTGATTTTGAATATATGCATGTGAATTTCAAAATGCAAGAAAAAACCATATAGGTTACATCCAAAACTACTAACCAGTGGCTGCTCCTAGGAAGAAACTTTTGATATTATCACTTATTATATACCTCCAAATTATTACAATTTTAACACTGTGGAGGATAGCTTTGAGAAACTTTTACTACTCGTATGCTCCCAAATTCCCAGAGTGAAAGATGACATGCAATAGTGCTACGGGTTTTCAAATTCTTCTCTAAAATACAAGACTGACCTCTTCGAAAGGTAGAAAAAGGCCATAAATAAAATTAGCAGCATATTCTGTCTTTTCTGTCAGTACACACACACGCACATGCGCACACACACACAATTTCATGCATACATAACTTAGTATGAAGTTCATAAAGTGTACAATGATTTTAAGCTTTTTTTCCAACCATCTCCATAATCTAATTTTAGAATACTTTCATCACCATAAAAAAAACTGTATTCAAAACTCTTCTGGTGAATTAAAACAAACAAACAAATGCTGGTGCCCATTGGCATTCATTCTCCATCCCCTTTCTGCTCCATCCAATCCTAGGTATCCATTTCCTGTCACTATATTATTTGGCTACCTAAGACATTTCATATAAATAAAACCATACAATATACTGACCTTGGTGCATGGCGTCCTTTACTTTTGAAGTTCATCCATGTTGTATCATGTGTCAGTACTTCATTCTTGTTACTACCCCATTCTTGTTACTACCCAATAATAGATCTGTATGGATATACCAGATCTTGCTTATGCATTCATCAGTTGGTGGGCATTTAAGTTGTTTCCACTTTTTGGCTATTATGAGTAATGCTGCTACGGACATGGATGTACAAATTATTGTGCAGACCTATGTCTTCATTCTTCTTGGGTATACACCTAGGAGTGGAATTTGCTGGGCCATAGGGTAATGCTGTATTTAACATGTGATAACTGCCAAATTCTTTTCCAAGGTGGCTGCACTCTTTTCCACTTCCACCAGTGGTTTATGAAGGACCCAATTTCTCCACATCCTTTCTAATGTCTGTTATTGTCTGTCTTTTTTATCATCACCATTCTGGCATGTGTGAAGGGGTATCTCATTGTGGTTTTAATAATTTGCATTTTCCAGATGACTAATTTTGAGCATCCTTTTGTGTGCTTTTTGGCTATTTGTCTATCTTTTTTGGAGAAATGTCTATTCATATCCTTTGCCTCTTTTGGTGGGGGAAGGCATTGAGTTGTAGGAGTTCGTCATATGTTCTGGATATTAATTGCCTATCAGATACATGACTTGCAAGTATTTCCTATTTTGTGGGTTCCTTTTACTTTGTTGATGCTTGCACATTCTCTTTTGTTCAACTTAAGTTTGTGGAGTCAGTCATGAGAGATCTTACAAATAGATGTGTGTTAACTGTTGCAAATCCAACATATAATATTTCCCCTTTTCCATCCCCACGAATAGAAAATCTTCCGTGCCATGTATGACTATATGGCTGCTGATGCAGATGAGGTGTCCTTCAAGGATGGAGATGCCATCATAAATGTTCAAGCAATTGATGAAGGCTGGATGTATGGCACTGTGCAGAGGACTGGCAGGACCGGAATGCTCCCAGCCAACTACGTTGAAGCTATTTAGGCATTTCAAAGCATCACACTTGTCTGCAGGACTTACAGATCCTGCAGTCAATGTTTCGGTTTAGACTCTCCACTGTTACCTAAGTTCTCAAGCTGCCTATGGTTTTTCTGTGTCAATGTGATTTATGGTAGTACCATCCTTTCTCCTTTGGGTTTTAAAATAAGTTGCAGAACAGACACTTTAAAAGCTTCTGCAATATTATTTCTGTGCCTAGAGTCTTTCTCCATTATAAACATGTTTTAACATTATTTCTTTTCTAAAACAGGGATTTTGAATATGCCAAACACATTAAAGGAAAAATAGCAGAGATGTTCACCTTTTCCTTGCTGATTGCTAATGCTTATTATTTCTAATTCAGTTCTGAAGTTATAAACTTATAATCAATACAAACCAGCAACTAATAAAACCTCTAATTCTGCAACTCTGTGGATGGAATGAGCATTATTTATGTTTAATGGTTTTAATATCTACCTATAAAAATTCAATGAAGCAAATTGTACATAAAATTACTAAAAAATTATCTAAATTTAAAAAATGTACTGTTATGCCTAAGAGTAGACATTCTCAAAATTCTATCTATACTTGCATTCAGCAAGCTTCTATTACAGTTTTAAGAACATCTGTGGACTCCAATCCTAACTTCAAGGGCATCTTTCCCATCTGTATCCAGTAGGATGGCAGCATGTGGCAAAGGCAAAGGGAGAAGAAGCAACCATAATGGCTTAATGTTTAAGTTTACAGACTGTTCTTCCTAGAAGGTAGGTAAGTCCCTGTAACTTTACAGCCGTAGTAATGCTGCCTCAAGCTTCTTAATGTGTCTGAGACTCACAGGGAGAAAATGCTCTTGTGAAGAGAGCGCACTCACTTGCGAATGACCAACGTACACCTCTATGCCAGGCACTGGGTTAGAGGCTGAAGCTCAAGTGAAGAACAAGAGACAGTTGATGCCCTTAGGGAATTTGCAGACCCAAGAAAAGGCAGATTATGCTTAACCATCCAAATGGTGCCAAATGGTGCTACTCTCCTGCTCCCAAGTCTTCCATCTTGCCTTAAACTGGATAAAAATGCAAGTAGGCAACAATCCTATTGTGATTTCCAACTCCCAAACTTTTAGAATACTAAAGTATATGCTATCTCCATTACAATGAGCCATTTTTTTGTTTGGAGACAGAGTCTCCCTCTGTTGCCCAGGCTGGAGTGCAGTGGCCCAATCTCTACTCACTGCAACCTCTCCCTCCTGGGTTCAAGTGATTCTTGTGTCTCAGCCTCCTGAGTAGCTGGGACTACAGGCGTGCGCCACCACTCTGGGCTAATGTTTGTATTTTCAGTACAGACAGGGTTTTGCCATATTGGCCAGACTGGTCTTGAACTCCTGACTTCAGGTGATCCGACCACCTCAGCCTCCCAAAGTGCTGGGATTACAGGCCTGAGCCACTGGACCTGGCCTGGCTGGTTTAGTTTTAAATTTCCTATTTACTTTATCGGTTTGCCAAGGCACACTTTGCAGGTGCTATTGCAAAGAACAACAGAACCTTTGTCTCTTACAGATTTTTCTTTAAAGCCTGGAAAATGTTCAACATGCAGCTGGCTTTCCAAGATCCTTGAGTTCCACATCCACAAATTCAACCAACCATGAATCAAAAATATTCAGAAAAAAAAAGATGGTCACATCTGTACTGAACAGCTAGACTTTCTTCTTGTGATTAGTCCTTAAACAATACAGTATAACATATTTACATACATTTACATTATATTAGGTATTATAATCAAGAGATGATTTAAAGCACAGGTCCCCAGCCTTTTTGGCACTAGGGACCAGTTTTGTGGAAGACAATTTTTCCACACAGTGGGGAACGAAACTGTTCCACCTCAGATCAGGTGTTAGGTTCTCATAAGGAGCACAAACCTAGATCCCTCGCATGTGCAGTTCATGAAGAATTTACTGCGGCCAGTGAGCTGACAGGAGGCAGAGCTCAGGTGGTAATGCTTGCTCACCGGCCACTCGACCTCCTGCTGTACAGCCTGTTTCCTAACAGGCCATGGACCTGTACCACTCCACAGCCCGTGGGTTGGGGAACCCTGATTTAAAGTATATGGGAGAATGTGCATAGGTTATATGCTAATATTAGGTCATTTTACACTAGGGATTTTAATATCCATAAGGTAGGGGTGGTCCTGAAACCAATACCCCATGGATATTGAGGGATGACTGTATATATAAAAGTAGAGAATAATCCTACATCCACCAACTAGCCTCAAAAATTATCAACTCATGGTTAACCCTGTTTCCTCTCCACCAAACCAATGCACTCCTCTCATTACCTTGTAACTTCCTTATACTGAATCTCATTATAGATTAGTCACCTTTCAGTGTGTATCTTATAAAGGACTCTTAAAACATTAATCACAAGAAAATTAACACACCTTAAAAACTGGCAATCAATATCCAATGTTCTAATCTTCCTGCCATCTGCTTGTGCTTGTTGGTCCAACGATACTAGGGAAGTCCTTTGTATATATCTCCACTACCACGTAGGCTGCAAAGAGCCATCTTCAAGAAACTATAAAAGGGAGAAATTAGGTCTATGGGTTACATCTCAATCAAATCTCACTCAAATGTATGAACTGTATTGTGTCCCACCCTCCCACCCCCAAATTCATGTTAAGTCCTAACCCCCAAGGCCTCAGAATGTGACCTTGTAAATAGGATCCTTGCAGATGCTGTTAATTCAGATGAGGCCCTAATCCAATGGCCTTGCTATCCTTATAAAAGGGAAATTTAGACAAATACACAGGCACATAGGTAGAAAGTCATATGAAGATGGGAGATTGGGGAAATACCTCTACCTGTCAAAAATGGCCAGCACACCACCAAGCTAGCTGGGGAGAGGTATGGGACAGATAACTTCCACACAGTCCTTAGAAGGAACAAACCCTGCTGATACCATATCTCAGACCTCTACTATTCAAAACTGAGACAATACATTTCAGTTGTTTAACTTATTAGGTTTGTGGTACTGTTACAGCAGCCCTAGGAAACTAATACAGTGTCTTTCAACATCACTGTTTACCCTAATTGTTGTTGTTGTTGTTTTCCTTAAAACTATGGAGCTTTTCTTCGGCTGCCATCAACATGCTTGGTTCTGCAGAGGAAGTTAAGGTCATGTTGGGGTGAGGCATTTACTTCATCTGGTGACTAGCCTGGCAGTGCCACCTCTGCCCTCGCCCACACCATGTGGACTGCCTCTCCAAGCTTGCCTGCATCTACTCAGCCCTTATTTGACGAAACCTCTCTTCTAACAAGTTCAATGAGAAACTGAACTCATTAACAACAACAACAACAGAAAAACCACCACCTCTGGATTTAGAAACCAGTGGAACCCATAAAACTATGCATAAATCAGAAAACCTCTGTGGTTAAAAAGCAGGCCATAAAAGGGGAAAAAGAAAAGGAAGGGTTCATGTTTGTGGAGGAATATAACATACACTTTGTGGTATTTGAATTAAACTATTCATACTCATTTCAGATCTCACGAAAACAACAAAACAAAAAACCAAAATGTAGCCAACAAAAACAAGTACCAGAGTTTAGTTTTTATAGTTTTATTTCAGGTAAAAGTGCATTTCTTAAAAAAATGTTTCAATATCCAGTTTCCATTGGCAAGTGATAACAGTTAACCCTCAATGATTCATGAAAAGTTTTACTGTGAATCAAACATAGAATTCTGCCCCCCCTCAACAGTCATAAAGAACCAGAAATAGTAACTGTAAGTGTGCCTACTTCAAACACTGTATAAAGCAGTGGTCCCCTAACCTTTTTTCAACAGGGACCGGTTTCGTGGAGACAATTTCCACAGACACAGGTGTTGGGGTAGATGGTTTCAGGATGAGACTGTTCCACCTCAGATCATCGGGTATTAGATTCTCATAATGAGCGCACAACCTAGATCTCTTGCATGTGCAGTTCACAATAGGGTTCACGCTCCTGTAAGAATCTAATGCCACCCAGGGGTTTGAGACCCCTAGTATAAAGCATTACACAATCAAATAAAACTGACTGCACCATTATTTCCATTATTTGCAGGTAACTGAGGAATGAACAAGTACTTCTGTTAGGCTTCAACTTAAATCATTTTTAAGACTTATCAAATACAAATACTTTGTGAATGTAAAACTAAGCTCTCTTAGCGTTTACCAAATGATCGGGACAACAATATTAGAGGGTTAATAAATGACTGATTTGGCATCTATCAGTCTTTTTGTAAGTGCTATCAGTCAGGTCTATCTACAGGAGGTAGTGCAGAAAGCAACTGATAATTCACAGACCATCAAGGTCCCTTAACATCATGGCAAATACGTAACTGTAGTTTGAGAGTTTAAGTAGGAAAAAGAAGTGTACTTATAAAGTAGTAGTGTTTCCTAGTATCTGTAATTTGAGCAATAGTAAAACACGTAAGTAAAATCAGGAGAAGCCATTCTGGAAAACACAGGGGTAACAGAAATTAAGTAATCAAGACCACATTCTGCCAGCTAGAAGCAAATAACTAAATTGACTAACATGCCATGCATGAGCAAAACCTTCCTCCATAAAAGGGATTGACAAACTCTTTAAAAGGCCAGGCAGTATTTTGACTGTTGGAAGCCATACAGACTCTGCTATACTACTAAACTCAGCCACTGTACCAGGAAAGCAGCTAAAGACAATAAGCACAGCTGTTCCAATAAAACTTTATTTCTGGATACTGAAATTTTAATTTAATATGTTTTCATGTGTCACAAAATGTCCTTCTTTTGACTTTTTTCACCATTAAAAAATGTAAAAACCAGTCTCAGCTCACAGATAGTACAAAAAACAGGTGGCATGCTAGTTTACCAATCTGTGCTCTGTAAAAAACTTAGGAGTTAAGACTGCCATCCTTCAGTTTCTATACTCAAAACCAATTTTGCTCTTAATTGTTTTCTTTTAGAAACTTCCTATTCTATAAAAATAAAAAATTCTTTAGACACTTGTTAGCTATTCAATAGTGTATCAAAATAATTGTTAGACTATACTCTATTTTCAGTTCCATGACACTTTATTTTGAAGATGATCTTCCTAGTTATATGTTGTTTATCCGTTTAAGAAACAAAGCTGCCTTTTGTTGGAAATACTTATTAACTTACTGCTTTTGTGGGAGTATTAATAATGTATTTTAACATAATCTCTCAGGGTATTTATGAACATCAATTATAATACTGTGCTATGTACAGAATAGCTCTCAGAGACTATAGGCTATCAGCTATTTCTGAAGTATACAGGAGTATATAGGACAGCTTGTCTCTCTACTAAATGTACTATGCATTAAAATTCCAGCTCAATCTGCCTTTTCCATTCTCTTCAACTCATCACTTCTCAGTGCATCAACTTCTATCAGCATATAAGCTTGCTGCCCAGTAAATTCAGCTTTATCTACAATTATAAATTGGCACACTGTGGCCAAAAATATTCCCTCTGCTACAAGTAGAGTACAAAAGTTAGAGTTTTTTTCTTACTTGTGACATCAACAATGGAAAATATTGTCTTCAATTTTTTAGGTAAGATGAACGGTTATCTTTTATTCCAACGGTATTTACAGCTTACCATAACACATTTGGTTTTAACTGTTCTTTGGAGAAAGGAAGGCTTAGTATGTAAAGAAAAAAATGATTAGGACCACATCGGAAAATTTAACATTCTATTTCAGAACTGAGTAAATTCTCACAACTGTTTAGACTACTATATTAAATATTTATAGATCTTCAAACTTCAATGACTTACACTTTAACGGCTACTTGCAAAGAGCAATATGTAAAGCCTGGCACATAATATACTTATTAACTGGACATCAGAAAGCACGAAACCCAATTTGTTTTACAGATCAAACTATCAATAAATTTTGATAAATTTTTAAAACCTATTACTTAACTTTCGGCTACATTTTCCTTAGTGCTTTCAGGGTAGTTCTTACAGATTATTTAAATATGTGAGGAAAATCTAACACCTTAACAGAATTCCAAGAAAAACTCACTTTTCGAGAATCATATTATTCAACTCCATCTTTCAAATTTCACTTTACGATGAAACAGGAATTTTCAACCACATAATATAACAGAAAATTAAGTGACCAGAGGTCCGCAGTATAATGACAGGGCATATCTGCTAGACTGACTTATTCATTATAGCACTACTAAATTTAACTGCCAGATTAATATTAGGGGTAGTGTTGATTTTCCATGTTTATTAATAACGATGATCCATAATAGAAGGCAAGATTTATTTAGAGACTAAATATATTCTAATACTTAGAAATCAACTTTTATATTAACAAAAACATAACCCACAAATACTCATGAGAAAATACTTTGTCTACTTTGCCTTATCAATAAGATTCTTTATAACTTGAAATTCTTAGTCTGCCTACTTAAAAAATAAATCGTCCATATTTTTAAAAGGCTCTTAAGCAAAATTCTTAACTTTCTTATAATTTTTGAACTTTAAGCCTTCAAAACCAGTCTGCATCCCCAATTCACAAAATTGACAGTTATAAAAGGACTTGAATCTGCCTGGCTTACCAAAACCTAAAACACAGCCTGAAGCCTCTTAGGCCCATCTACCAGCGCAGTTCACAGGCATCTGCATGAATCACCTGGGACTGTGTTTAAAAAGACTCACGGGGCCCAATGCAGATCTACTGAATCAGAATCCACTTGTTCATATGCACATCAAAGTTTGAGAGTACTATGTTAAAAATCAAAACCTCACTCTAATGTTTCTATACAAAGTACAAGGTCTTTCTAATGGCTTAGGAATAGGATAGACCATGGGTTGCAGCAATGAGGAAACAGTCTCCTCCCCCCACCCAAGTTTTAGTCTAATAATGCCAACTAACTGCTGTTTTATAGCCTCCTAGGCTGAATGACAAATTAACTTCTTGAAAATCAATTATGAAGAATATGAGATGAAACCTAGGCCTTTCTTACTGAATTAAAGTCAAAGTTGGAAGAAAAAAATTAACCCATTTATACTTTCTTTTTAAAAAGCAATTACTCTATTCTCACTCCTTTACACCTTAAAAAAATAAAACTTCACTTATATATTCACGATCCCCACCATTTCCCCCAATTTTGTTTCTTGCCTCACCACTTACTCTTCACATTTTTATGATGTTTAAATTGTAACAGAGTCTTTAACTATCTTATCTTCAAGCTGTACAGAAAAAAAAAAATCCATGGGCAATGTTAGAATTAAACTTTTTTTTTTTTTTTGCGAGACAGAGACTTGCTCTGTCGCGCAATGGCATGATCTCGGCTCACTGCAACCTCCGCCTAAAAGGTTCAAGCAATTCTCATGTCTCAGCCTCCTGAGTAGCTGAGATTACAAGTATGCGCCAACATGCCTGGCTGGTTTTTGTATTTTTAGTAGAGACAGGATTTCGCCACATTGTTCAGGTCAGTTTTGAACTCCTGGGCCAAAGTGATCCACCTGCCGGGCCTTCAGTCATGCTTTTAATGTGCGGGTTTAAATCCTGTTTTTGCCTGTATTATCCAACAGCATTATTTAACCTGATTCATCCTTTAACTATTTGGAATTAGAGTAAAGCTCCATATGATTCAACAATGGTTTTCAAACTTGTACAAGTGGCAAAGCAGCTTTAACAATGAGGTCACTGAAATATTGAAAATTTAAATCCACTCTAAAATCCAAAATAGATTTCATAGATATGGAAATGATGGGCCAGGAGCGGTGGCTCACGCCTGTAATGCCACCATTTTAGGAGGCTGAGGCAGGTGGATATCTGAGGTCAGAAGTTTGAGACCAGCCTGGCTGACATGGTGAAACCCCGTATCTACTAAAAATACAAAAATTAACCAGTGGTGGTGGCAGGCACCTGTAATCCCAGCTATTTGGGAGGCTGAGGCAGGAGAATCGCTTGAACCCAGGAGGTGGAGGTTGCAGTGAGCTGAGATCGTACCACTGCACTCCAGCCTGGGCAGCAAGGGCGAAAACTCCACCTCAAAAAAAAAAGAAAATGGCCAGGTGGGGTGGCTCACGCCTGTAATCCCAGCACTTTGGGAGGCCGAGGCAGGCGGATCACGAGGTCAGATCAAGACCATCCTGGCTAACACAGTGAACCCCTTCTCTACTAAAAATATAAAAAATTAGCCGGGCATGGTGGCGGGCACCTGTAGTCCCAGCTACTTGGGAGGCTGAGGCAGGAGAATGGTGTAAACCTGGGAGGCAGAGCTTGCAGTGAACCGAGATCGCACCATTGCACTCCAGCATAGGCAACAGAGCAAGACTGTGTCTCAAAAAAAAAAAAAGATACTACATGACAATCCTGTATGCCACTAGTTTTTTCTTCTTAAATATGCATAAGACAATTAAGACACATTTGAGTGTTATTATGATCTGACATTTGTTTTATTAACCATTAGAAAAGATCTGAAAAAACGAATTCCATTTTAATAGTGAGACAACACAGTAGAGCTAATCATGGAATATTAATGTTTTGCTATTCGGGAATTACTAAGGGGGAAATTTGCAGGAAACTTTAAGGCAAGAATATTGCAAATAAGTTGCCAAAAATATATGCTTATAGCCATAGCAAAATGAAGATTTAGCATGCTTGTCTTTGCTCCCAAATATTTTTAAATGCAGCTTTATTAAACTATAATGTTTTTAAAATTAATACTTGTGCTTATATAAAATTCAGTGATTTAAGTACATGATACTCATTTGGTCACATTTTCTGCTATTACTGTTCGGCTTCCCAAGAATTTCATTCAATCAGCAAGTTTAGTTCACACAAACGTTAAGGCACAGAGTCATGAAACGAACTGATTTTAATTCTGAAGTGTGTTAAAGTAATCTGCTCCCCTCTGCCCCAAACACATATACATAGCTGCTTATTCATACCTGTTTGCTAAAAACTCATGTGCACCTCCTTACGGTTAAATATAATTTGGGAAATTAATGATGTAAAATGTAAATCATAATTATAATTCCTTTTAAGGAAATTAGTATTTTTCTTTAGTTACTTCAAGCCACAATCCTTAATTCAATGATCCCAGAATTCTTTACAAAACCATCCTTGGTATATGAATATCTTAGACCCAAAAATATCTGTGATTATGATGAATTTATGATGATGAAAAAAGACACCAACTTTTATAGAGATCCCTGAATATACGAGAGCTAAGGAGGCACAAGGATTAAACTTTCTATGACTTGCTGTAGAATGTGTGCCTTGCTAAGTAGGGATTAGCTTCTGAATAAAATGTGAAAACTGAGATCACTCACTCATTCTATTCAAAGAAGAAGTGAGATATACTGTCAGTTAAAAAGATGAAACAAATATGGGAAGTCAGGCACTAATATTAGTTGGCAAATTTTACAAAGGTTTTAATTACATACCTCTTTAAAAAAAGAAAACCTAGGCAACACAGACATATATTAAAAACATCAGTTTCAAATTTCTTCCAAGTTTGCTTTTAAATGAAGGTTTAAAAAGCAGATCAACTCTAGATTTTGTAGTCCAACTTGCTGTGAAATACTGAAACTAACTTTCCTTTAAGAAATCTTAAGGAGGCACACTTTCTAGTGGTGATACCCTCCTCCAAACCAAAAGTAGTAAGAAGGTAAGGGTATGAACAGCAAAGTTGTGTAACATTTTCTTATTTCTATAATTTTACTTATTCTGGATACTTTTAGAAAATAAACTCATGTTTTAACTAAGACTGTTAACCAAGTACAAAACTATTTGTTGTTGCATTTGCAGATACAGTATCCTACAAATATGTGCAGCAAGCCCATGAAGCACTTCCACCGTCGATACTGATATTTCAGTATTTAATATATACAAAATGTTTCTATTGAACAGAACCAAGGTATTCACAATAAGCTGCAGAAAAACCCATGCAATTAACAAAGAATGAAATTTATAAATTAAAAACATTGTCGTCTATACATAATGTACAATCATGCATTTAAAAATGAATACTATACGTCTCATAAGAATAAATTTTCAGTCAACTGCTGCTGCATGAATATTTGCTAATGCAAATGAATAAAATCTTAGTAAATTCTGCATTAATATTTTAACCGCCAGAAGTTGAAACTTTTCTCATTTTTCTTGAAAGCTGTCCAAAGTTGACATATGCAGGAAAAATTCAAATTCTTTCGCATTTCATTTGAGGTTTTTAACCAGTAACAAACTTCCTAAACCTCAGTCCCAACAAACATGAATTAAACAAACCAACAAACAAAAATATAAACACCTTTATCAGTTCAGCAAAAATTCAAATAAAAATGTTCAATTTTACTTAAAGTATTTTACATGTTTCACCAGAATATGCACGGGTTTAAGAAAGCATGAAATAAAATGTAAGTTCTGTTACTAGTTTTGCTTTCACATCTCAGTAAGATAATTAAATTTCCTGAAAAACCACGCATAGCAGCCAAGAATACATATTATGAAAAAAAAAAGGATCTTACATAATGAACTTACAAAATTGAACTTACATAATAAGTCACTGTCCTTCAGGGTTTGAAATGTTATCAACTTTGCAAAGAGTCTCTTCTTTGAAATTGTGCTATTATTTCAGAACTTGTTTCCTCAATCAAGAAATCCAGTGATGTTTAAAAAAACCTTCAATTTTCTCTGAAAATACTAAATAGAATTTTCATGGGATGGTGATCTCCAACGTGACTGTAGATTTTTTATTACAGAGTTTGCCATACAACTTAGTTTCTCGTGCATTTCAAATAGTTGGCTTCCTGAATAATTATGAAGATCTTCTGAATCCAGCTGAAGAGCAAGAGCACTAATCTGTGCCAGAAGGTTTTTGGATAATGGAATTTCTAAAGCAACAGGATCAATTATATCTAAAAGAGAAAAAAAAAACCACAATTAAATCTATACCAGACAAAAATTAAATTTTTTACATGATCTTTTAAGTTAGTCCAAGTGCCTAGGTTTCAAATTGAGAGAGCAGGCTTAAGTCTTCATGAGGACAAGCACACAAAAAAATCTACCAGAGCTGCCGCTGCTGCTTATTATTATTATGAGATGGAGCCTCATTCTATTGCCCAGGCTGGAGTGCAGTGGCGTAATCTCAGCTCACTGCAACCTCTGCCTCATAGGTTCAAGCCATTCTCCCGCCTCAGCCTCCCAAGTAACTGGGATTACTGGCATGCACCACCACATCCAGCTATTTTTTGTATTTTTAGTAGGTGCTGGGTTTCATGTTGCCCAGAGTGGTCTCGAACTCCTGACCTCAAGCGATCCACCCACCTTGGCCTCCCAAAGTGCTGGGATTACAGGCGTGAGCCACCATACCCAACCTACCACTGCTTATTATTCTGTGCTATTCTCATAGATTATTCTGTGCTATTAAAGAAATTTAAAAATGGTAGACTACTTCATTTATTAATATAACTAGAAGAGAAAGTGTATAGTTTAAATCCTTGAGACCTTGATGGAGAAGTTGACAAGAAAAACAAGTAGACACATTTGATGTCCAATCGGTTAGTTTTTCATATACTTCACATTAAACATAAAATAATTGTTGAAATAAGGCATGGTCAAATCAGACTAAAAAAAATAACATATTTCAAGAAAGTCAGCTGATCTTCTAAATAAAATTATCCCACTTTTGCTAAAATATACCTGAGACAAGTCTTTCTTCATCAGGTGACAAAGATTTATTTTCTATTCCATTTACTGTTTTTTCAGAAATATCAAAAACTGGAATCTCTTCTAGTCCACGAGTCTTCACCTTGATTACAGTTGGAGCAGAAAAAAACGCAAAACAACAACAACAACAAATTGAAACTTTACTTTTAATAGGAGTAATAGTACAAACACTGGAAAACATTGCATAGAACCTATGTTCTACCACCCATCACAATTAAGAGCTAATACTGCTAAGAAAGTAGGTTCTAACTACACAAAATAAAGCATTACAAAGTATTTCCTCAAAGAGAGGGTTAGAATTTAACAATATTTCATAATGGTTTTCTCAGGAAATATAGCCATGGCAGCTAAGAAAATTACATTCTATTTCCCAAGTTTAAGAATGTGGTATAAAAAAGTCTATACCAGAGATTTCCAAGCTTAAATAAAATATAGAATTTTTTTAAAAAAAAGAACACAATTTTCTGGCTGGGAGCAGTGGCTCACCCCTGTAATTCCAGCACTTTGGGAGGCCAAGGTGGGTAGATCACTTGAGGTCAGGAGTTCAAGACCAGCCTGGCAAACATAGTGAAACCCCCTTCTACAAAAAACACAAAAATTACGGTGCCTGTAATCCCAGCTACTCGGGAGGCTGAGGCAGGAGAACTGCTTGAGTCCAGGAGGTGCAGCTGCAGTGGGCCGAGATCATGCCCCACCTGCACTCTGGCCTGGGTGACAGTGACACTGTATTTAAAAAAAAAAAAAAAAAAAAAAGGATACAATTTTCTTAAGTGTTCCTAGGACGTATGGACCACTGATTGAGAAAATACTAAGTTCAGAAAGTTAACTTTCTGAAAATAATAAGTTCAGTAACCACATGACTCAGCAATTCCACTTCTAGGTATATATACAAGAGAAATGAAATCATCTATCCATATAAAAACTTGCAGACACAGCAGCATTATTCGTAATAGCAAATGGTGGAAACAACCCAAATGTCTGTCAACTGGATAAACAAAATGTGGTATATACATATAATGCATATTATTCAACCAAAAAAAGTCCAGGACCAGATGAATTCACAGCCGAATTCTACCAGAGGTACAAAGAGGAGCTGGTACCATTCCTTCTGAAACTATTCCAATCAATAGAAAAAGAGGGAATCCTCACTAACTCTTTTTATGAGGCCACCATCATCCTGATACCAAAGCCTGGCAGAGACACAACAAAAAAAGAGATTTTTAGACCAATATCCTTGATGAACATTGATGCAAAAATCCTCAATAAAATACTGGCAAAACGAATCCAGCAGCACATCAAAAAGCTTATCCACCATGATCAAGTGAGCTTCATCCCTGGGATGCAAGGCTGGTTCAACATATGACAATCAGTAAACGTAATCCAGTATATAAACAGAACCAAAGACCAAAACCACATGATTATCTCAATAGATGCAGAAAAGGCCTTTGACAAAATTCAACAACACTTCATGCTAAAAACTCTCAATAAACTAGGTATTGATGGGACGTATCTCAAAATAATAAGAGCTATTTATGACAAACCCACAGCCAATATCATACTGAATGGGCAAAAACTGAAAGCATTCCCTTTGAAAACTGGCACAAGACAGGGATGCCCTCTCTCACAACTTCTATTCAACATAGTGTTGGAAGTTCTGGCCAGGGCAATCAGGCAAGAGAAAGAAATAAAGGGTATTCACTTAGGAAAAGAGGAAGTCAAATTGTTCCTGTTTGCAGATGACATGATTGTATATCTAGAAAACCCCGTTGTCTCAGCCCAAAATCTCCTTGGGCCAATAAGCAACTTCAGCAAAGTCTCAGGATACAAAATCAATGTGCAAAAATCACAAGCATTCATATACATCAATAACAGACAAACAGAGAGCCAAATCATGAGTGAACTCCCATTCACAATTGCTTCAAAGAGAATAAAATACCTAGGAATCCAACTTACAAGGGACGTGAAGGACCTCTTCAAGGAGAACTACAAACCACTGCTCAATGAAATAAAAGAGGACACAAACAAATGGAAGAACATTCCATGCTCATGGATAGGAAGAATCAATATTGTGAAAATCGCCATACTGCCCAAGGTAATTTATAGATTCAATGCCACCCCCATCAAGCTACCAAGGACTTTCTTCACAGAATTGGAAAAAACTACTTTAAAGTTCATATGCAACGAAAAAAGAGCCCGCATTGCCAAGTCAATCAGAAGCAAAAAAGACAAAGCTGGAGACATCATGCTACCTGACTTCAAACTATACTACAAGGCTACAGTAACCAAAACAGCATGGTACTGGTACCAAAACAGAGATATAAGCCAATGGAACAGAACAGAGCCCTCAGAAATAATACCACACAGCTACAACCATCTGGTCTTTGACAAACCTGACAAAAACAAGAAATGGGGAAAGGATTCCCTATTTAATAAATGGTGTTGGGAAAACTGGCTAGCCATATGTAGAAAGCTGAAACTGGATCCCTTCCTTACACCTTATACAAAAATTAATTCAAGATGGATTAAAGATTTAACTGTAAGACCTAAAACCATAAAAGCCCTAGAAGAAAACCTTGGCAATACCATTTGGGACATAGGCATGGGCAAGGACTTCACGTCTAAAACACCAAAAGCAATGGCAACAAAAGCCAAAATTGACAAATGGGATCTAACTAAACTAAAGAGCTTCTGCACAGCAAAAGAAACTACCATCAGAGTGAACAGGCAACCTACAGAATGGGAGAAAATTTTTGCAATCTTCTCATCTGACAAAAGGCTAATATCCAGAATCTACAAAGAATTATTCAACCTCAAAACGGAAATTTTTGAGGATAAACCTTGAAAACATTATGCTAAGTGAAAGAAGCCATTCACAAAAGATCACAAGTTGTACGACCCCACTTTTATGAAATATCCAGAATAGGCAAATCTATAGAGGAAAAGTAGGCATTGGCTGGACAGTGGAAATGAGGAGTGATAGCTAATGGGTCAGTGTTTCTTCTCTGGGTGATAAAAAAAAAGATTCAAAATTAGATCATGGGGAATATTATTTAACTCTGTGAATATATTAAAAACTAACTGCACCCATAGGGTAGGTGAATTTTACACGATGTAAATCATATCTTAATGAAGCTGTTAAAAAAAACCTAATTCTCATAGACTTTCCCAAGACCCATGGAAACTGAGTAAGAAAATACTTTAGAAACTAAATTCAATCTGTGAGACAGAAAATTACTAGTAGTATTGGTTTTCTGAGTAACCAGTTAATGAATGTTTAGAAGATCACAAATAAGTTAATATAAAATCAAGGACCTTCAAGAATACAGCAGAAGTCTTCAGTGGCTGGCAAACCCCAGGTCTGAGAAATTCTGATTCAGAACACTGCTTATTCTATTTTTCATTTATTCAAAACTTCTGATACAGGTTGAGTATGCCTACTCCAAAAATGGAATCTTTTTTGGATGGAATGGAATCCAAAATTTGAAGCTTTTTGAGCACTGACATGATGCCCAAATTCTCTAATGAGCGTTTTGGATTTACAGATTAGGGCTGCTAAACTGGCAAGTAGCTGCATAATGCAAATATCTCAAAATCGAAATAAATCTGAAGTCCAAAACATTTCTGGTCCTAAGCAATTCAGATAAGGAATACTCAACCTGTAGTGTCAATGGATAGAGGGTCTCTGAATGGGTTTCAGTAGTCTGTGAATCCTTCTGAAATTATATACAAAATTTTCTATATAGTTTTACAGCAGGGAAGAATCTTAGCTTTCATCAGAATCTTGAAAAATGCCCATGACCCAAAATGTTCATATGCACAATACTGACAAAAAGGAAAAATAAGAAAAATAAGTCACAAATGTGGTAGGCATCCAAACCAAAATACTGTGACCTACAAATCTGTATGGTTTTGGTAGATGTTTGGATTTGAACATCTAGGTTTTAGCAGTAGCAGCCATGGAATCAAATACCGAATGGTGGAAATGAAAGAGAGAAGGGGATGAACAGAATTTAATGAAAAAACAATTTAAAAATTTATCTGAGGTGCAATGCATAAAGACAGTACAAAATAAATGAATCAATTTCCCTGTGCCATTATGAAGTGATCTTTTAACAAACTTCTGTAACTGTACTGCTACATCATTTATTAATATACATCATAGCTAATATCTAAGTTTTTACCTGCTGCTCATGATATATTCTGAGAGCCTTTTTTACATTGGACACTTTTGGAGAACGGATAGGAAGAGTTTTTATTTCAGATGCTGTAAGAGTACTCAAATCACCAATAGTTTTTATATTCTTAGCTCTAATGAGTTGTCCCAGGCCTCTTGCCCTAAACAAAACAGAAACAGGAAATTATAATTATATAGTTTTATTTATATGCTATTTGCAAGGGTTTATCCAGTTCAATTTCCCCATTTAAGCTCAATCATAACTGAGGTTAGCCCACAGTGAAGACAGGCACATGTATGTGTAATTTAAAACAAAATTCGAATCTGATGTGTATGTCTGGTATAAGCAACAGTACTGGCAACTGAATGAGCCCACTGCGTGCCTTGTGCTTCTACATACATCTCATTAATAGATAATTCTTAAGTACACATAATCCCCTCCCCAACTTTAATCAGAAATGGACTTGGTATGTCTGATACATATTACTGCATCATTAAATTCCTCAGAGAAGTTTAAGAATACTTCATCTCCTATTGGGGATTATGCTACGACAGGGCAGCTTGATAATTCAGTTAAAGAGAAACTATCTCAAGGCATCACAAACTACCTGAAATAATTCTTTTAATCAAGATATAGTGAACGATCTACATGCACGCATTTAAGTTTCCAAGACTTAAAACATCAAGGAAACAAACTTGTAATTAGAAACAAAACAAAACAGCTGATGAACAAGTTTTATGTATGTGAGTCTCATGCTTCTTACATGTGATGACTTAACAGCTGTGTGGTTTTGCTGGTAATCTTTGTAAACTTCATCCTATAAAGTAGAAATGATATTCATATTCCTCATAAGGTTTATATTTGGATTAAACAAGATAATGATATAAGGGTTCAATGCAGCACCTGAAATATTATGCATACATCTTACTATACTAAATGTTTTTCATATTGCCTTATCTGGCCTACCTTCTCAGTTGCATTTTTATTTCAAAAATAAAATGTGTGTGAGAGTACATGCCAATCAATTCTAAACATGAGAACCAAGCAATCAGATAAGTCCTCTTAAATAAGTGGCATCTTGGAATATAAGCAAGAAGCCTAAATAACCACTTACCACATGTTTGATGTAATCTGAGGTAAAATGATGTCAACTGGTGCCACACAGTTCACCAATGGTGGGTAAACACTTTCTGTTGGGCATGGTATGGATTCTTTGGCCATTTCTGAAATCTTAGAATAAATTTCAGAAGCTGTTACACAGAGGTCAACTGACTGAACATGAAAATATAAAGTGACATGAAAACTAAAGCACTTCTTACTAAACACTTCTTTGAGCTCTTAAATTTAGGGCTACGTGATCCTGGGGACAGAAATCCTTTGGCTGAAGTGGTATTATGCTAGATAGAAGAAAGGAGAGAAAAAAACACTCAGAACCCTAGATGACTATAATTTCACAATTTTTACAACTTAGACTGCAATCATTTCTTTAAAAGTTCAAAAAACATAAAAAGAGTAATCTACTACCTAATCAATTACTTGCTGGATCATTACTGCCTCTTACCTTTCTGCTTCTCTTCCTTTCTGCTTACCGTGTACCAGACAAAAGAATATATTTTAAACCAAGGAAGAAGTTTTTCACATATATAGTTCATTTTATGACACATCATGTACATGTAATTCTGTGTCGGTATACATATATGTATATTTTAAAGCCTATAGCTTACCTTAGATTGTGTAGTAGGAGAAGTTTTAACACTTTTTCCTATGGGAGAACTATTGGAAGAATGGGACCTAACAATAGAGCACCGTCTATCAATGTCATCTGCCAATCCTGCTTGGTATATTGGATCTGCAAAGGAGACACGGCGAACCTGAAAACACAGGTCAGGATTTTACTTAACAAAATTAAAGTTTTTAAAAAATTACACCATAAATTTTCATTATGAGGTTACCCAAAAATAGAATGTGGGTTTAGAAAATTTATTTCACCAGAAGTCAGCTGCACAGTTCCTAGCGACTGCCTTCACAGATCACATTAACTCAATACCACAATTCACTCTAATTTTCTATATTTTAAACTGTCTCTGCATAATACCAAAGATTGTGAAAAAGGCACAGTAACAAAAACTTAACGAAGCCAGATGTGGCAGTTAAAAGTGTACGATCTGATTCTAGGAACTTTATGGGATTACCAGACTAGAAAGAAGACTGATGTAAAAACAGAAATGTGCCAGGCGCAGTGGCTCGCACCTGTAATCCCAGCACTTTGGGAGGCCAAGGCGGGTGGATCTCGAGGTCAGGAGTTCAAGACCAGCCTGACCAACATGGTGAAACCTTATCTCTACTAAAAGTACAAAAATTAGCTGGGCTTAGTGGCACATGCCTGTAATGCCAGCTACTCAAGAGGCTGAGGCAGGAGAATCGCTTGAACCCGGGAGGCAGAGCATGCAGTGAGCCAAGATCGTGCCACTGCACTACTCTGTCTTACAGACAGAGTAAGACTCCATCTCAAAAAACAAACAAACAAAACAAAAAACAACTTAATCTCTAGATTCTCAGCAGAAGAATTTTCAGTGTATCTTGCAAAGTTCAGACACATGAATAAGAGTAACAGGGATTTTGAAAGAACATTTTTTTTTCTTTTTTTGAGAGTCTCGCTCTGTCGCCAGGCTGGAGTGCAGTGGCACAATCTCAGCTCACTGCGACCTCTGCATCCTGGGTTCAAGCAATTCTCCTGCCTCAGCCTCCTGAGTAGCTGTAACTACAGGTGTGCGCCACCAGGCCCAGCTAATTTTTGTATTTTTAATAGAGATGGGGTTTCTCCATGTTGGTCAGGCTGGTCTTGAACTCCCGACCCTCAGGTGATCCACCTGCCTTGGCCTCCCAAATCCCATGCCTGGGATTACAGGTGTGAGCTACCGAGCCTGGCCAAAGGAATACTTTCAAAGTGTTGTTTGTTGAAGGCAAAAAACAAGGTGTCATGTCTATATATTCATGCTTGTATATATAAAATGTATTCTACAATGAATAGCAGGTTCAAGTTCAAAATTAAGGAATGCCAACATCATACCTTTTCAGGATATCTATTTTGTTAAGTATAAGACAAGTTGAGTTACGTAAATACATTTAACTTTTCCTATTTTTTTATTCATTCATTCAACAAACTATGTGCAAGGCACAAGGCCTGAAGCTAAAGCAGATATATAGATAATCCATCTTTTCTAAAGTAAAAGATCTATAATTTAGCTGAGGAAATGGGGATATAAATAACTAAATAAGATCACATCTACAAGTTGATGAAGGCACATGAGTTTTTTTTTTTAATTAGATATGGTCTGGAACATGTATGTAAAACGTAAAACAGCATAATGTTCCAACACACAACTACTAAATCTGCTTTATCAATGGCAGTGTTGCCTGCATTCCTAAATCTGTTTCCTCATATGATATTATGGTATGGGGAGCAGAAAAGATGCTAGGAGCCTTATCAATTTTGCCAAAGGTGAACAATGTGCACAGCTGCATAAAGATCTTTAGTGTTGTAAAATGAAAGACTTATCTAAAAGGCTTCAGTCTCCTTTTTTCGAAACCTTTTCTTCTACCTACCTTTTCCCTAGCAACCATTATGGTAAATAATCAAATGAGTGGCCATATAATTGTAATATTTTGTCATTCACCAGAGGTCACTGTATGGCCAAAATATCCCAACCAAATACTGGGTTCCTTAATATTTAGCCTCATTCCCCTTACCTTATTAACAGGTGATGAGATTTCATCTTCTTGGGATCTTTTTAGTCCTCTCTTTAAAATGCTCGTAGACGGAGAAGCCAAAGGAGACCAGACACAGCGTGTCTGCATGCCACTAGGACTGTCATTTGCTGACACAAGTGAAGGATCAAGTTCCCTTAGTTTTTGAGGAGATGCATTATTGTCTTCTATTATTAGCTCAGAGATAGCTGTTCCAGATGCCAGACACTGTGATGGTTCCTCCACTTTCTGTGAAGTATGGTGATCTTCCTGTAAAATATCACTTTCCATTACCATTTGATTGTTATCTAATTTTTCTTCAGATTTACTATACTCAGTATTTGTTTCAGTTTTATTAGCGTCAATGATTCCTTCTTCAGTGCTCATTTCAACTGTGTCACAAACAAAGTTGTCCATTTCTGCAGTCAACATGTTTGTTTCAGCTTCATCAGGCTTTGAGGTTTTGGTAGTTATGCCCTCATTCTCTGTTTCACCATCATGGCCAGTTTCAGCCATTGCCTCGCCGATCATCATTTCTTCATTATTTTTCATTTTGGTATTCGTTTCTTCAGATGAGTGTAGATCAGATACATCATTTCCTCCATCTAGTTCCCCAGCTGCTGTTTGTTCAGAAATCTCAGTTTGAGCATTCAATTTTACAGGTGTAGTATTATCAGAAAGACTAATATCTGAATTAAATTCCTCAGTTGCTACTTCTTTGGCATTCAGTTTAGCTGTGTCTGCTTCAGAGTCATCATTTCTTTTATTTTCTTCTATTGCTGCTTCTTCAGAAATACCAGTTTTGGTTCTCTCTTGTCCATGAAAGCTAGCTTCATTTCCTACATTCAATTCCATAGTTTTTGCTTTCTCTAGATTGGATTCTGTTACTTTACATGCATTTCCTTCAACAGTAACATTCTCTAGACTCAGTTCCATTTTTGGGGTTTCTTCTGGTTTTTCTTCTTTTGTCTCCAAAGATTCCTGTGAAACATTTTTCGAGTCTCCTAAACACGGGCCAACAGTTTTAAAATTTTCATTAGGTGACTCCTGGCTTTCAAGAGACATTGCTTCACTAGAATCCATATCACAAATTTCCTCTCTAAAGTTTACTATTCCAGAAGGAAGAGATTCTTGCATAGTGTTTTCTTTTGATTTGGTTTCAGAAACAATTAATGAATCATTAATAGTATCATTATCCTCTTTGAGACCCAAATGAAAATTCACACTATGATGTTCATCTAAAAATTGTCCTTCAGAATATGGATTAGCTTGAGAAGTTTCTGATGGGCTTACAGGTGCTTGCACATCTGCCTTTTTTGTTTCACTAATCTCTACGTCATTATTTTCTGTATTCTTTAACCCAATGAGTGACTTTTCCTGAGGTTGTGATTTTTCCCCACAGCAATCACAACCTTTAGATCTCCTCACCCTCCTACTTCTCTTGTGTTGGCATTCAAGTGTTTGAAAAGTTTTTTCTGAAAGCGAAGAAATATCTGATATCCCTATTTTTGAGGATTCTCCCAAACTACAATTATCAAAAGAGTCTCGCTTATGTAATCTCTTAATGGCATTTCTAGTCCTTAGATTTGATTCTGGCACAGGTAGACTTGTAAAGGAATATTCTGCATATTTGCTAGTTTCATTTTTTTCCTCACACACATTTGGTAAATCATCAGGAACTTGCAACAAATCTGAAGTTACTGTAGAATCCTGACATATTACAGTATTACTTTCATCTTGTTTTTCGCAAATCGGAGATTTTATGCTTACATCTTCTTCAGAAGTTGCTTTATAATCATGTGACTGATTTTCAGCTTTTATACATTCCTGTTTCACCACTTTCTCTTCTTGATCTTGAATGTCAACACTTTCATTGCTTTTGTTTTTCCATTTTCCAGATCTCTTCTTCCTAGAACCTTCTTCTTTTGCCTCCGAACTATCAGATTCTGAGTTTTCAATGCTGGAAAGCAAACCCTGAGATGCTCTTCTAGTTTGATACCGTGTTCGGCCTCTGACTAGTTTCTCAGAGGACTTATCTACAATGTCCTGGGTACCATCCCCCTCAGACTTAATGTTCTCAGGGTCTGCCTTTTTTTTATTTTGTTCAGTTTCTGCATTAGCACTAGTTTCCCCAAGAGTCTTCTCATGTAAATTACTTCCTTTCTCAATTAAATTCTCCTGTAGAGTTTGTTCAGCAATCAGTTTTTGTTTAGGTAACACATCATCTTTTATATGCAATGGACTCTTCTGAAGAGGTTTTTCTTCTTCCTTACGTCGTTCCTTTTTTTGATGACTATTTTCCTTATCTTGGCTTTCAGTGGTAGACTCTACTACTTCTGAACGTCGCCTTGAAGACCGTCTAAGGGTTTTCTGATTTGGAGTTATCTGAACCTGACTATCCTCATTTACCATTTGATCTGCTGATATTACTACTGGGGGTGTATTCTCTTTGGATTCCAAATTAATTTCTACATTTTTCTCCTCTACAGTATTAGTTTCCAATAATACAGCATTTTCCACTGTTGCTGCTTTAAGCTTTGTATTGTCATGCTCCATTGTAGATTCAGAAAGATGAACCTGATTATCTGACACACATTCTGTTTGATTAAGCAAACCAGGTGGGTTATTTTCTAAGACTACAATGCCTTCAACAGATTCCTCAGTATTTTTCTCCGGCTCAGATCTCATTAAGGGCTTAGACCTTTTATTCCCTGTTTGTTCAGCTTTACCAGCTCTCCGGCTTGATCTCTTAGTTCCATTCACTATTTTTTCAGAATCAGATTTTGAAAAAGTCCCTTCTCTTTGCTTTGCTTTTGGTAGAAAATCTGTTTTAATCATGGTTTCCTGGTTATTTTTCACTGTAACAGTTGATGAAATATTATTCAAGGGGGATGGACTAAAAGGTCTATTTTCTGAACCATCAAACTTCTCCAAAGTAATAAAGGTTTGCCTCCGACTTGTAGGGTATGGGGGAGTTCCAGCAACAGTGGTATTAGAAACTGAACTACTGCTGACAACGAAAGAATTTTCTGTACTAGATGCACATTCAGTTGATGTTTTCCTTGATGAAATTAAAGCTTTTTTTCTTTCATCATTATTACTGTTTGACATTTCTGGACTGGTTTTGTCAAGAGAACCACACTCATTATTCGAAAGGGAGGACTTTTCAAGATGTTCAGCCATACCACAGTCTTCCGTGACATCTTGAGGAATGACAATGTCACTGTCCATTTGCTCCTCCTGCACAGAAATATATACATATATATACACACACAGATTAATAACCAGCAAACGAGTTTGACTTTCTGGGAAAACTTTAGTGTAAAACTTCGGTAACCCAAAGATAATCACTGACATTCAATATATGGCAACTATTCCAAAGTTAGTGGTAGATACCTAACAGTTTGTGTTCCTAATTGTAAATATTCAAGAAAAGCCAAGTACATTTATTTTATACACACACACACACACACACTGACTAGTGTCTGCTGATATTCTGCTAGTATCTGAATGGGAGTTAAAAGGAAATCATACAATAAATCTACAATAAATTTTAAAATTAATAAAGGGAAGACCTACAGACATTTCAGCAGTTTAACAGACTGTATAATGGAAGGGTGATTCTAAAAAGCCCAAAATATGAAATGTCAAACATACCGTAATCATCATCTTAGAATCCTCCTTTGGTTTTCTGGTTAAAGTAGGAATTTCCCTGAAATAAATATTAGTAAGAATATTATTTTTATAATTATTTGAAAATGAATAAAACAGATATAAAAGTTTGATGGCTTCTGTACTTACATAGGCTCTTCCTGACTATACTGAGTAAATAAGGTATCTTGGGAAACATCCAGATTATTATACATGGCAGGAATATCACACCTGAAAAAAACTATATATAAGTAACTTCAAAAACCGGATGATATTCTTACAATTAGAAATTAAACTTATGGCCAGGTACGGTGGCTCACGCCTGTAATCCCAGCACTTTGGGAGGTTGAGGTGGGTGGGCTGCTTGAGCTCAGGAGTTCAAGACCAGCATGGGCAACATGGCAAAATCCTATCTCTACAAAAAATAAAAAATTAGCTGGGCATGGTGGCGTGCATCTGCAGTCCCAGCTACTTGGGAGGTTGATGCGGGAAGATCACTTGAGCCCGGGAGGCAGAGACTGCAGTGAGCAGAGATCATGCCACTGCACTCCAGCCTGGGTAACAGAGAGAGACTCTGTCTCAACAACATAAAACAAAACATAAAAAGAAACGAAAATTACAGTTCTACTAAATTGTTATAAAATCATGACCTAAATGCGTATTTCCCACCTCAGAGAAGAAATTCAGTTTATAAATATTTGGTACATTACTAGGTAGCTTTATACATTATGAAATGCATTTATGTAAAGTATAACTTTTCGCATTAAAATTTAGTACACGTGGCCGGGTGTGGTGGCTCACACCTGTAATCCCAGCACTTTGGGAGGCCGAGGTGGGCAGATCACGAGGTCAGGAGATCAAGACCATCCTGGCTAACATGGTGAAACCCCGTCTCTACTAAAAGTACAAAAAAATTAGCCGGGCGTGGTGGCACATGCCTGTGGTCCCAGCTACTCGGGAGGCTGAGGCAGGAGAATAGCGTGAACCTGGGAGGCGGAGCTTGCAGTGAGCCGAGATGGCACCACTGCACTCCAGCCTGGGCAACAGAGTGAAACTCCGTGTCAAAAAAAAAAAAAAAAAATTAGTACACATATTTTAGTTCTAAACACAAAGTTACACTTTTCTTGCATGAAATCTAAGCCTGAATACCAAATACCCAACTCAAGATAAAAGGCCTACAAACCGCTTTGTTTTGAGAACTTCTTTTTGATGATCAGTTAATATTCTTTCCTTTGCATCTTTTCCTTCTGGAGGTATAAACACAAAGTCAGTAGACTTTTCCTCTTCCAAAAGAATTTCACCCTTTACTTTTAAAGACGAAGATTCAAGTTTCAGCTGCAGATTTGAAAAAATAAGCAAATGTACATTTTAGCTTCCAAATTATTTTCCAATATTTCTATCACTCTCCTCTAATAATGACACCATTTTTCAATAGTGATTATGAAAGTTGATGATACTCATGATCCGTAACAAATTAGTACAATGTTCCCCACTTTCTTTCTGCCTCTAATAAATACTAAGAAAGTAGACAGTATTAAACCTCTTTACGAAGTAGGGAAGTCTGTGCTTAACTACAAAGTATGGACAAAACCGTCTGTCAGGCTAACACATGGAAATGAACTGATTTGGCAGGAGGAGAGTATATTTGCAGCTCTCAAGTTGAGGCATGACTTAGTGAAAGTCGCCAATACAAAATGCCCTACATACAAGTAACTTTGGTACTACAATATTATCTTAATAAATGTTCATTGGAACCATTGCTTTAATTCTATTTATAGTTGCTACAAGAATGTGGCAGAGGTATTCTTAAAAAATAACACTTTTCTTTCATTTCACCAGGGCCATGGTCTCAAGATTCTAGAATAACCTTTACTGGAGGTCATGGAAGAGAGAACTGTTGTCTAAAAGTCAAGTTAACTGGCAACTAGCATGAGCTAGTTGATAAGAACATAGGTGTCTTATCTAGGCATTATTTATTTCTATTCAAAATATTAAGTTCTAAAATAACAATAATCCTAAACAAAAGTTCTAAAATATTTTCTCTTGTGCTACCTATGTTAGTCATTCATAACTAGTCTCATTCCATCTCAAGGGGGCTGCTGCCTGGAATAACTACATGTAACAGTTGCTAAGCATTACACAGAAACTTACCTTTCCTAAACAGGAATCATCACCCAAGGCTTCTGGGTTACCATGCTATCCTAGCAGTCTTTCTACATCAAATGCCCTCAATTCCCCTGCAATCCCAACCTTTATTTAGTCTTTTATAGTTCTTTCATCCAATTTTTAAAGTTGTATGTAAGTTACAATATACTTTATCTTAAAATTTTTGATTAAACTTTTGAAAACATACTTTGGCTGCTGGTTTCATATTTTCTTTTTTATTCTTTGTTTGTGCCAAAAATGAATCTCTTTTTCCATTTGATTTTCTCTCCATGCCACTTATCTTCACATTTAGTTGTGAATTTTCTGTCTGTTTTATTAAAAATGAAACAATTTCATTAAATAGAACGGTAATATTTTGCTTTTCCTTTTCACGTTTTGAAAATTCCTAATAAATAGTAATTGCAAATATTGTCAAAATTTTTCTAATTATTCAATCCCATAAAAATCAAAGAAAGGAAAGCCACTGTCTAATTCAACAGCAAATGGCTTTGGTGTCTCTTTAATAGTAGCTGTTTAATACCATTCAATTTTATGAATTCTGAAAATGAGACATGTCACATAAACACATAAAGTGAATTAAATTACTACATTCAAACACTCTACCTGTAACTGAAAATATTTCTAAGAGAATATTCAAAGCCATAGAACTTTAAACATTAAACAACTGAGGGTTAATAAAGCATGTATGACAGAGCATATTTCCCCTCAACAGAATATATAGCTTTTACAGACCACATTCCACTGAACTCTTTCACAAGTCTGTTAGTTATCTAGTGGAAAATTTTTACTTCAGCCAAAAGCAAATGAGATACTTAGTTGGCTATAACAGTCTTTTTTCTCCCAAAGATTCTAAACAAAATTAGCTATACCCTAGCTGCTCCTGAATAGAAAAAGGTTTTCTAAGAACACTCTAGCTCACAAGTCTATAGTACCCGTGCCTTTAACTACTATATCTTCAGGCAGTAATCAAATATTATTAGCCAAAGAAACTTTGCTCCTAATGCCATGTGACAGCAAAGATTTATTTTCCTGATAGAAGAATTGAGAAAATCAATTTTTTAAAAATAAGAAAATGAACAGCAGCTCTGGCTTAGATATGGCTTAGTAACCATTATTTCCAGTTTTTCCAAAGCAACAATTATGTATTTTACTCTTTGTGAACAGCACAGATGAGGTACCCGAGTTCAAAACAAATGATTAATGACAAGAATTAGAGATTATTTACATGAGAATCTCTAGTGAAAAATCACAAAAGAAATTTCAGGCCACACCACTGACAATGTGGAAAAAGCCTATGTTACAAAACTCTTTTCTGTTCAGGTTCTACTTATTTATAACTTTCAACAAATAACTTAAATGTCCAAAAACAAATGAACAATAAAACCCCCCAACTTACTCCATCAGAATATGGTCCACTGGATTCCTCCATCATTTCAACAGTTTCCAAACCAGGCAACAGGAGCAGAAATTTTTGTTTGGCTTGTGTTAGTACTGGTCTTTAAAAAAGTACATAAAATATATACCTTAAGTCAAGTAGTACTGGTGAACACTGATGATCTGTTAACAACAGCACTTTAATTTTTAGAGCAGCAAAATACATCTTTATTTTTAAATAAAGACTGTTCCTTACTATGTGTATATAAAACTGAGAAAAATTAGGCAATTTTTATATTTTTCCCTGTACTTTTCTGAATTCCAAATTTTTATCATGGAAAATTCCAATAAGAAGTAGAATATTATATAAAGTATTCATGTCTAGCTTTAATAATTATCCAGGCAGGGCACAGTGGCTCACACCTGTAATCCCAGCACTTTGGGAGGCTGAGGCACGCAGATAACGAGGTCAGGAGATTGAGACGATCCTGGCTAACACAGTGAAACCTTGTCTCTACTAAAAATACAAAAAATTAGCCAGGCATGGTGGCACGCACCTTCAGTCCCAGCTACTCAGGAGGCTGAGGCAGGAGAATCGCTTGAACCCGGGAGGCAGAGCTTGCAGTGAGCCCAGATCGCACCACTGCACTCCAGCCTGGGCGACAGAGTGAGACTCTATCTCAAAAAAAAAAAAAAAAAAAAAAAATCATCTATTTCCTGTCCTCCTTGTCTCTTTTATTAAGGATAATTTAAACTGCTTTTCTTGGCTCCTGAAATCAAGATTATTCTAAGCACCAATGAAAAGGTGAAATAATGTTTAATAATTATCATGTATTCCAAATGGTAATATTTCAACTAAGGAATCCTCTGTAACAATACCCCATAAGAAAAGATTATTTGAATCAAAGTATCAATTTATATGATCACAACAGAATAGTTAGTTGTATATAAGTTTTGTTGTTAGCATACTTTAACTCTTCAGGATAAACCAACATCATCACTTTGGCAAAAGTGGCATTCCAGAACTGAGCACTCTGTTTTCGAATCTGTTTATTCTTGTGCAGAAATATTATGCATAATAGTGGGGAGAGTTGTTCAAGAAGTTCACTATCATAAGTTCCGGTGTAGCTGAATTGCAGACAAGCAATAATTTCTCCCAGTAGCTTTTCTAACTAGGAAAAACGAAAAAATAAAAGCAAAACATATACTAAATATTAACTCACAGAATATATGTTGCTATTTCAATTTTTAAAATTAAGACAATTTTAAACTAACCCCCACTGTTGCCTTAAATATATATCCCTCTTTATAACTCGACAAATTATCAGGTGAATTTGCTTTGGTTATTAATATTACAGTTCAATTTTGAACTTATTTTCTATTAACAAAAGAAATTATGTTTTTGTAATAATTATAACAAGATAAATAGTTACCTACATACGTTCACCTAGAAAACTTTGGGTCCAATCGCCATCATATACAAAGGGATGAGCTAAGAGTTGATTAACTAGGCTGGGCTCAGTGGTTCACGCCTGTAATCCCAGCACTTTGGGAAGCCAAAGCGGGCAGACTGCTTGAGCTCAGGAATTTGAGACGAGCCTGAGCAACATGGCAAAACCCCGCCTCTACAAAAAATACAAAAATTAGCCAGGAGTGGTGGTGTATGCCTGTAGTCCTAGCTACTTGGGAGGCTATGGTGGGAGAATCACCTTGAGCCCAGGAGGGCAGGGGTGTGGTAAGCCGTGATCGTGCCACTGCACTCCCAGCTAGGTGAGATTTTGTCTCCAAAAAAAAGTTCATTACTTAACATGAATTTAAAGTATTAAATCCTTAAAAAAAAAAAAACCCTATAAATGTGTTCATATGGTGTTATTAAATGTCCATTAAAAATGAAGAACAGGACAAGCGTGTTGGCTCACACCTGTAATCTTAGCACTTCGGGAAGCCGAGGCAGGCGAATCACTTGAGGTCAGGAGTTCGAGACAAGCCTGCCCAACATGGTGAAACCCTGTCTCTACTAAATACACAAAAAATCAGCTGGGTGTGGTAGCATGTGCCTGTACTCCCAGCTACTCAGGAAGCTGAGGTGGGAGAATCACTTGATCCCAGGAGGTGGAGGTTGCAGTGAGCCGAGATCCTGCCACTGCACTCCAGCTTGGGTGACAAGAGCAAAATGCTGTCTCCAGGAAAAAAAGAAAGAAAGAAGGAATAACCCCTTTAAAAATCAGCAGAATTATGTTTAAGAAAATTATCTAAACTCTATCATTTTCTCATCATGAAAGTATGGTTTATGGAGAATTGTCTATTTTTACCTTGTTGTTCAGACAACTATATACTTTAGGAACTTCATCAAGCCTAGGAAGGATAAAATAGAATACCATTTATATTTCTGCAAGTTAACACTGTACTATCTATCAAGCTAATCCTAAGAAAAAGGTAATAAAGACATAATAAATATAAATTGATGATATAAAAAGGTGCCCAAAGACTTAACAAGTAAAAAACTCAAATACTAAATATTAAGCATAAAACCATCCCATCTTTGAAAAATGAATCACAGAAAATATCTACAATAAACCTCAAAGTAATAATCATATTAACTGCTTGTT
This sequence comes from Homo sapiens, assembly GCF_000001405.40. Classification (NCBI taxonomy): domain Eukaryota; kingdom Metazoa; phylum Chordata; class Mammalia; order Primates; family Hominidae; genus Homo; species Homo sapiens. The sequence continues at coordinate 151,456,323 of NC_000002.12, read as the reverse complement.
TCTGTACATTTCTTTTAGGCATTACTTTTGATGAAATATAGACTTAAAGATTTGCAAAGAAAAGTTCATGGATTTGGAGGTTGTATCGTACTTTATAAAATCTGTTCCTAAAACTTTGTTAATTTATGAAAGATAAACTGTCTTCTGAATGAACCACACAAGCTTGCTATAAAGAATATTCATGAATCCTTTCAAAATGCTTGTACGAGTTTGTTACTGAGGCTTTTTTTTTCTTTCAGGTTTTAAAGCACTGCTTGCTTCGATTCAAATAAAGGGTGATGCAAAATTAATTCAATTTTTTGGAGACCAATTCAGACACATAAATGTGTATACCCAGAAATAGTGGCAAATGTGGGCAATGATTTACGTATAAATAATGTTCAATTGTTATGAGGGAGAACACTAGAAAAACATGTATGTCCACCAATCAGAAATTGGGTAAAAAGTTTAACAGAATCACATGTAGACATTTTTAAAAATGAGATTCTCATGTATATGGTACAAGGACAGAAATCCCTCAGTATCCATGGGGTATTAGCTGGGCATGGTGGCGGCTAATTCCAGGACCACCCTCCTGCCAAGATACCAAAATCCATGGATGCTCAACACTCTAATATAAAACAAATTGTATTTGCATGTAACCTACACACATCCTCCCATATGTTTTAAATCATCTCTAGATTCCTTATAATATCTAATACAATGTAAATAATTGTCATATTGTATTTATTTGCATTCATTTTATTAATTTTTCTAAATAGTTTCGATCCAGGGTTGGTTGAATCCATGAATGCAGAACCCATGGATACAAACAGCCAACTGTATTAAGTGCATACCATATAATTAATTGCAAAACAGCATGCCAAGTAAGCTTTCCTATCTATCATGCATTTAATAGGTATGCTTGTTTGCATAAACAATTCTGAAAAGGTAAGCATTGAAAAGCAAAGGGAAAGGGAAGTAACAGGCAAAATAGACTTCCAATTTCTCTCTCATATTTCTATACTATTTTAACTATCTTTTCAACAAAAGTGTAGTTTATTATCCTCTCCACAAAATTGTCAAGACTACCATCTACAACACAGCTGATTAAAAAATAAAAGTTGCTACCTATATTTAAATTGTATACATTTAATTCAAAGCTACTTAGTCCAAAATACTTACTTTGAGTTTTCATAAAATAATGCCAGAGGTCTTGTTAAAGTTGCAAATATTTTTCGGATCATAGAAGGCAAAGAAATATGCCCAAGTACACTGGAAATAATGCCGGTGATTGAGTTGCCAATAGTGAAGAGGGTATCAGAATGTGCTTCCTTGAAGCTCAGTGTGTGGAAAGAATAGATCACTTTCACAATAAGTTTAAATAAAGAAGTCAATTTCCCTAGGGGCTCATTCTTCTTTTTGGACCAATCTGAAGGTCTCTGTGGTGCTAAAAACAAAAACTGAATTAATTAAAAACTCAAATAAATTGAAAATAGGAGTCACTGTCCACTTTTACAATTTATAGCTCACATTTAAATGTTAGATACATCAAATACATGTCCGTTTGCTGACTGACACCCCAAACAAATCATAACATAATGTACCATTAATGGATAAGTATCACTAGAACATTATCTTTACAAATGAGAATGGGAGACGAAAACTACTTGGCGGATCATGAATATGAATTCCAGAAAAACAAGTTCATTTTTTCTTAGGAATTATAAAATGCATCTCAAACTTTAATTTTACATTTCATAAAATTTCAACAACTAATATGCAAGAAAGTACCAAATTACATAAGATAGGTTCCAAATTTAAATTTTGAAAGTTAGTTTTAAAAACAAAAAATTTCCACTAAGAATGACGGACCATTTTTTTGCTCATCTATAGTACATTGATCCCTACAAATAACATTGAACAAGTCAGAGATACAAAGCTGAGAAAGAATGCAGTAAGTCTACTATTTCCTAGATATAAAGAAAAAGATTTGTCCTAAAAGTACTGTCTGATTTTTTGTACCCTTAGATAATCCCTCTGTAAACATCTACCTAGAAGAATAAACCCACATAGCCCTTGCCCAAAAAATTTACCCATTCCAAAATTACTTGTTTCTCTCAATCAATCCATTCTTTTAAGGAATGAGATCTCAAATTTAACAGAAAACGAATGCTTAATTAAAATTAATCTCATATGGTAACATGAAAAACAAGTGTTGCTACTAAAAGGAAGTTGATCTTTCTCCTTGGAATCAATTTTTCAGACATTTATGTACACTGAAAAACTATATCCAGAAATTCCCTGACAGAATGCTGAGGTGAGGTGACAGCCATTATGTCAGGAGACTGGTTACATACAAGTGAATGATCAAGTTGTAAATACATTGAGGGTAATGAAAACCAGGTTTCTCACTATTAGAGACAGTAGAGAAAAATACAGAAAAGGAATGAATAGCATAATCCATGTGATATTAGATGGTAAATGAAAGTGTATCTAGAGAAACAAGCAATAATTGTGCCACAGTAAGTATTTAGTAATTAACCTTACAGTGGAAAACCTGGCAGATGCCATCCTCAAACAAACAGGAAGTGTTAACATCACCAGTAATGGGAAAATAATGAATTGAAAAAGAACTACAGCATTATTTCTGTGGTACTCCAGTAATGAATGGACCCTGAATCTAATCTTAAAGCAATATGGTAATCCCAGATTGAGAGACTCTAAGAAAGTAAAATTGCCTTTTTTTTTTTTTTTTTTTTTTTGAGACAGAGTCTAGCTCTGTTGCCCAGGCTGGTGGAGTGCAGTGGCATGATCTCAGCTCACTGCAACCTCTGCCTCCTGGGTTCAGGAGATTCTCCTGCCTCAGATTCCCAAGTAGCTGGGACTACAGGCGCGCACCACCATGGCTTGCTAATTTTTGTATTTTTAGTAGAGACAGGTTGTAGCCCTGTTGGCCAGGCTGGTCTAGCACTCCTGACCTCAGGTGATCCACCCACCTCGGCCTCTCAAAGTGCTGGTATTACAGGCGTGAGCCACTGCACCCAGCCTAAAGTTGTTTTTTGAAAGACATAAAAGACAAGACTGAGGAACTGTTCCAGGTTGTCAACTTGTCTAAAACTATACCTTAAAATGGTTCAGAAGGGAAAAAGAATAAAATGTATATTCTGGGGGGAGGGGGGAGCAGATAAGATAAATGCAATCAACCATTAATTGAGAAACCTGAGTAAAGGAATACGAAGTTTCCACATAAACTCTTGCAGTATTTCTCTAAATTTGAAATCATCACAATGTAAGTCACCAAAAAATCCCAAGGTGATCCTGATAATAACAATTTCCTTTCGGTTAGTCTTAACATTGTTTCCTCTTCTCAACTTCTTTTAAAAATCTCCCCATTACCCAAATTTTACAGCAAGAGAACTCTGGCTCTGTTTTGCATGGACACGGAGTGGAAAAGACATTTGTAACTGTGGGTTCCTGAATTGGATATTCGGTTAAATCTAATTTCAGAAGTACCAACATAGGTAAAATTATGTCAAAATGAGACTGATCATCTTCGCTCTATGAAACTTCAGTGGCTTATAATTTCTGACATCATCTGTTATATAATCTTGGTAAACTTATGATTTTCAGAGATAAGCCTATTTTTCTGACACACTGAGGTAATCATATTAGGTCCTGGTCAGACCAAGAGGAGAGCTAAGATCAGTATGTCAAGAACATCTATAACCTATATTTCCACGGCACTCAGGCCGGGATGCTCTGACCTATAATATACTTCAGGAGCTTAACATGTTACTCCATATTGCTACTTAGTAAAAATTCAAAAACCAAAAAAGATTCTAAGAATGTTTTAGAAAACTCATCAATGGCAAATCTTATTGTTAGATAATTTTATGTCCCTAATCTTTAAACAAGAATAATATATCTCAACATCAACTAACATTTTTCATTAATGACAGATTATCACTACCTATATGGTAAGAACATATAAACATAGGTGGATATATCTGACTTCAATGAATCAATTAACAGATTTTAAAAACTATTTGCTACAAAATAACTTAAAACTAACCAAGGCATATGGTTTTAAAAATCACGCAACTTGTTATGATCCCAATTGTCCAATTTTAATCATTTAATTACCATGTTTCAGGTAAACGATGAGTTAAACTTTGTAACATTTCTGGAAAAAAATAACCAATTAACTGATCCCATTGTTTTCTTTTAAATTATAATGTCAATTCAATGACTATTTTAAATCAGGCTTGCAAATAAAAACATTTTAAGTTATGTCTAAGTTTCTTGTCCAGGTAATCCTTCATACCAGATGGAATGAGTAAAACCATTTGTACTATTAGGCAATCTCTAATTAGAATAGTATTTATCTTTCTGCGTTGTAAAAAGGAGTAAAGAAATTTTGTGTGATAGAGATAAGAGAATGATACAGAGCATATGAAAATTAAAAAGAAAAAAGAGAGAGAACATGTATGAAAGCTCCTAGCATAGTAACTAACATGGTTAAACAAGATCAAAAGTTAGTAAAATGAGGTGGCAAAGGTATTAGGACTTCCCCTGGCAAAGTTCAGTACTGCTTATGAAATACTGGACAAACAAAGGTTAAAAAATACATACTTACATTTAACTTTGGGCTGATATTTAATATTATATGGTGAGAAGTCAATGCAATCAACCATTACAGTAATAATATAAATAATTCTATCCACGAACAACAAATTCTAGGGAAGAAAGTACCACTGTTAGAAACATTCAAGTACTGGGACAGTATTCAACAAAAGTAAGCAACATGAAAAAATATAAGACTGTTACTCCCATATATCCTATGTAACACACATGCCACAGCTTACAGTACATTAAGTGCAGCCACCCACGGCTTAACAGAGATCCACTGTGAAAAATGGGTCATCAGGCAATTTCATCTTGTGAGAACACAGTGTACCCACACAAACCTAGATGATACAGCCTACTACACACCTATATAGTCTGTTGTTCCTAAGCTACAAACACATAGCCTAGGCACCTGTATAGGTGTGTAGTTACTATACTGAATACTCTAGGCAACTGTAACAAAATGGTATGTATTTGTGTATCTAAGCATCGAAAAGACACAGTAAAAATACCGTATTATAACGTTCTGCTTAGGATATGTAGCACTAGATTTGCGGTCTGTTGTTGACTGACACATTGTTATGAGGCGCATGACCATACATGATTACAAATCTTTTTCAGTTAACTGCTGAGTCAAACACTGTACTTTCTCTTCCTCAATATTTAAGAAAAATAATTCACTTTTAAGATCCCCATAAAAGCCATCATATCAACCAATAAACTGAGATTGGAAATACTAGGATCACAGATTCTCTATCAAATTCCTCTTGAAAATTATGAAGTAAAAGTTTTCACTAAACCCAGTGGAAACAAAACATAAAAAGAAGTTGCTGGCCAGGACTGGTGGCTCACGCCTGCAATCCCAGCACTTTGGGAGGCTGAGGTGGGTGGATCACCTGAGGTCTGGAGTTCGAGACCAGCCTGGCCAACATGGTGAAACCCCGTCTCTACTAAAAACACAAAAATTAGCCAGGCGTGGTGGTGAATGCTTGTAATCCCAGCTACTCGGGAGGCTGGGGCAGGAGAACTGCTTGAACCCGGGAGGCGGAGGCTGCAGTGAGCCGAGTTCACACCATTGCACGCCAGCCTGCGACAGAGCGAGGCTCCGTCAAAAAAAAAAAGAAAGAATTATTGCTCAGGATGGTGTTTTTAAAGACACATTTGACACAAATTTTCAAGAAGGTGTAATAAATTTCAAGCTAGTAGAATTTAAGAAAAAGGCAGTAACAAGGAACACATTACAATGAAAACATCAGTAGTCATTAATCTCTAATGTATAACAATATGGCATCAAAGTATTTAATAAACATGTTAATATACAGCAAATTCATAATCAGGGAGATACCTGATCCCAAGTGTCTTATAAATAAACAATTATAAAACTACATTATCACAGTTATAACACAGGATGAATTCCAAAATTAGAAGTCCTAGATGATCCTCTCTGATCACAATACAGTAAAATAAAAAATTAATGATAAAATAGCAACACATATCCATAAAAAATTCTCAAATTACAAAGCACCCTTCCAAGTTCCCTGGTGCTATTAAAAAAAAAAGGGGGGGACATCAAAGGCTGGGTGTGGTGGCTCACACCTGTAATCCCAGCACTTTGGGAGGCCAAGGCAGGCAGAATCACCTGAGGTCAGGAGTTCAAGACCAGCCTGGCCAACATGGAGAAACCCCGTCTCTACTAAAAATACAAAATTAGCCAGGCGTGGTGGCACACGCCTTTAATCCCAGCTACTAGGGAGGCTAAGGCAGGAGAATCACTTGAACCCGGAGGCAGAGGTTGCAGTGAGCCGAGATCGCACCACTGCACTCCAGCCTGGACAACAAGAGTGAAACTCGGTCTCAAAAAAAAAAAAAAAGGCATCAAAGTAGTCTATATGATCACTGATGGCAGTAATCAAAGTCTTACATGCATATGTTTGAAAAAAGCTTTAAAACAAAACCATTCAATGTATTAAAGACAAAGAAAAGTAAAAAGCTGTGTAGTAATGATCAATAAAATAAAACTACATGTTGTTTTCCTTGGTAGACTTAGATAAGCCTTTAATTACCAAGTCCAACCAAGAAAAGAGAAGACTTCAGAACAAAAAGGTTGGTGGGCTTGGCATCACGTAGTCCAACCCACTCGGGAGGTTGAAGCAGGATGACTGCTTGAACCCAGGAGGTGGAGGCTGTAGTGTGCATGGTGCCTGTGAATAGCCACTATACTCCAGCTTGGGCAACACAGCAAGACCTCATCAAGAAAGAAAGAAAAGAAAGAAAAAGAGAGAAAGAAAAAAAGAATACAACTGTAGATATGGCATTCCTTTTACACTATATAAATTGGTGAAGAACAGTTTTCTGAATCATTCTAAGAGGTCACTATTGCCATAATACAAAAATTGAACAATGAGAACTCCAATATCACTAATGAAGATATACATGCAGAAAAAAACATTAATCCTATGATAATTTAAAAGAATAGCACTGTAACCAAGAAGTGTATCCCAAAAACACATGATTCAATACAAGGAAGTATGTAAGCAACAACTTTTATGTCCTTCAGCAACAAGCAAGTATGAGGGAAGAACAGACCCATTTATAATGTTAAAAAACAGCTTAAAAACAATAATCAAGTTAGGTTAACTTTAGAAGACCTAAATAAACACAAATCCCTGGAAGGAACAATTTGATTAGAAAGACGTAAATTCTTTTCCGAATTAATCTGTGAATTCACCCTTATCAAAGCCAAGCAAAATCTCAACAGGGTATTTTGTGAAATTTGACAGACTCCAAGTTTCTTCTGGAAAAGAACAAAGGGAGAAAGCCTAACTAAGACCATTTTTTAAAGGTGATAACTGAGGGTCAACCTTCTTCCGATCAGTTATAAAAACCTGCACATTGTTTATTCAGTAGACAGATCCCAGAGATAATCACCATCATGACAGACAATGTCCCTAACCTCATGGAGTGTGGGTGAAATAACATAATAAAGTACAGAAATAAACAATTTCGAGACAGTACTAAAAAGGAAATAAGATGCTATACAACAAAAATAAACAAGCGCGATTAGGTAAGTCCTTTGGAAAAGGAAGCAGAAACCTCATGGGTAGTGTAAGGAGCTCAGATTTTTATTCCAAATCTAACAAAACACTATAATACTTCAAGAGTGACAAGATCTGATTTACATTTTTAAAGTCACTCCGACAAATACAATTAGAATTGTGCTAATAACAAGTAGAGGATATGTATATAAATCCATTTAAAACACTAAAACAATGAACATCTAACTATGGGTAGTGATTATTACTGAGGAGAAGACGTGTGAGGGGGAATTTGCTTTGTTGTTTGTAATCTTTTACAATAAGAACTGTCATTTTTGGCTGGGCGCGGCGGCTCACACCTGTAATCCCAACACTTTGGAAGGCTGAGGTGGGCTAATCACCTGAGGTCAGGAGTTCAAGACCAGCCTGGCCAACACGGTGAAACCCCCTCTCTACTAAAAATACAAAAATTAGCCAGGCATGGTGGTGCACACCTGTAGTCCCAGCTACTAGGGAGGAGAATCACTTGAACCTGGGAGGCAGAGGTCATAGTGAGCCCATATTGCACCAATGCACTCCAGCCTGGGTTGTCGTCCAACAATCACTGTGAGACTCTGTCTCAGGGGCAAGAAAAAAAAAAAGAACTGTTATTTTTACTTTCTTTTATTCCTCATTAAAATATGTGTTAGATATAAGCTATAGAGAAAACAGGCACAACAAATATCATTTCAATAATCTGCATGGAAAAACAACGGTTTCTGTGTGAAGGCCATTACCAGGATCATACACAGTAATAAATAATAGAAAAAAACAAAATGTCCTTAAAATAACAGAATTCCAGGCCAGGTGCAATGGCTCACGCCTGTAATCCTAGCACTTTGGGAGGCCAAGGTGGATCACCTCAGGTCAAGAATTCGAGACCAGCCTGGCCAACATGGTGAAACCCCATCTCTACTAAAAATACAAAATTAGCTGGGCATGATGGTGTGCAACTGTAGTCCCAGCAACTCGGGAAGCTGAGGCAGAAGAATCGCTTGAACCCAGAAGGCGGAGGCTGCAGTGAGCTGAGATCGTGCCACTGCACTCAAGCCTGCGCAGCAGAGTGAGACTCTGTCTCAAAAAATAATAAATAAATAAATAATAGAATTCCAAGTAATGGTACAACCATACTACAGAATACTAGACAGCAGTTGAAACAAATAATAGAGCTATATGGATTGACTTGAAACTGAGCCAAGACAGTGTTTTACGAAAAGTTACATAATTACTTTGGAATAAATGCAATAAGGATTTCATTGGCAAGAATACCATATATTCAAATGCATATGCAAGGATCAATATACAAATGACATGCGTAAACAGAAAGAGGTCTATTCTGGAATGACGCATATCAATCTGTTCCCAACAGCTGTCCTTTCCATGAGGAGGGAAAGAAAGAGGCCGGGCGCGGTGGCTCACGCCTGTGGTCCCAGCACTTTGGGAGGCCGAGGCGGGCGGATCACGAGGTCAGGAGATCGAGACCATCCTGGCTAACACGGTGAAACCCCGTCTCTACTAAAAATACAAAAAATTAGCCGGGCGTGGTGGCGGGCGCCTGTGGTCCCAGCTACTCGGGAGGCTGAGGCAGGAGAATGGCGTGAACCCGGGAGGCGGAGCTTGCAGTGAGCCGAGATCGCGCCACTGCACTCCAGCCTGGGCGACAGAGCGAGACTCCGTCTCAAAAAAAAAAAAAAAAGAAAGAGAAAAGAGACTTATATTTTCTAAGACTACAAACTTTCAAAGGGATTGAATTTAAAGATCTAACAGATACGTATGAGAAAGTGAGGTCCAGGAGAGCAAGGCCCTTGAAGTGTTAATCTAGAATGACACAAGCACAAGGAGATAACACAGTATAGTAAAAGATCTTCACTATTAATGATCCCAAAACTGAATCTTAGAGCCCAAAGACACAAAACTGTTACACAAAGCATACTTGTTTGCAGTATCAACTTTATCACATATAAATAGAGGCAGTAATAGGTGACAGTTCACAAATATTATCTCCATTTACTTGAAAAGAATCCTTTAAAAACAAACAAAAAAAGGTAGCATCAGGACAAACTCACAGAAAAGCCTTCATCTTCCAAACTGGACATTATCTTGGAAGAAAGTTCCTCACAGCACAAGTTCTCTTCTGCTGTTGCCACCAAAGCAGCACAACGAGCAAATGCTCTATATAATTCTGACCAAGTTCTAAGCAAAGTCTTCATGGTGGCCTACCAATAACAACAAAAAAAGAAGTTTTGTTAATATATACCTATCTATCAAAGTTTATAGAATCAATACATCTTTAACATTTTTTAAAAACACTGCAACATTTAGTGTGTCAAAAAAGACACTAACGGCCGGGTGCAGTGGCTCACGCCTGTAACCCCAGCACTCTGGGAGGCCGAGGTTGGTGGATCACCTGAGGTCAGGAGTTCGAGGTCAACATGGCGAAACCCCATCTCTACTAAAAATACAAAAAATCAGCCGGACGAAGTGGCGGATGCCTGTAATCCCAGCTACTCGGGAGGCTGAGGTAGGAGAATTGCTTGAACCCAGGAGGTAGAGGTTGCAGTGAGCCAAGATTGCCCCACTGCACTCCAGCCTGGGCAACAAGAGTGAAACTGTCTCAAAATAAAAAAGAGACTAACACAGGGTAATAACCTTTCCCCCACATCCCAGAGGTCTAACTGAAGAGAGGAAATAAGGCCATGATACCAAAAATTATCAAAGATCCAAAAGAACTTCTCTCGCCCTTCATCATTCTCCTAAGCTAGTAATAAAGTCATAAAGAAGTCTTATTTTAGAAATTATTGTGGGCTGGGCACAGTGGCTCACGCCTGTAATCCCAGCACTTTGGGAGGCCAAGGCAGGTGGATCACTTGAGGTCAGGTGAAACTGACCAATATGGTGAAACTCCATTTCTACTAAAAATACAAAAATTAGCTGGGCGCAGTGGCATGGTCCTGTAATCCCAGCTACTTGGGAGGCAGAGACAGGAGAACTGCTTGAACCCAGAAGGCAGAGGTTGCAGTAAGCTGAGATTGCACCACTGTACTCCAAGCCTGGACGACAATGTGAGACTGTCTCAAAAAAAAAAGAGAAAAAGAAAAAGAAAAACAAATCATTGTGGAAGCTGATTATAAAGGATGAAATAATATTTTCAGAAAAATACAAATCCCTCGGAAATCAATACTTGACAATGCCTTACCACTGGAAATCTCTGTTCTGAAAAAATGTGGTTTACTGGTAAAGTCAATGCACCATAGATGGCACTAAAATTATGTTCTAAGGCATCACCTTGATTTACTTCATTGGTCTAAAACAAGAAAAATAATGAAGTTAGACAAATTACCATCTTATTCTAATCCTAAGTAGTAACATAACTTATTTATAAGTAGTGGGCAAAACTGTGTTCCCCAATGATGAGATTCAAAATAAGTTTAACTCTTAACCCCTCGAACCTACGCATGTAGTCTTATTTGGAAATAAAGTCTTTGCATATGTTCAGATGAGGTCCTACTGGATTAGGGTCAGCCCCAATCCAATGAACAGTCTTTTCTGTAAGAGGAAAATTTGGATAGGCACAGACAACAATACCATGTGAAGATGGAGGCATAGTCAAGTGATGCAGCTACAACCCAAGGAAGGTCAAGGATTGCCAGCAACCACCAGAAGCTGAGAGGCATGAACAGATTCTGTCTCAGAGCTCCAGGAGAAACCAATCCTACCAACTCCTTGATTTTGGATAGCTGGTCTCCAGAACGGTGAGAGAATAAATCCCTGTAGTTTTAAGTCACCAGTTGGCTGTAATTTGTTAATTGCAATCTGGGGAAATTATGCACTATGTTTAAGTTCTAAAAATGAATCCCAGGGCCAACTCCAAAGTCTTCTACTATACATACACAGCATTCCAGCAAAAACTCATACAATAAAAAGGGCCTCTGGATCATTCTAACAGTGGGGAGCTATTTAAGAATGTAAATGACTTTTCTTCCAGAAGAATAGTGTGCTAGCTTGAGTAGCCAAAACAAGGGCTACGTTAACTATAATGTAAAAAGCTGAGCACAGTGGCTCACGCCTGTAATCCCAGCACTTTGGGAGGCTGAGGCTAAGGTCAAGAGTTTGAGATCCGCCTGACCAATACAGTGAAACCCCATCTTGACTAAAAATACAAAAATTAACTGGGCTTGGTGGCGTGCACCTGTAGTCCCAGCCATTTGGGAGGCTGAAACAGGAGAATCGCTTCAACCTGGGAGGCAGAGGTTGCAGTGAGCCAAGATCGTGCCACTGTACTCTAGCCTGGGTGACAGAGTGAGATTCCAACTCAACAACAACAAAAACAACAAAATTCCTTCGAGTTATTTCATTTTTGAGTTACAGCACTATTAGCCCAGAGAATGCATATTCCCATTTAAAGACTGACAAAGAGGCTGACAAATCATAAACAGAACTTGTGCCCCACAGCCTGCCACTATACCCACTTTTGTTAAATAGGTAAACATTGAGGATTTAAGTATTTAAATACACAGATTATTCAACTCTCAATAGATTCCTGACTTAAGGAAATGCTATATGGCTTTGAGGTAATCACCAACGTGGCTTAACTATGGGAATATATAGCCTAGTCAAGATAACCGCTGTTATTCCCTGTTAATAAAACTACTGAAAGAATCCAAGATACAAGAATTTACATCTATGTGAGCCTTCTAGGTTTATAATCACTACTGAAGAAAATGAAGCTGATTAGTCCCCATTAAGTTATAGTTTCTTTACCAGTGAGGGAGAAATGCAATAAAATCAATCAAAAGTACAACGTTTACCAATTCCACCAGAAAAAATATTTACCATCTTCTATTCAAATTCAAACTTCTATTCATTTCCCCAACTGCACTAACAAAAAAAAAAGGTCTATTATCCAAAATACGTAGCAGATTTATTTCATACCTGATTAATCAATTCAGTTAATGGGGTGACTATAACACTCCACATTTTCCAGAGATGCTCCTTATTTTCCAACTGCTTTGCATTTTGATTAATAACATTTAAAACTGAGTCACTGAAAGCTAGTGGTGAAGTTGGACCAGAAAGAACACAGCCTACAAGTGATTCCAAACTGAGAAAGAACCTGAACAAAAAATTATAAAAAATGCATCAACTTTTTGGCAGGAATATATTAATTTAATGTTAACAAAATTCTAAAATAACTGACAAAAAGTTAACGAATTTTTTTTAAAAAAACTTAAACTTATGAAATAGTACATAAATAATCTCATTCATTACATAACCTTTCCAAGACAAAGTTTCAAGTTAAAGTACAAACTTACCTTTCATCTGATACACCACATTCCAAGAAATTGTTGAAAATTAATTGAATTAAGAACAAAGCTGGAGTTCCCTGAAGGAGAAAATGAAGTCAATCTTCTCAGTTACAAAGAATAGAACATTTGTTTTTTATAATTGGTTATTTAAGAAATAAAATTGTTTTAGCATGACAAATTTAACTTTTGGCATTACTTAGGGTATGACAACCATGTTAGTAAAATTATTTCCATATACTGCACACAAAAATCAAGCTCTTGGCCGGGCGCAGTGGCTCACTCCTGTAATGCCAGCACTTTGGGAGGCCGAGGCGGGTGGATCACGAGGTCAGGAGATCGAGACCATCCTGGCTAACACAGTGAAACCCCATCTCTACTAAATAAAAATACAAAAAAACTAGCCGGGCAGGGTGGCACGCGCCTGTAGTCCCAGCTACTCGGGAGACTGAGGCAGGAGAATGGCATGAGACCGGGAGAATTAGGTTGCAGTGAGCCGAGATCACGCCACTGCACTCCAGACTGCGCAACAGCCTGACTCTGTCTCAAAAAAAAAAAAAAAAAAAAAAAATCAAGCTCTTTATAGTCTAATCATAGCTGTTTCCTCTACACAGAAAATCAAGGAATTATGAGATTCCAGATATAAAAAGAACATAGATTTAAAACTTACTGGAATCCCAATGCCTATATCCTAGAGATACTAAGTGCATTTTACATTAGCTTCCAATATTTATGGCAGTAACCAACAGTATTATCGTATATAAACAACTAGGAAACTTTCCTTTTGGAGCCATTTATTTAATCCAGGAAAATAGTTTTTTCATTCACATAGCAGCATATTTAATTCTTTATATTAACTATCAGTTTTTCCTTTAATTTGGTCAATATACTTCAAATCCAATACTCTCAGAATTTTACATAAGGTCATCTTTCTTTTTTTTTTTTTTTTTAAAAAAAAGGGAAATATGCTGGGCACAGTGGCTCACACCTGTAATCCCAGGATTTGGAAGAGCAAGGCGGAGGGATCACCCGAGGTTAGGAGTTCAAGACCAGCCTGACCAACATGGAGAAACCCCGTCTCTATAAAAATACAAAATTAGCCGGGTGTGGTGGCACATGCCTGTAATCCCAGCTACTCGGGAGGTTGAGGCAGGAGAATAGCTTGAACCTGGGAGGCGGAGGTTGCAGTGAGCCGAGATCGTGCCACTGCTCTCCAGCCTGGGCAACAAGAGCAAAACTCCGTCTCAAAAATAAATAAAATAAAATAAAATAAAATAAAATAAAATAAAAAAGGGAAGTATAAATGTTTTTGGCCAATCTTCATCATATTACATTTAAGATACTTGCATTAAGAATATCCATATTAGCAACCTGATATGCTGGTGAACCTAATACTTTCTGAGGAAGTCCTTTAATTGTAATTTCCATGAGGACCTATGAGAGATAAAAGGTTTTACAGTAAATTAGCCGTAAAAATATTATCTAATAAAAATCTGAGTGTTAACTATATCTCTAACAATTACAAGTAATGTTCATTCATTAACGTAAATATAATCTCATTAGTTAAAAAAGATCAAATACATTCATTCACTAACATGAATATATCTGCATCCGTTTTAGAAGTTCAAACACAGAAATATAAAAAGCAGGTAAAGTCTTTAATCTCCAACGATAATATTTTCAGTTCAGAGTCTATTTTCCTAGACCTTCTAAATTTCTGTATATGTAAGTACACAGAAAAACACACAACTTCTTGGGCAGCCAGTTATACACACATTCCTTTAAACCATTAAAGCCATTACACTGTAAATCACTAATGATATTAAACTCTGCAACTAACCTTCATTTTACCTTGTTACGGAATTTTTGCATCAATATATAAAAATACTGCTATATGAATGTCCATTATTTATTCAACCATTTTTCTATTAAGAGACCTTGGGGCTATTTCTATGTTTTTTTATACTACTAATAGAAATTCTGCAATTAATTATACTGGTACCCAAAGCAAATATTCAAAGGACTGCTAATAGTTGGGTCTAAGATTGCTAAATCAAACTGACTGAGCCTACCAAATTGCTCTCCAAAAATACTACCATACTGTCTTTTTTTTCTTTTTTGAGACAGGGTCTCATTGTTGTCCAGGCTGGATTGCAGTGGCACGATCTTGGCTCACTGCAGCCTCAACCTCATGGGCTCAAGTGATTCTCCCACCTCTGCTTCCATAAAAGCTGGGACTAGAGGCATGTCAGCATGCCTGGCTAATTTTTGCAATTTGCCCACCTTGCCCTCCCAAAGTGCTGGGATTACAGATGTGAGCCACCATGCCCAGTGGTAATATACTGGTATGAACATGCACTACATAACTTAAATGTCATAGAAGAGTTATGTCAGTGAAAATACATTTTCACACACTGTCACCTGAAACAGATTAGTAATAATAATAGACAGTATTAGTTTGTTCCTGGCCCATAGTACTTTCCATGTATCAATTCACTTAGTCTTTAACTACTGCTACATTCCCTCTTTACATATGGGGTTAGGCAAAGCCAAGGGAATAGATAAACTGCACAAATTTACTCAGCTAATGAATAGTTAGGCTGGTATTCAACCTAGTATGCTCCAGAGCCCTTGCTATTAACCACTATGCTATACTGCTACAGAACAAGTAACTATCAAAATACATAAAGGAAACAAAATCAGAATTTAAGGGTATTGTTTGTTCCACTGGAGCTTATTTTGAGATGCCCATATCCTCAAAATCATATCCAATTCACTTTTCTTCCTGTACTACACGGGTTTAAAAAAAAAAGGGGTTTTAATACCAAAGTCATTATCTTGGTTAAAAACAGTTAATTGAAAACAAAGTACCAACTATTAGTAGTTTTCAGCAATCTTGTCATAAAATTAAAGGACATCTGAGTTTCTTCAGTTCAAGTTTCATGTCCTTTACCCTAGTTTTTCTCTGTATGGCGGATACTTTTTTCTTACCACGTTGAAGACTTTTGTGGCTGTTGTTATAGTCACTATTAAAAAGGTTTCAAATGACTCTACAGTTAATAGAATGGCACTTATTGCAATAGGACTAAACTGCTGATGAATGCTTGATATAAAAAAGTCTTCCCAAACTAGATTTGTGCAAATATCTTCTATATAAAATTTAACTTCAGAAAATGGTTTTTAAAGTCCAACATACGGGTATTATACTTACCAGCGTTTTTGATACAGGAAATACTTCAGACTTTACTATGCTTTCCAAAGACTTTAATAAGAGAGTCAAAACTTCAGAACCTGGTTTCTCTTTTTTGTTACCTATCAAAAAGCAAAAAGAAGGGTATAGTTCTTTTTTTTTTTTTTTTTTTTTTTGAGACAGGGTCTTGCTCTGTCACCCAAGCTGGGGTACAGGGGCACAACCTTGGCTCACTGCAACCACCACTTCCTGGGTTCAAGCGATTCTCCTGCCTCAGCTTCCTGAGTAGCTGGGATTACAGGTGTGCACCACCATGCCTGGCTGATTTTCATATTTTTAGTAGAGACGGGTTTGCTAGGCTGGTATCAAACTCCTGACCTCAGGTGATCCACCCATCTCAGCTTCCCAAAGTGTTGGGATTACAGACGTCAGCCACCATGCCTGGCTGAGAATGGTGTATTTACTTTTTTTTTTTTTTTTTGATGGAGTTTCACTCTTATTGCCCAGGCTGGAGTGCAATGGCGCCATCTCAGCTCACTGCAACCTCCGCCTCCCAGGTTCAAGCAATTCTCCTGCCTCAGCCTCCTGAGTAGCTGGGGATTGATTACAGGCATGCACCACCATGTCTGGCTAATTTCGTATTTTTAGTAGAGGCAGGGTTTCTCCATGTTGGTCAGACGGGTCTCAAACTCCTGACCTCAGGTGATCCGCCCGCCTCGGCCTCCCAAAGTGCTGGAATTACAGGCATGAGCCACCGCGCCCGGCTAGAAGGGTGTATTTCTAAGCATGTAATTTTAGAGATGACTATACAGAGAGCTGTAAAAATTTATTTTTTCTAAATCAACAATACTAAGTACAGTTGACCCTTGAACGACACGGGTTTGGACGGCATGAGTCCACTCCTATTCAGACTTTCTTCCATCCCGGAAACAGCAAGTTCCACCCCTCCTCTTCCCTCCTTAGTGTACTCAACATAAAGACAAGAATATAACCCGTTTCCACTTAATGATTATGTTTTCTCTTATGATTTTCCTAACATTCTTTTCTCTAATTTACTAATATTGTTAATGAACACAGCATATAATGCACATAACGTATAAATATGTGCTCATCAGCTATTTATGTTATCAGCAAGGCTTCCAATCGATAGTAAGTTATCAGTAGTTAAGTTCTGGGGGAGTCTGAAGTTATATGTAGATTTTGGACCATGTGGTGGGTCAGCACACCTAACCCCAGTGTTCTTCAAACATTAACTACAAATTAAAAACTGGAAGCTACGGTAGTGCAAGAAATACTTTTAAAATAAATTTTATATAGTCAAACAATTCACCGGATGCTATAAAAATCATCTGATCACCACCTGTTTCAAAAAACAACATTTGATCAGTGTAATAGTGCTTACCTGATTCAGTAACTGACTTCACCAAGCTAATTAGCTCCTTCCAGATAGCACTGACAACCACATCTGTCAAACAAAATAAACTTGAGTATTTTAAATGAAGTACATATGACTACGTACTATGACTAACACTCTCCCTTTACTTCCTTACATTAAACAAATAAATTGAACAATACTTAATTTAATTTTCCTCATGATACTCAACCCTGTAGTAAGTTTATAAAACACTATCACTTCGTTTTTGTTTGTAGAAACTAAATATGGTTTATTTTTTTCAGACAGGGTCTTGCTCTGTCCAGGCTGGAGTACAGTGGCACAATCATAGCTCATTGTCACCTCAACAACCTGGGCTCAAGCAGTCTTCCCACATCAGCCTCCCAAGTAGCTAGGACTATAGGTACACACCACTACACCCATCTAATTATTTTTTTTTGTAAAGATAGCACTCTCACTACATTTCCTAGGCTGGTCACAAACATCTGCCTCAAGTGAACCTCCCACCTTAGCCTCTCCCAAACTGCCAGGATTACAGGCATGCGCTACCATGTCCAGCCATAAATGTGTTCCTTAAAACAACTATAACATGTTAACAATGAATTGTGTAACTAAGGGTAATTGTTTTATCTTTTTTTAAATTATCTTTCTTTTCTGAATTGAATGCCCACTACTTTTGGGGCAGAGATTGTTCACGGAGATTCAGAAGGATATCTAACAACCAATAGAAAAAATTTATGTGATTCATTGTGATTCTTTTTCCAACCAGTTAAAGAGCAAACAATTTTTGAAATTTCCTTTCCTCATTATTTGATAGGCCATGTAACACAGGAGTTTAGGCACAGATGCTAGAGCCATAGAGCTTGACACGGTACTACCACTCGTAAGTGACTCTGCATAACTTATGTACTTCCTGTATAACCCATTTTCTCATTTGTAAAATGAACTAACATGGTATGTTACTGCGAAAATTAAATGAATAAATGTAAAGTTCTCAATGCACAATCTGGCCAGTAGGTGGCACTATATAAATATTTGTTATTTTATCTTCATATTTTTTATTTTTTAATAGAGTCTTGCTCTATCACCCAGGCTGCAGTGCAGTGGCACAATCTTGGCTCACTGCAACTTCCACCTCCTGGGCTCAAGCAATTCTCATGCCTCCGCCTCCCGAGTAGCTGGGACTACAGGTATCTGCCAACATGCCCACCTAGTTTTTGTATGCTTTGTAGAGACAGGGTTTTGTCATGTTGCCCAGGCTGGTCTCGAACTCCTGAGCTCAAGTGATCCACTCACCTCGGCCTCCCAAAGTGCTGGGATTACAGGTGTGAGGTACTGTGACTGGCCTATTTTTTCTTCTTTTTAAACACACATTTGAGCAAATAATAAATCAAATTCTCTTACCGGGGGCATCTTTTCCAACTGCAACAAAGCTATCATGAACAGCAGTGATAAGTGTATTTGCATGTTTGGAAAAAAAGGAAGGGCTGCTGATTAACGGATGTTCCAATGGCTCTGAAAGGGAAGAATAAAAGATAATTATGTAAAACAACAGATTTATGAAATACATTTCTCACTATAAAACTTTAAAATGTCTATTAAGTAGGTGTGTTTTCTATAAAAAAAAGATTCATATTTCATACACAACTGTAAAATATTTTGGCTGCGACAAAATAACACCTCTCCTCACCCCAATGCATTAAGTCCTAGACTGTTTTAGTAATTAAAATTATTCTTAAAACCTTTAAATACCTAAGCTCAGCACAAGTTTATTTTGCTTAGCAAAACTCAAGGCTTCTGGACCCAACAAGAAATGAAGCAACATTTCAAGTCCCAAAAGTTGAATGGATGGGATTGTGGCCATTCCACCTAAATTCGAACTCAGGTTCATTCGGGGAGTTCCCGGGGCTCCGTACGGGGAGGAAGCACCTTTAAGAAAAAAAAAAAAAGAGTTAAGTCATACAAGCTCATTTTATATTAGCTACCCAAATGCATACATTTCATTTCAATGAAACTTTTAAAAACAGAGTTTAAATGTCTCAGGCATTAATCCATACCTTGAAATATTAATATGCAGGTATTCTGTAACAAATTTTGAAGACTCAGATGGCAAACAAAATAATACATATGACACACATGTATATCATATGTCTTTCAATGACATACATAAAGAAGACACTTTATAACTGCTGAGATTTTTTTTTTTTTTTTTTTTGAGACAGAGTCTCATTGTACTGCCCAGGCTGCAGTGCAGTGGTACAATCATAGTTCACTACAACCTCAAACTCCTGGGCTCAAGCACTTCTCCCATCAGCATTCCAAGTAGCTGTAACTATAGATGGATGGATACCACTGTGCTCAGTTAATTTTTAAATTTTTTGTAGAGACAGGGTCTCACTATGTAGCACAGGTGGTATCCAACTCCTGGCTTCAAGTGATCCTCCCACCTCAGCCCCCTAAATGCTGAGATTATAGGTGCCTGCCACTGCACCTGGCTGAAGTGTTGTTTTTGTTTTATTTTGTTTTTTTTGAGACTGAGTCTCACTCTGTCGCCCAGGCTGGAGTGCAGTGGCGAGATCTCGGCTCACTGCAACCTCCGCCTCCCAGGATTCAAGCAATTCTCCTGCCACAGCCTCCCAGGTAGCTGGTTATTACAGGGGCCCACGACCACGCCCGGCTAATTTTTTTATTTTCAGTAGAGACTGGGTTTCACCGTGTTGGCCAGGCTGGTCTCAAATGCCTGACCTCAAGTGATCTGCTGGGCTCGGCCTCCCAAAGTGCTAGGATTACAGGCGTGAGCCACCTCACCTGGCCGATGTGTTGTTTTTAATAGCGCTAAGATTCTGGTTCTAAAATCAACAGCTTCATGTTAGCTGCTCTGAGGCTTTTTTTGCAAGGCACCTCACATAATGTACTGAAAAAACATCCGTCTCTTCTAACCACAACAATGCGCTTACAACAGTAATCAGTAATATTAAAAAAAAAAAACAAAAAACAGAAAAACATGATAATGGATTTTTTGGTAATGAACCTAAAAATTATGAAGTGCTTCATTTCAAACGAAAAACACTGAGCAAAACCTCTCAAAGCCTTTTTTTTTCCTACTTCAAAACTATGCTTCTAGGTCAACAAAGCCTGATTAAAAAAGCAAAAAACAAGAATATCTACCTCTTACCTTTGTGTACAGGAGTCATAGGATTTAAACCTGGAGATGTAGCTACATGACACGAATTGCCCTGAGGTGAGGCATTAGAATCAATGCTTATTGTACTTTGAATCAGAGGCACACAAACCTATGGGGTAAAAGAAAACATCGATCTATAAACTATACAACTGTCACAGTTTTTAAAAGCCTCACATAATATAAATTTCATTAAATGGAGCCTTAATATATTCCATTTTACAGATCGTTTCCATGCACAAACAGGCTAAAAAGTGGAATTTGGAAAAAATATGAACATTACAACTGTATTTGCCCTAAATATGTATTACCTAAATTTGTTTATATACATCAACATCTGAACTGTACACATTACTGGTAGACTAATTTTAACTTTTTAAAACTCTGGAAAACATGAACTCAGACAAAGCTCATTTCTAACATCATCCTAGTACCAGTCACATGTAGTTACCAAATAAATTATTCCAATTAATGTATTGGACAAATGCAAAGAATTAGCCTATTGGACCCTTATAATGGTAGAATTTGGAAAATTCATTATGATGCAAATTACATTGTTGACAATGCCCATCTTCAATTATTTCATGTTATATAAATTTAAAACTCAATAATTAAAAAATTAAAAACTGAATAAAAATGGCTTAAGTATATTTATAAGTCCTCCTGTCCAAGAATGCATTCCCTGCTATGCAGCTATTTATATAAAATATAAAATATACCCCTAAAATATACCCCCAGAAGTAAAATGTACCCCCAAAATCCAAAATAAGTGATAAAGAAATGAAAAAGATGTTAGCAGAGCTGCTCCTTTTAACTGTAAAAAAATTCAAAAACCAGGCTGGCGCAGTGGCTCATGCCTGTAATCCCAGCACTTTGGGAGGCCGAGGCAGGCAGATCACAAAGTCAGGAGATCGAGACCATCCTGGCTAACACAGTGAAACCCCGTCTCTACTAAAAATACAAAAAATTAGCTGGGCGTGGTGGCGGGCGCCTGTAGTCCCAGCTACTCAGGAGGCTGAGGCAGGAGAATGGTGTGAACCCAGGAGGTGGAGTTTGCAGTGAGCCGAGATCGTGCCACTGCACCCTAGCCTGGGCAACAGAGCGAGACTCCATCTCAAAAAAAAAAAAAAAAAAAAATTCAAAAACCAAGGATGGAAATAACTGCAAATAACTCAAAAGGTTTAGGTTAAGATTAAACTTTATATCTAAATGCCAGTAAGGATATGCAAATCCTGAAGAATTCGTAAAATCATTGTGTAACAATTAAAAAGAACCTATAAATAGGATTCAGTCATTGGTTATCACTATGCAGCCTAGAAAACGGAGCAAGAAATAAAAAAACAAGAACTGGTCCAACCTTGTATCTACCCAGTGTAGCACTTGATTTCTCTCTTTTTTTTTTTTTTTGAGATGGAGTCTCACTCTGTTGCCTGGGCTGGAGTGCAGTGGTGTGATCTCAGCTCACTGCAACCTCCATCTCCTGGGTTCAAGCAATTCTCCTCAGCCTCCCGAGTAGCTGAGACTACAGGCACATGCCACCACACCCAGCTACTTTTTTGTATTTTAGTAGACACGGGGTTTCACCATGTTGCCCAGGCTGGTCTCAAACTCCTGAGCTCAGGCAACCCACCTGCCTCTGCCTCCCAAAGTGCTAGGACTACAGGCATGAGTCACCGCGCCCGGCTGATTTCTATTTCACTGATGCTGGTTTTCTTCTCAATTATATTCCAAATGCTCTAGGGGAAAAAACCCTTTGTTTAAAATCATAATGCTTGTAGAGTAAGAATGTTTGAGTACTTGCTAATTTAAAAACATTTCAGGGCCAGGCGCGGTGGCTCATGCCTGTAATCCCAGCATTTTGGGAGGCTGGCATGGGCGAATCATTTGAGGCCAGGAGTGCGAGACCAGCCTGGCCACCATGGTAAAACCCTATCTACACTAAAAAATACAAAAAATTAGCCAGGTGTGGTCGTGCGCCTGCAGTCCCAGCTACTCGGGAGACTGACACAGGAGAATCACTTGAACCCAGGAGGTGGAGGTTGCAGTGAGCCGAGATCGTGCCACTGCACTCCATCCTGGGAAACAGAACAAGACTCCATCTCAAAATAAATAAATTAATAATAAATAAATAAAAACATTTCAGGTAAAGGGGCTCCATTTCAAGCAACTGAACAATATCCCTTGTGGGAAATGAATTTAAGTTCTCTGCCAGTAAAGTGAAAGACCTTTTATATGTTCTAGTCTGCTAATAAATAGCAAAAATAACACCACAGGATTACATTGGTAAGAATTTAAGAACACATTAACAAAAACATAAAGTGCTATAGTCAACACTTGTAATGTTACCTGTTCAAAATTAGCAGGAAGATGAGGTCCAAGTCTCATCAGTAAATACCACCAGACTTCTAGTTTTGTTAATGCTAGAGTTTCTGTTCTCACATGGATGGAACTCAAAGGCTGCATTAACAACTTGAGTCTTTTTGCACTACATAGTATATCTTAAAAGAAAATAAGCACACAGTTAAAGAGACGTCCAAGCTAAAGATTAACTCTAACACTAGCTATGCAACAGTCTTTTATCACAGCAAGAGAACGTATTTTAAAATTTTTTTAAAAAAATAAATCCCCAGGCTGTCCTTGCTCTACCCAAAACTTGCATTTTGATAAACTACAGTACAGCTGAACCAAAAACACTCAATAAATCAAAAATATATTTTAAAACAAATAAGTAATATTTATTAGATATTGTGTGCCGGGGCAATTTCCCACCAGGGAATACTTCAGGTTGGTTACAAATGAGGGGATGCTATTGACATCTTAGTGAGTAGAGACTACGGACGCTACTAAACTTCAACACCACACCAGGACAGTCCTGAAAAACAAATTATCCAGCACAAAATGCCAAAACTTTGACAAATACTGTCCTAGCTGCTTTAGCATTCTCATTATCCCCATTTGACAAAGAAACGGAAGCATATGTTTACATTATGTCAAAAAAGGCTATCATTTTAAAAATCAATTATTAATATATTCCATCAAAAATCATTACTACTGGGGCCACTGACTGAATACATTTTTGAAATCTAAATAGATTCATTTAGATTCAGGACTGCCCTATCTTAACAATAATCATATTGTTAAAATTCAGCATAGAAATTAAATCCAATCTTCAGAAAAAACATTTATGCCAAATGAGTAAGACTGGGGATATGTAAAATTAAGACACAGTCTGTGCTAAAATAACTTGTCAAAAAGACCTTAAAAGGGCTGGGCGTGGTGGTTCACGCCTATAATCCTGGCACTTTGGGAGGATGAGGCAGGTTGGTCACTTGAGGTCAGGAGTTTGAAACCAGCCTGACCAACATGGTGAAATCCTACCTCTACTAAAACTACAAAAAGGTTAGCTAGGCATGGCGGTGGCTCCTGTAATACCAGCTACTCAGGAGCCTAAGGCAGGAGACTCGCTTGGACCCAGGAGGCAGAGGTTGCAGTGAGCTGAGATCACACCACTGCACTCCAGGCTGGGTGACAGAGTGAGACTCCGTCCTGAATAAATAAATAAATAAATAACTTGAAAAGGATTCTGAAACATCAATCAGGCCATGTATTTGGTGGAATGGCACTCAACAATGTCTGTTACAACTACTCTGCCATTTAGCTATTTCAATTAACAGTTCTATAAGAAAATAAAGGCTATCACTGTATGAACAAGTTCTCCAGTCCAAGACACTTCCTTTTTGGGGTCTCCTATTCTTTTTGTTCATTCATTCATTCATTCATTCATTCATTCATTCAGAGACGGAAGTTTCACTCTTGTTGCCCAGGCTGGAGTGCAATGGCATGATCTCGGCTCACTGCAGCCTCCTCCTCCCGGATTCTCCTGCCTCTGCCTCCCAAGTAGCTGGGATTACAGGCATGTGCCACCATGCCCGTCCAACTTTGTATTTTTAGTAAAGATGGGGTTTCTCCATGTTGGTCAGGCTGGTCTCTAACTCGAGAACTCAGGTGATCTGCCCGCCTCTCAAAGTGCTGGGATTACAGGCGTGAGCCACCACGTCTGGACTCTATTCTATTTATGAGAAGAGCTCCATAATAATATCTCTACAGTAGCAGAGATTAATTGCCATGCAATAAACCAATCTCCTTTAATTAAAAAATCTGATTTTACACAGGACAGTGATGGGTGCCCAATTTTTGACTACTTTTTCTAGTCGGCCACTGAGCCATTCTACCCAGTAAAATTTAAGTGGATGTGTATATAAGATTCTTAGAAGGCTATTTCTAGGTATAGGTGAGTAAGCTGTGAAGAAGTCTTTTCTGCTCTTCTGCCTTCCCTCCTTCCTGTCTGCAATTAAGACAAATCAAAGATGGCAGAGTAAAAATACAGTCATCTGATTCCTTGATGACTTCCCGGATCCACAGCATCAGTCATGGATTCCCTAGCTCTGAACTTATTTTTAACTTACTATCTTTAAACTACTCTTATTTTATGCTTTAACTTAATTCCTAAAGATTGTAGTCCCAAACATTACCTCACACTTCTGGGTTTACAGTTAGACCCAAATACATGCCAGCTCATAAACATAAAAATAAGCTACAATTTCAATTAAAAATTGTAGTAGAATGAGCACAGTGGCTCACACCTGTAATCCTAACACTTTGGAAGGCTGAGGCAGGTGGATCACTTGAGTCCAGGAGCTCGAGACTAGCCCGGGCAACGTGGTCAAATCCCGCCTCTACAAAAAATACAAAAATTAGCCAGAAATGGTGGCACACGCCTGTAGTCCCAGCTACTTGGGGGGGCTGAGGTGGGAGGATCACTGGAGCCCAGGAGGTCAAGGCTGCAGTCAGCCACTGCACTCCAGTCTAGGTGACAGGGCAAGACCCTAAGTGGGGGGAGGGGGGGAAACTATGCCCCCAAAATGTACCAGTATTTTAAATAAAAGTAATTATAGGGCTGGGAGCAGTGGCTCTTGCCTGTAATCCCAGCACTTTGGGAGACCGAGGCAGGCAGATCACAAGGTCAGAAGTTCGAGACCAGCCTGGCCAGTATGGTGAAACCTTGTCTCTACTGAAAATACAAAAATTAGCCAGACGTGGCAGCGGGCGCCTGTCATCCCAGCTACTTGGGAGGCTGAGGCAGGAGAATCGCTTGAACTTGGGAGGCGGAGGTTGCAGTGAGCTGAGATCACGCCACTGCACTCCAGCCCGAGCAACACAGTGAGACTCCATCTCAAACAAAAAAGAAAAAAAAGGCCGGGCGCAGTACCTCACACCTGGAATCCCAGCACTTTGGGAGGCTGAGGCGGGCAGATCACCAGGTCAGGGGATCAAGACCATCCTGGCTAACACGGTGAAACCCCGTCTCTACTAAAAATACAAAAAAATTAGCTGGGCGTGGTGACGAGCACCTGTAATCCCAACTAATCGGGAGGCTGAGGCAGAAGAATGGTGTGAACCCAGGAGGCGGAGCTTGCAGTGAGCCGAGATTGTGCCACTGCACTCCAGCCTGGACGACAGAGCGAAACTCCGTCTCAAAAAAAAAAAAAAGTTATTATACATTAATGCAAATAATCACAATACAAAACATATTAAAAGGAGGAAGAAATGGGATAAATAATGGTCTTTGGCAGGAAAAATATAGGATAAAAATCAACATTACTTAGCAGCTCTTGTAAACATACAGTGTTAATTAAATCTAAGATTAACTACCACCTAGTTAAGTACTCATACTAACACAGTTTTGGGCTAAATATTCTTTCTTGTGAATATATTATCAGAAAACTCCATTGAACAATAAGAAGATAAGGTTAAAGTAAATCAAAAAGAATGACTTCCATATATCAATATTAAACCACTATTAGGTACTCTTCTAGAGATCCTGAAAGAAGTAAGGTCATCGATCACTGATATTTTTATTCCATGGAAATCACAACTGCTTCCTATCATCTACTGGTTATGTGACCTCTGGATAATTACTCAATCTCTCTAAAATAGTGATTAATAATTACATCTCAGGTCTATTGTGATGATTAAATAAAATATACATAAAGTACTCAACTCAGTGCTAACATGTAAGAAAGCCACAAATAATAGGCTGGGGGCAGTGGCTCACGCCTGTAATCCCAGCATTTGGGAGGCCAAGGAGGGCGGATCACTTGAGGTCAGGAGTTCCAGACCAGCCTGGCCAACATAGTGAAACCCTGTCTCTACTAAAAATGCACAAATTAGCCGGGTGTAGTGGTGGGCACCTGTAATCCCAGCTACTCGGGAGGCTGAGGCAGGAGAATCTCTTGAACCTGGGAGGCGGGGGTCGCAGTGAACCAAGATCCCATCACTGCACTCCAGCCTGGGCAAGAGCGACCCTGTCTCAAAAAATAAATAAATAAATAAAAAAGGAAGCCACAAATCATTATTTTTCACTTTGTTCAGTTTTTGAAATACTGTGAAACAGATTTCATATTTGTGATTTCCAATGCCTAGTATGTGAATTCTATTTTCAGTACAAATTTATTCCTGTTCCCTTAAAATGAAAATAATTCAGTAGTTACTTAACTTCAACT